>NC_000001.11:65917471-66220501 GCF_000001405.40 Homo sapiens
AAACCTTAAGTTGATATCAGTGACCATTGCAGGGCTATAACATTTTCTGTCTTTTAGCTGGTATGAATGGTACACCAGGCAGAGGCTCATTTGGGCCTCCCACTCCCAACAATCTCAGGACCCATTGTCACCAAAAGATATGGGAAGAATAAATAACTTGTATCATTGAGTACCGCACAATGTCTTTGTCTTCTCACAAAGTGTATGATTAATGTCAGCATTAGGGCATGTACTTGAACGTGGCAGTTCAAGACTGAATAAAGTATACTTCTTTTTCTGAGTTCTTACACAATTTGAAAAAAAAATCTCCAATTGTAAGAAGACCTTTCATAAGAACATAACAGTCACCTCTAATTATCAACATTCAGCTGTTCTAAGATAGATAATATTTTTACTTTAAAACACTGGATGGCTAGGCGTAGTGGCTCATGCCTGTAATCCCAGCACTTTGGGAGGCCGGGACAGGCAGATCACCTGAGGTCAGGAGTTTGAGACCAGCCTGGCCAACATGGCGAAACCCCGTCCCTACTAAAAATACAAAAATTAGCCGGGCGTTGTGGTGTGTGCCTGTAGTCCTAGCTACTTGGGAGGCTGAGGCAGGAGAATCACTTAAACCCAGGAGGAAGTGGTTGCAGTGAGCTGAGATCACTCCAGCCTGGGTGACAGAGCGAGACTCCATCTCCAAAAATAAATAAATACATAAAATAAAATACTGAACGAGAAACTTTATATTTTCTCATAGTTTGTTCCCATAGTTGCAGAACGATAACATTGATTTCCAAAATATATTTTTGATTTTAGCAAATATCATTTTAGCAACTTATGAAAAAAATTAAAATAGGAAAGAAGGAGGCCTCCAATCCACATGCTACAACTAGTAAACATTATCTATATGCCTAAAAATCTCCAGGAATATGCAACTGATAAGTTTATTCTAAAAGCTGAGAATCAGCCTCTTCTATTGTTTTCTCTTTAAGCTTTTGACATCGTTGTTAGATTCTGATTGTGAGATAATCAGGACATCATAAGTGACAGCTTGATCATTTAGTTTCTTCTTTCACTCCATTTAACATTTGAATTTCATTTTCTTTCTCTTCTTTTTTTCTTTCCCTGTGGTTCCTCCAGAATGTTAAAGATTATTTTGAATGTAGCTTGAGTAAATCCTACAGTTCTTCCAGTAACACACTTGGGATCGACCTCTGGAGAGGGAGAAGGTGTTGCTCAGGAAACTTACAGTTACCACCACTGTCTCAAAGACAGAGTGAAAGGGCAAGGACTCCTGAGGGAGATGGTATTTCCAGGCCGACCACACTGCCTTTGACAACGCTTCCAAGCATTGCTATTACAACTGTAAGCCAGGAGTGGTGAGTAGCCTCAAAATCAAATGTCAATTCTAAATTTTTATTTTCCAATTTCTCCAAATACAATTTCATAGTATTAAAATGTGAGTTTTCTGTGAAATACCTAAGATGATTGACATTTTGAGAATTCGTTTCCCTTTAGAATCAAAGATAAGGTCTTGTAAACAGTGGAGATATTTTCTAGTTCTTCAGAGTGGAAGGAACATGCTTCATTTAAAGCTACTGAGGAAGGAATGAGATACATTTACATTAATGTAAAGGGATAACAAAATTACTGCTTATGATCTAACTTTTTTAAAAAGAGCTATACAGTGTGCATCAGTATTTTTTGACTTAGAAAAACAAATTACATGTTACTATATGTATATGATGTTCTTATTGCTGAACTCTACACTTCTCCCTAGCTTCTATTTATTATCATCCTACTTTATTAATCTCAGTTTGTGATTATCTATAAAATAAAACATTTCATTGTAAATTGAAAGAGTAATGAAAATTGCGCTATGAGAGATGCTGGCACTGTTGTGCAGAGTCTATATTTGTGAAAGAGGCTATTTTAAACCAGTGTTGAAAAGTTAATCATATAATCTTACAATTGTGGTTATTGTGCCATGACTGCTTCAAATATGTGCTTTATTATATATTTAATAATTAGTACATTCTCACTTTTCCTTTTCTGTTTTCCTACATCATTTTAAAATATTTTTCAGGAAGGATTGGCTTACATATCATGGAGGTTTATCATGAAAGTGAAAAATATTTTCTCTGATATGATTTTAAATTAATAATGTGTTGCTTTTAAAATCACTTTTTGTTTACATAATTTATCAAGTGAAAGACTAAGCATTAAATTATTGTACAACATTATTGTAGTAAATTATTAAAAATCTATTATTTTTATGGTGTACCATGTACAGAGCTCTGCCACATGCTGAGCTCTCCAGGGCTGATGAGTAGCCCAGTATGTGCTCTTTGAATAATGATATACGGCATCTTGACATCCTTTAGTCAATGTTTACCTGACACACTGAGCATTAGATCACTGAAACTCCAGGTATCACAGTTAATAGCATCAAATATTTAATCAGACAATCTGTGTGATAGAGAATCATGCTAAAACATTTTAAAGAAAATGGGTTAAAAATTTGAGAAGGACTGTCTTACATCTTCTGTTCAGCTGAATTAACATTATATAAGAGTCATAGCCAATCATGGAGAATTAAAAGGGCACATAGGGCTCCCCTATAGGATACTCAATCACATAGCTTATGTGATTAGTCTTGATTATGTGTCTGTATAATTACGGATTTGGAGTCTTAAAGATTTCCAGATTTATTTTTCAGCAGGTTGGCAGTGATACAATTCTATCAGTTGTTAAAGTATTGAAATGCTTTCATACCAGTTGGTAAATATATGCTTTCTTGAGCTCTCTGATTGCCCCTACTACTCTCGCAGACTATTCTCCTGAAGCCTCTAGAATTTCTCACAATCTAAAAACAAAGAGGTGAAGACTGGCACAGAGGAATCTGGTTTTGGTGGGTGTTGGTGCTATATCTGTTGTTAGCTATTTTGAGTAACACCCTGGGTAAAATGTACAGTGCCTTGTAAAGTTTGAGTTCATTTAATTCAAAGACATTTTGGGAGTTGTAGAATTGTTCCTTCCTTAGAAATATCAAATCTAGACTCTGCCATTTGGGGCATGCTTGTTTCTCTTTCCTAGTTGAATGTTTTTATTTTTAAAGGAGGGCAATAATATTTACCTCATAGGCTATTGTGAGGATTAAATGATGTAATCTATCTAAGGTATTTTGCTTAGTAAAATGCATATGGTAGGTAATCAGCAAATGTTGATTTTTGTCCTCTTGATCATTATCCAATAAATATTTTCTGGAAATTAGAAACCATGTCTCTAGTATCAGTAGCCTCATTCTTGGCGTCAGTATTTTAGGTTGAAATGGAAAATTTAGCCATTATTCATGTTCAATAGTCAGTGAGCACCACATATTGGTAATTCATTTATAACATGTGTGTTTTATTTCAATTAACAGGATACTTTTTAAAGTATGAGAATAGAGTATGCAGATAACTCTGAATTTATTTTAAAACATAAGTAACTAAAAGCATTTCTTTTTTTTTTTTTTTTTTTTTTTTTTTGAGACGGAGTCTCGCTCTGTCGCCCAGGCTGGAGTGCAGTGGCGGGATCTCGGCTCACTGCAAGCTCCGCCTCCCGGGTTCACGCCATTCTCCTGCCTCAGCCTCCCAAGTAGCTGGGACTACAGGCGCCTGCCACTACGCCCGGCTAATTTTTTGTATTTTTAGTAGAGACGGGGTTTCACCGTTTTAGCCGGGATGGTCTCGATCTCCTGACCTCGTGATCCGCCCGCCTCGGCCTCCCAAAGTGCTGGGATTACAGGTGTGAGCCACCGCGCCCGGCCCTAAAAGCATTTCTGAACATCTCTTGAAAATCCAGCTTCCACTGGAATACTGATAGCTGAAGACTGGTGGAATTATTGGTGAAGGAATCTGATTAAAAAATGATTTGACTAGAAGTGAGGGAACTGGGTTCAAATTATCATCAATGCCATCAACTTGATGAAAGTTCATAGAGATAAGGAGTACTGCCTAGGACTACGTGAGAGAAAGAATTATGCTTACCACTTAGAGTACCAAGAATATGGAATCAATTTCCATGCCAAGACCAGCAATGAGCAAATGTTTTCTCTAAAGGACCAGATAGTAAATATTTTAAGTTTTATGAGCTTTGCAGTCTCTGTCACAACTACTCATCCTTGCTGTTATATTGTGAAAGGAGCCATAGCCAATGTGTAAACGAAGAAGTGTAGCTGTGTTCCAATAAAACTTTGTTTACAAAAACAAGCAGCAGGCTGGATTTGGCCTGCCAGAGTTTGCCGACTTTGAAAAGTCTCCCTTAGAAAAGTTTCCCTTTCTAGGCTAGTAAAGATCTCTAAGACGTGATCCTAGGATTTGATCATTGTTTTTACAGTTATCAAGGACAAAAACTGACTTTGAGGTCATGGCTGATGTGCCAAATAAGTCATAAGTATGGGACTGTGTGTTCTAGATCAAGCCATCAAAGACAGTGAAATAATTTGAATCCGTTCTAATGAAAAGTACTGCCTAATTTTATATAAGGTTTTATATAAAAACATTAACATGATTTTATCATATGTTTATTTGGAGAAAACAGGCCATCATTACAGAAAAAAGGCCGGGAATATAAGAATAGTGATTTTATTTGTCATGGAGCAAGAAAGAGTTAGAAAGGACTCAAGCCCAGTTTTATTGGGTGACTTCCATTTTGTAGCCTTTCAGATGAGTTTCTATTATAATACAATCTCCAAAAGACACAAATGAACAAACAATGGAGATTACAATACCTACACTTCAAAATCATGTGGAAAATTAAAGAAAAGGTTTGCTATGCATGTAGCACAATCACTTGTTCTTAATGGTTATTTTGATATTATTATTATTGTCATTTTTATTGTTACATTTAGACTGAGTAGCCAAAATTATGCATTTTCTATTATTGGAGGTTTTAGGGGAAACTTAGCTCCTGAGTTCTTGGAACCAACTTGGAAATATGATGAAAGAGGAATTCAGATATGAAAGCAAGATGTTATCTTTAATACTGATAAAGTTGATACTGAAAAATATAATTTATGTCTGTGGGCAAGTGGGTTCCTAATATTGAAACCTATAATTGCATAGATGCTAGACCTGGGCAGGATCCCCTCACCTCTTATACACACATAAATAGAAGGCCTACCCCTACAAAACTTGTAGCATGGAGGATCTGTAGAAATCCTACTCACGTGAGAAAGTAGAGGGAAGGATTGAACTGTACATGGCCAGTTCCCCCTTATGAAAACACCAAGAAAGATTAAATTATTCATTCTCTCTGGGAAATAGTGAGTAAGGCGGCAGAAAGAGGCTGGAAATGTGATGCTGGTGGCATTCCAGACACTTGCAAGACATATCAAACATTTCCCAATTTTTAAAATCTTTTCACCTTAACTTTAGGGGCACATTAGGGATGTGCCTGTTCTTTAGAGGAAGATATCAGGAGTATACCAGTACTAACTTACTGCCATCTTTGTGAAGCTGTTCTCCCAATATTGACCACTGCCCTTTTGAGTATTCCCCCCAACCCCCTCCCCCACAAAAATCTGAATTCAAAGTTTCCTGCTCTTGTAAACTGAAGTTCAAAAAATGAAGTTCTCACATTTATCTTCCATGTCTTCTTGATTTTCTCATTTTGTTAGCAGGACCTTGAAGCATGGTTTAGAAGGAGGGTTTCCTAACCAGCTGCAGCCTAAGTCATCTTCCACTGTAAAGGCTGTAGTTTCTTCAGGCCCATAGGAATTGTATTCGTATAATACCAGGTCTCTGAGGGACTTCACTTTTTAAATAGTTACTGATCTATAGGTTATGCAATGCTGCATAACCAAATTTAGATAATAAGCCAATTCTGGGCCTTGAACATCTATAGTTAATCTATAACTTTAATCTTCTTACATGAGGGTCTTAGAACACTTTACTCTTTCAAGCCCTTCCCTGCTTACAGTTTGTTTTTGTGTATTTTAGTTATTTCTCTCTCTCTGTATATCTTACCACACAATACATTAGCATTATTTTTTGCATTCACCGTTTGATTTGGATTTTCCCAGATACTTACCAATGTTTTGGTTTTAATTCCTCCTCATATCTTAGAACCTCTGCTGGAATTATTTGCCTTTTTGCCTGAAGTAAATTCTTCAGAATTTATTTCAGTTTGTCTGAAAATGTCTTTACTTTATTTCAACACTTTGAAACTATTTTTCCCTGCTTTTTGTCTTCTGTTGTTACTATTAGGAAATCAGCTATCACTCTAATTGTCTTTCTTATAGATAATCTGTCAATTGTTTTTTGTCTCTGGATTTGGGCAGTTGAACTTTGATGTGCCTAAGGATGGATTTCCTTTCATTTATCTTATTTGGGATTTCCCGGACTTCTTGAATATGTAAATTTATATCTTCCTTATCAGATCTGGAATATTCTTTCATTACCTCTTCAAATATTTTCTCTGCCAATCTTTCTCCTCTGCTGTTGGATTTCTGATTAAATGTATTTTATAAACTTCTTTGTCTTCCATTTCTCTTAATTTATTCCACATTTTTTTCTCATTTTGTCTTTCTGGGCTGCATTCTGATAATTGTTTCTAATCTGCCTTCCAGTTTGCTAATTTTTTTTTTTTTTTGAGACGGAGTCTCGCTCTGTCGCCCAGGCTGGAGTGCAGTGGCGGGATCTCGGCTCACTGCAAGCTCCGCCTCCCGGGTTCACGCCATTCTCCTGCCTCAGCCTCCCAAGTAGCTGGGACTACAGGCGCCCGCCACTACGCCCGGCTAATTTTTTGTATTTTTAGTAGAGACGGGGTTTCACTGTTTTAGCCGGGATGGTCTCGATCTCCTGACCTCGTGATCCGCCCGCCTCGGCCTCCCAAAGTGCTGGGATTACAGGCGTGAGCCACCGCGCCCGGCCGCTAATTTTTTTTTCAAACTATGTCTCATTTGTTATTAAACCTATTATATTTTTTTAATTTTGATTATTGTATTTTTACATTTTAAAGTTTGTATTCATGTATTTAAAAATACACTAGATAATGTTATGTGGTTTTCTATTCCCTGCTATCTATTACTGCATAGCAAATAATCCCAACATTTACTGGCTTAAAATAACATTTTTATCTCAGAGTTTCTATGAATCAGGAATCCAGCTGTGGCTTAGCTGTGTGCCTCTGACTCAGAGTCTCTCACAAGACTGGAATCAAGTAATTGGCCAGTACTGTAGTCATGCATATGGGTGGAAAGGTGGGCAGAACTGCTTCCAACCTGATCAACATGGTTGTTGACAGGCTCAATTCCTGGCTGTGGCTGACTAGAAATACCAGTTCCTTGCCATGTGGGTCTCATAGACCTATGTGAAGGCTATTTATAACATGTCAGTTTGGTTTCTCCAGAGCAAGTGTTTTGAGAAAGAGAGACCAATAGAGACTGAGCAAGACAGAGGTCAAAGTATTTTTACAACTTAGTCTTAGAAGTGACATCCCATCACTTTTATATATTCTGTTCATTAGGTCTTACACATGCACAGGGGAGGGGATTCTGCAAAGGAATAAACAAGGAGGTGGAGATCATTGGAGATCAGTTTAGAGGCTGTATATTGCACTGCAGATATTTTCAAGCTTTTAGAGAGCAAGAATAGTTATTTTACCCTTTTGCTCATTTTAGTAACTAAAGTTTTCAGTGAGTCTATTTTCTATTATCTGTGTTTCCTGATAGTTTTTGCTCATGCTTTTAAAAAACTTTATTAAGAAAAATAGCTAATGCATGCTGGGCTTAATACCTAGGTGATGGGTTGATAGGTGCAGCAAACCACCATGGCACATGTTGTATGTAACAAACCTGCACATCCTGCACATGTACCCCGGAACTGAAAATTAAAAAAAATTCCTTACTACTATTTAAAAAAACTTTATTAAAGTACAATCAGTGTGCAAAAAAGTATACCTATCATAAGAGGGCATGTTGATAAAATTTCACAAATTGGACACAACCACAAAACCAGGAACAAAATCAAGAAGCAAAACTTTACTAGTGTCTCAGAAGCTCTTCTTATGCACCCCCCGAGCCCCTGCCCCATCACTACCTCCTCCATACCTCCAACAACATCTATTAGTTTTGTCTGTTTTTGAACTTTACATAATGGAATCACATAATGTGTAATATTTTGCATTTGACTTATTTATTGCCCTCAACATTAGGTTTAAGAGGTGTGCTTAATTTTTTAAAATTTATTGTGTGCTGCCACAATAAATTAAATGTCATTGAAACATTATTTGTAGGCACAGTTTAAGGTATCAGAATAAGGTTCACCATAGAGAATTTGCATTTGATTCTATCAGGTCTCTAGGGGCACTGGGGCATTGGTAGATTGATCAGAGGGTTTCTCAATCATCTAGCTGAAACATGATCATAATCTGTTAAGGTCCACTGCCTATGACCCCACGCCCTCAACCCCTGGCCCTGCTTGAATTATCACTGAGGCTACCCTTCTGGCAGTCTCCTGGATGTAGAGTAGGGGTGTGTTTACTTCTATTTTACCTTTGCAATGAGAAAATAGCCCTTTGAAGTTCTGGTTTAAGTTGGGAAGACTCTCCTTTTGAATGCCTCACCCTGGCATGGCTGGGCTTTGATTACAGTTCCCCCTTGACCCTCAAGGACATCAGACTAATATTAACTTTTACTCTGTGTGGTAAATATCCTCAGGGCAAAAGCAACTTTGACGTCCATTATGCACCTTTGGTGAGAAAAGTCCCCTTACACTTTGACTTGCTATTTCCTTACTAACTTGGCATTTCTTTAGTAGCATCAAGAAAATAAGATGATAGTTTTCCTTATTTTTAAAGCAAAGGTTTTGTTGAGATAACCTTGTGAACAATATTACAGAAAACTTTCATAGCTACTTGCTATGGAGATCTTAGGTCCTTTCATCCCACACTTGTTTTGGCTATAAAATTGCCTTTAGTACATTCTTAAACTGAAGCTTCTGATGATAATTCTTAAGTTTGTGCTCCTAAGGGCCTACTGGGACCTATTTCTTTGACTTTTTCTCCCGAAGACACTATCTTTCCCCAGTATCTGAATGTTTTTGGCTTTGAGTAAAATGTTTGCTTATTTTATGTAGTAGATATTAGTGTCTTTACTGTTTTATCTCCCTTTCAGAAAGGAACATCTGAGTTTGCAATAGTTTAAACTGAATCTTGTTTTACTGTCTTTTCTTCCTTTGTACTTGTAGGCCTACATAGAATTGATTACTTCACTTCTTTTGCTTTCTCTTGCTACTTGATCTAGGTATTGTTAATTATCCACGGATGAGGATAAATAACAAATACACACACACACACACACCCCTTAGGCATATCATATTCAAACTTCAGAAAACCAAAGACAAAGAAAAATCTCTAAAGAAATCAAATAATAAAAACAGACATATAGAGGAACAAGAATAAGAATTATACTGGACTGTTTGTCAGAAACCATGAAAGCAAGAAGAGAGTGGAGTACATTATTTAAAGTGTTGAAATAAAAACTTTCACCAGGCTAGAATTTTATAACCAGCAAAATTATCCTTCAAATGTGAAGGAGAGAGGGAGACTTTTTCAGAGAAACAAAACTGAGGAAACTCATTGTCAGTAGACCTGATTTATAAGACCATGTTAAAAGAAGTTATTCATTAAGAAGAAAAATGATATAGGGCACAGATCTACACAAAGAAGAGTGTCAGAGGAGAAATAAATGAAGATAAGATAACATTGTTTAGTTTTTTCAAGCTAAACTTTCTTAACTATATAAAACATAACTGTTTCAAGCAATACCAACAATGCACTGGGTGGTTATAGTATAGGGGTAAGGGAAATGAAAGACAACAGTGTGAAATGAACAAGCAGGAGCAAATGGGAATATTCTGTTTTAAGATATATATACTACATGTGAAGGCAGACTTAGGTTACTTAAAATATAAATATGTATTATATATAATATATGTAAATATATATAATATGTATTATATATATAATATATGTAAATATATATAATATGTATTATATATATAATATATGTAAATATATATAATATATATTATCTTTATCACATCTGGTACAGCAGCTGCAATTGGAGTCATCACTTTGTTAAACTTATGATAAGGCACTGTCATTCTCCAAGATCCATCTGTCTTCTGCACAGCCAAATGGGAGAGTTGAATGGGAATAACCACTCGTGCTTCTTTCAAGTCCTTGATAGTGGCACTAATCTCCACAGTCCCTCCAGGGATGCGATATTGTTTTTGATTTACTATTTTTCTAGGTAGAGGCAGCTCTAATGGCTTCCATTTGGCCTTTCTCACCGTAACAGCCCTCACCCTACCAGTCAGGGAGCCAATGTGGGGGTTCTGCCAGTTGCTAAGAATGTCTATGCCTATTATGCACTGGGGAAATGACCACAGGATGAGTCCGGGAACCCACTGGATCCACTCTTTGTTGGACCTGAGCTACAACTCCATTAATTACCTGACCTCCATAAGCCCCTGCTTTAACTGGAGGACCACAGTGACATTTTGGGTCCTCTGGAATCAATGTCAGCTCAGAGCCAGTGTCCACTAGTTCCTTAAATGTCGATCATTTCCCTCTCCCCAGTGGGCAGGTACCCTGGTAAAAGGCTGGAGGTCTCCTTGGGGAAGGATGGGAGAAAGATTCACTGCTCAAATTGTCGATAACGTAGTGAGGTCCTTCCTCAAGGGTACCTGGCCTCCCCTTCATTCAAGGAGTTCTGGGTCTGTAAACTGGCTCAAGTCTGGAAATCGATTGAGGGGCCATTATTCTCTGTTTTTATAATTTAAATTAGTCTTTTGTCCATTCGACCTAGAAGTTTTCTGCTAGTATAAATTAAGTACGAATGCAGTAGGCTTCCTATCAATTTCACTTCTAGGAACACCGTGATTAATTAGCCAATGCCATAACTCTACACGAGTCAGACCATTCTGATTGCCACTTTGCCTCTGCTGTCCAATAAGGTAGCTACGCCCACCTTGCCTTTGAAGGTTGAGTGCCACCACTTGGCTCCTGCCACCTCAGGATCTAATTACTCCCATTGTATTTAAATTTTGTGGTTGAGTGACTGCAGTTCCCACTGTTAGATCTGACATACAGAGAAGAGCAATTACAGGGCTCTTCAAAGATGCAGGTGCCACCCTCGCAAATCTATTTTGCAAGGCATTGGTCAAGGGTGTATCTTCTGGACCCTCCCAGCTGGGATGAGAGGTCTAAAGTGACTAATCCACTCCATCATCCCAATCTCCCTAAGCCTCTGGATCCCTTCCTCTCCATTAAACCAAGGGAGATCAGGCATTTCCAGCTTGCTTACAGTGGGCCATCTTTTAGTCCATATTTCAGCTAACCAAGCAAATAAACTATTAGAACATTTTTTAACTCACCAAGCTGCAACATTAGAAGCAGAGTTCCTATGTAGTGGGCCCAAATTAATAAATTCGGCCTGATCCAACTCTGTATTCCTTCCACCATTATCCCACACCCTTAATATCCATTCCCATGTTCTTCAGATTTCTGTTTATATAAATGAGAAAACTCAAGCAGTTCTTTTCCAGTGTAGCGCACCTCCTCATGGGTCACACTCTCAACCTTACTTCTAGGGGCCCGCCGGGACTTTAGTCTAGTTATAGGTCTAGAAGCAAACAGGCAGGTTGGGGGTGGCTCCTGAGGAGAATCAGCATTACCTTGCCTGGCAACCACCTCAGGGGAGGCCATCACTGTTGCCTCAGG
Source organism: Homo sapiens (assembly GCF_000001405.40). Lineage (NCBI taxonomy): Eukaryota > Metazoa > Chordata > Mammalia > Primates > Hominidae > Homo > Homo sapiens. The sequence continues at coordinate 65,929,229 of NC_000001.11, forward strand.
CGGCACAGGGTTTATCTCTTCAGACAAAGGTAGAAAGGCTGATGGCAGCATGGGTCGGGGAGGGGATGTTGCCACTACTGGGGATGGGGAAGCTGTTCCTTCTGGCAAAAAAGATTCATCAGAGTTTACAAATTCAGTATCCCCAGCTTCATCAGTGTCTTCCCACATGTTCCTGTTCCAAGTTGCAGGGTCCCATTCTTTTCCAATCAATCTCACTTTAATAGACACCTGGTGAGGCTGTGCATGCACCTTCTGTTGCAGGTCACCCACTTTCATGATAAGAGTTTGTGCCTGTTTTTCCATAATTCCCGCTCTTTCTCTATAGGAAATAAGACTTTCACTTAGGGCAATCTTAACAGACTTGAGGTTCAGTATTTGCTTCTGAAGCCAGGAGACAGAATCCATGAGTTTATCATTTTCTTTCATCACTTTGTCCACTGAACTTAGGCGCAACCAATCAGCTTCATTACGTTCCTTGGTTCTGCACATATGGTCAAAGGTATTATGTATAGAGTCACTAAACTCCTTGCCTCTCATGAGTGGTGAATTGGGAGTGTCAAATGCATTTATTTTGTATAACTCTCTAAACAATCCATGCCAAGGACTATCAGTGTTCTCCATACTATTAGAAGTAGAATCCTTAGCATTTTTGAGTCTAATCATATTAAGCAGCCAACTCCAGAAACTCCCAAACTAATGAAAGAACTCCATTCTTAAAATACTGTTCCTCTAGAACCATTCTTGGTACCAAAATCTATATTTGCCAGAGTTCTCTAGAGGGACAGAACTACTAGGATACAAAGTCCCACAATAAGCTGTCTTTAAGCTTGAGAAGCAAGGAGAGTGAGTCTGAGTCTCAAAACTGAAGAACTTGGAGTCCAATGTTTGAGGGCAGGAAGCATCCAGCATGGGAGAAAGATATAGGCTGGGAGACTAGGCCAGTCTCTCCTTTTCACGTTTTTCTGCCTGCCTTATATTTGCTGGCAGTTCATTAGATTGTGCCCACCAGATTAAGGGTGAATCCTCTTTCCCGAGCCCACTGACTCAAATGTTAATCTCCTTTGGCAACACCCTCACAGACATGCCCAGGATCAATACTTTGCATCCTTCAGTTCAATCAAGTTGACACTCAGTATTAACCATCACAGAGGGCCACTGTTCTCCAGACTCCAGAATGATAGATCCACTGGCAGCTTGTACCCTGCACCTGGAAAAGCTACAGGCATTCAATGCCAGCCCTTGAGAGCAGCATTGGGGGGTCGAGCCCTGGAAGGCCACAGGGGCGGAGCTGCCCAAGGCCTTGGGAGCCCAGCCCTTACATCAGTGTGCCCTGGATGTGGGACATGGAGTCAAAAGAGATTATTGTGGAGCTATACAATTTAATGACCACCCTGCTGGGTTTTGGACTTGCATAGGGCCTGTAGCCCTGTTCTTTTGGCTGATTTCTCTCTTTTGGAATGGAAGTATTTACCCAATGACTATACCCCCATTGTATCTTGGAGGTAACTAACTTGTTTTTTATTTTACAGGCTCATAGGCAGAAGGGACTAGCCTTGTCTCAGATGAGACTTTGGACTGTGGAGTTTTGAGTTAATGCTGGAATGAATTAAGACTTTGGGAAACTGTTGGGAAGGCATGATTGTATTTTGCAGTGTGAGAAGGACATGAGATTTGGGAGGGCCCAGGGGCAGAATGATGTGGTTTGAATCTGTGTCCTCACTCAAATCTCATGTTCAATTGTAATCCCCAATGTTGGAAGTGGGACCTGGTGGGAGGTGATTGGATCATGGGGGCACTTTCACATGAATGGCTTAGCACCATCCCCTCAGTGCTGTCCTCATGATAATGAGTGAGTGAGTTATTGTGAGATATGGTTATTTAGAAATGTGTAGCACCTCTCCCCTCTCTCTCTTCTTCCTGCTCCACCCATGTAAGATCTAACTGCCTCCTCTTTTCCTTCCACCATGATTGTAAGTTTCCTGAGACTTCCCTAGAAGCAGAAGCAGCTATGCTTCCTGTACAGCCTGCAGAACAATGAGCGAATTAAACCTCTTTTCTTTATAAATTACCCAGTCTTGGGTATTCCTTTATAGCAATACGAGAATGGCCTAATACAAAAAGGTATACAGTTTGGGAGAGAGGAAATAAAATTATCTTTGCAGATGACATGACTGTCTTTACAAAATATCCTACAGACTGGCAGAAACAAACAAACAAACAAGAAACACCTCTCCTTGAAGGAAATAATAATCAATATAACAAGGTTTCAGTATACAGAGTTAACATACAAAATCAGTTGCTTTCCTATACACTGGCAATAGACAATTGAAATTTGAAATTATAATAATAAAATGTCATTTACAGAAGTGATACCCTCCTTCCCCCAACGAACCCACCAATTCAACAACAACTCACAGACAAATTCTCTTACTGAGAAATCCAAAACTAGTTGAGAGCCTCCTGCACCCAGACACATCAAATCCCACAGGAAAATTCAGGACACCCTCATGTCTGAATCCCTACCCACAGCTCAATGCCACATGATTGAAAGGAATCATAGCTCCCAGCTTCTCCCTGGAGAGTAAAAGAGTTGGACCATGTGTATGACACTCTTCCAACTTCTTCCTCCCCAAAGGATGGGCCTTTCTCTTTCCAGTCTTGGAGCAGTAATGGAACCCAGCATAATCTAGCCATCCAGGGGCTGGTAAGAACAAAGACAGAAGTTTGCACTGACAGTTACCATATCCTTTCCCTCAGCTCAACACAGAGCAAGAAAATGAAAAATCCCTGCTTCCAACATCTTCTTGGGAAGGGAAGAGTTAGTCTGCTTGGCCAATGCCCCAGTGTTTCTGGGAGCTTCCCAAAGGACTTCCTCTGTCTGGCTTGTTTTGGGGTACTTATGGGACCTGGCATACTCTAGCTGCCTTGGGGCCAATGAGAACAAATATGGTGGTTTGATCTAGCATGCAACTAGATGATGCAGTCCCACCCACAAGCTCAGTGTAGGGTGAACAGGTGAAAAACCACAGATCCCAGCTTCTCTCTCTGTGTGTCATGGGAAGAGTTGGAAAGGGCATCAAATGATTCAACTTTTCTGGGGGCTACTTGAGGAATGGCCCCAATATCACTTCTATTGGAACACTGATTGTACCTAGCATACTCTAGATGGTAGCTGCTAAGAACAAAGAAAACAGATTGGCAGGTTGGAGAGGCCCCGAGAATCCATGGCTGAGCTGGTTAGTGAGGGTCTTCTCCTTTATAAGTTTAGTCTGTGAAGATTGGGAGAGGTCACTGTTTTGTCTAATATACCAACCCTACACAAAGAGTCAAGGAAAATAAAAATAACATGGAAATGGATTCCAAACAAAGGAACAAGATAAATCTCCAGAAACAAAGCCTAATGAAAGAGAAATATTTGATTTACCTAACAGAGAACTCAAAATAACCATTATGAAGATGTTCACCAAAACCAAGAGAACAATGCATGAACATGAGTATTTCAACAGAGATATAGAAAGTATAAAAAGTACCAAAAAGAATTTGTAGAGCTAAATAATACAATAACAGCTCAAAAATTCACTAAAGCAGTGTGACAGCAGACTAAATCAAGCAGAAGAAAAGATAAGCACACTTGAAGACAAGTTATTGTTGTTAGAAATTATTCAGTCAGAAGAGCAAAAAGAAAAACGAATGACAAAAATAAAGACAGCTTAAAGGACTTATGGGACACCATCAAGTGGACCAATGTGCACATTATAGGAGTTCTTGGAGGAGAGAGGAGAGAGAGAAAGAACCACAAAACATATTCAAAGAAATAATAGCACAAAACTTCCCAAATCTGGGGAAGAAAATGCACATTCTACTCTAGGAAGCCCAGCAGATACCAGATGAAATGAACGGAAAGAAACCTACACTGAGATACATTATAATTATATTGTCAAAAGTCAAGGCAAAGGGAGAATTTTCAAAGTAGCAACAGAAAAGTGATTTGTCATGTACAAGGGATTTCCCATAAAACTAAAAGTGGATTTTTCAGTAGAAAACCTTGCAGGCCAGAAGGGAGTGGGATGATATATTCAAAGTGCTGAAATTAAAAAAAAAAAACCTGCCAATGAAAAATACTTGGCATGCCAAAATTCTCCTTCAAAAATAGAGACTTTCCCAGACAAATAAAAGCAGAGAGGCTGGGCGCTGTGGCTCATGCCTGTAATCCCAGCATTTTGGGAGGCCACGGCGGGCGGATCACTTGAGGTCAGGAGTTAAAGACCAGCCTGGCCAATATAGTGAAACCCCATCTCTACTAAAGATACAAAAAATTAGCTGGGCATGGTGGCAGGCGCCTATAATCCCAGCTACTTGGGAGGCTGAGGCAGAGATTGCATTGAGCCGAGATCATCGTGCCATTGCATTCCAGCCCTGGCAACAGGGCGAGAATCCGTCTAAAAAAAAAAAAAGTGGAGAGTTGATCAGCGCCATACTTGTCTTAAAAGGAATGCTAATGGAAGCTCTTCAAGTTGCAACAAATGACACAAACGGTAACATGATAGCACAAGAAAGTGAAACTTGGTAATGATAAATATATAGGCAAATTCAGACTACTGCAAACACTGTAACTGTTGGATGAATCACTTTTAATTATAAAGTTAAAAGACAAAAGATATTGAAAATATCTGTAATTAAATATTATTTAAAGGGATATGGAATATAGAGAGATGTGAATTTTAACATCTATAACATAGTGTGTGATGGGAAAGAAGTGCAAGTGTAGAGAAATTGAATGTAAGTTGTTATCAGTTTAATATAGACTATTTTAAATAAATTATAAGATAGACTAATAGATATTTTATGTAAGCCCCATAGTGGCCACAAAGAAATACCTATAGAAGATACAAAAAAGGAAAAGAGAAAGAAATCAAAGTATATCAGTACAAAATATTCACTGCAACACAAAGGAAGACAGCATGAGAGAGTAAGACATAGGAGGTCAAGGTAGGAGGATTACTTGAGCCCAGGAGCTTGAGATCAGCCTAGACAACATAGCAAGACCCTATCTGTAAAACAATATATTTTTAAAATTAGTTGAGCATGGTGGCATATACCTGTAGCCCTAGCTGCTCAGGAGGCTAATGCAGGAGGATTGCTTAAGCCTAGATAACAAAGAGCTATGATTGTGCCAGTGCACTCCAGTCTGGGTGATCCTGTCTCAATAAAAAATAAAAGACAGAGAAAGAATAAAAAGACAGCTGTCAGAACCACAAGACAAACAGACAACAATGAACAAAATGGCAATAGTAAATTTTTCTCTATCAATGCTTACTTTACATAGACATGGATTAAATTCCTCAACCAAAAGACAAAGAGCAGTTGAATGAATTAGAAAAATCAGAGTAAACTATGTGCTGTCTATAAGAAACTCACTTTAGATTTAAAGACACAGATAGTGAAGGGATGGAAATATATATTCTATGTAAATGGTCACCAAAGGAGAAGTGGCTATACTTATATCAGACAAAATATATGTAAAGTAAAAATTAGCACAAGATACAAGGAAGAACATTATATAATAATGAAAAGGTCAATTGAACAGGAAGATATAACACTTATATGTACCCAACATCAGAGCATCTAAATATATAAAGCAAAAATCGACACACCTAAAGAAATAATACACAAAAAATACAATAATTATAGGAGGCTTCTTTACCCCATTTTTAATAGTGGATAAAACAACCAGACATAAAATAACAAACAGCAGACTTGAACAGCACTATAGACCAAATGAGCCTAACATACATATATAAAATATTCATCTCATAGCTGCAGAATATACATTCTTCTCAGGTGTACATGAAACATTCTCTAGGATACATCACATGTCAGGTCACAAAACAATTCTTAGTAAAATTAATAGGATTGAAATTATACCAAATATCTTTTTGGAGCACAATGGAATGAAACTAGAAATCAGTAGCAGAAGGAAAACTGGAAAATTCACAAATATGTGGAAATTAACACACTCCCGATATCCTAGTATTCTTCGCTTAATGGGTCAAAGAAAAGAATAAGGAAAGAAATTAGAAAATATTGAGGCAAATTAAAATAAAAATACAACATACCAAAACTTATGGGATGCAGAAAAAAAAAAAAAGAATGTGATATGCTGGTATAGGACATTTACCATGAATGGAATTAACAGGATTGATTATAGCTCTGGGTGAGTCAGTGAGTGAATGTGAAGGCCTAGGATGTTACTATACACTACTATAGATTCTATAAGCACTGTACACTTAGGCTACACTAAATTTACAAACAAATATTTTTCTTCAATAAAAAATTAATCTGAGCTTACTGTAACATTTCGTTTTATAAAATTCTTAATTAAAAAAACTTCTTAACTTTTTATGATAATACTTAGTTTAAAACACAAACACAGCCGGGTGTGGTGGCTCATGCCTGTAATCCCAACACTTTGGCAAGCTGAGGTGGGTGGATCACCTGAGGTCGAGAGTTCGAGACCAGCCCGACCAATATGGAGAAACCCCATCTCTAATAAAAGTACAAAATTAGCCATGGTGGCATATGCCTGTAATCCCAGCTACTCAGGAGGCTGAGGCAGGAGAATCACTTGAACCTGGGAGGCGGAGGTTGCGGTGAGCCGAGATCACGCTGTTATACTCCAGCCTGGGCAACAAAAGCGAAATTCTGTCTCAAAAAAAACAAAACAACAACAACAACAACAACAACAAAAACACGTTGTATAGCTGCATAAAGATATTTGTTATATCCTTATTCTATAAGCTTTTTTCTTTTTTTTTCTTTTTTACGTTTTAAAGTTTTTTGTTAAAAACGAAGACACAAGCACACACAATAGCCTAGGTCCTTGCAGGATCAGGATCATCAACATCTGTGTCTTCCACCTCCACATCTTGCCCCACTGGAGGGTCTTCAGGAGCAGTAACACACATGGAGTTGCCATCTCCTAGGATAACAATGCCTTCTTCTGGAATACCTCCTGAAGGACCTGTCTGAGGCTGTCTTACAGTTAACTTTTTTTTAATATACATAAGGGTATATTATAAAATAATGATAAAAAGTCAGCACAGTAGGTTTGTTTACACCAGCATCACCACCACAAGCACGTGAGTAATGCTACGACATTATTATATCACTAGGCAACAACAATTTTTCAGCATCATTATAGTCTTATGGGACCACCATCATACATGTGGTCCATCTTTGACCCAAATATTATTATGCTATACATGACTGTATTGGAAATAACAAGGAAAGAAATAGGAGAACCTCAGTTCCCAAGGTGGAGATCAGTTGTTGTTAAATATTAGAGTGCGTCAGAATCACCTGAAGGACTTATTGAAACACAGATTGCTGGACCCTTAGAGTTGAGTGTCTAGGGTAGGACCTAACATTTTGTGTGTCTAACAAGTCTCCAGGTGATAGTTATGGTATTGGCCTAGGGACCACATTTTGGGAACTATCGGCCTAGATTTTCTCCAAAAGTAGGAGGTTAGGTCAACTGCTGAGAATAAGGGAAAGTGGGCCCTTGAACTCTCCTTTCAGCCAAAGGCAGGCATGTTCTAAACACTGAATCATGTTAAAAGTGAATTTTAATCTGGGGGCAATTCTATGCCAAGCCAACTGATTAGTGGTGGGATTAATTCCTAGGTTTTAGATAACAGCACTGCTTTGCAAATGCTCACAGCTTAATGATACCATAGAATTATTATCAGCCTCATTTTCACTTGTGTAGGAAGAGGCACGGAAATAAAGAAGGCAGGAGTCTTCTTTCAGGTTTCCTTATGGTGGACTCTTTCATAAGAAACAGTTCTGGCTTCTCCTTTGTTGTTCCCTCAAAGAAGATTATAAATATGGTTGCTTGTCTCCCACCTCCATCTGCCTGAGGGCTGTGCTTTGCTTCTGTAAATGTTTCAGTTGGAACATGTTGATTCTGTTTGAGCATCTATTAACTTAGGTGTGATGTCTAATGTTCACTGTCTCAACGTTCACCTCCACTGGGGAGAGTGGTGGCGATTTCCCTGCCTCTGTCTAAGGCTGGAAACATTCGTTATTGTGGAGGGGAAAGTGGTTGGTTCACTGAGGTGGGGGCTCTGAAACACAGGATGTGCTTTATTGCTCCCACAGTCAGTCACAAGTTGACAGTCGCATGAGGCTTTCAATAAAAATATTTTATACTTTTGTGCTGCCTCTCAGCTGCAGATCCTAAAGCCCTGTTTTAAAGATCAAAATACCCATAGATGTGCAAATGCCAGGGATTCAACAAAAGCTGGTGCATGGATGGGAAACTGATGACACACACATCTGTTCAGCTCTCATCAGGCTTCACCACCCACTGGAATCTTTTGGCTACAGAAACTGAATTTGTGATTCGTGCTTCAAGTACTGCAGTCAACAACTCAGCAATTCACAAAGTCTCTTCTGTGATTGCCGTCTTAGGTATGTGAGGTAATGGACAATGGATATTTAAAATTGTGCCTCAACCCTGCTTTACCTCATCACTTATTCCGGTATCAGCCAAATTTATATTAGAATATGGGAAGTGCAGGTTTTATATAAAAGGTGCCTAGGATAGATTCTGGCCTATATAGCTCTAATAATTGGTATAATACTTTACAATATAGATGATATTCTCACTGTAACACATTATAGTATACAACGTCCATTCTGTCCCCTACTTTATTTAAACTCAACTCCATAAGAACCTTGTGAGATGGGCATTATTCCTTAAGGTAAAAGAAGAACAAACAAAAAATGGCTGCAACCAAAATGTAATAATTGGTGTGAATAGTTTTATAATAAAAAAGAAAGACTTCACTTTGGATATTTGATGGCTGACACCTTTCAGTTTCCCACCTATCTTCCTTTTTCTCCTTAGCCCCACATCCTGAGAAGATAAGAGAACCTGGGCTCTCCTCCACTGGTGCCCATGGGGAAGTTCAAACCACACAAATCCCTGTCCTCTAGGAATTCTCATTCTAGTCCCAACCCTCTTAACTATGATAAAAACTCTAAACCATCAACACCACCCCCATCTTGACTTGTGTCACCTTAGGTAGAATCTGAGCCCTTCACCTTGGGGAATATGTGAGTAGTAAACTTTATTTTATATCTGTAATTCCTATGTTTTATTCATCCTAGCATTCATAAATTTCTGAGGATGCTGGATGTTCATATAAATAGGTTTATTAGCTTTAGATAGACTAATGATGCTTTATTCAAATGTGTGGTTATTTCAGATCAAAGAAAAGGAAGCATTGTGCTTGACACAGGGCTAAGAACTGAAAAATGAACAAAATATGGCCTGTGCCCTTTCCTTAGTAGTTATGGTCTGGTAGAAAAGGCAGACATGTACATTAAAAAATTATAAAACAGTGTCATATGTAGCATGTACAAGTTATTGTGGGAATGCAGAAGAGAGAGTGGCTGGTTTTTCCTTGGTTTAGCAATATGTGTGTAAAGTCATAAGAGCATGAAAGAAGATTGTATGTTGAGGAAACTATTTTTAGTTTTATTTGGTTGGAGAGCTGTATTAGTGTGGAGAGATGCAATTTGAAAGGGCCTTAAAGGCTCTGCTGGTACATTGGATTTTATCCTGAGGGCATTGGTGAGTTTTGAAGGGCTTTAAGAAATGAAATAAAAGAAGAACACTTTTGAAGAGTTCACTTTGATAGCAGTATGGAAGATAGATGGGAGCCGAGACAGAAAGATACTTGAGAACAATACTACTTTAGTCCAAGTGAGCAATGACAATGGCTAAATCAGGACAAAAGCAGTGAGAATGGTTAGAGGAGGACATGTGCCAGACACTGTTCCAGGTGTTGGGATATAAGGTTGAAAGAGGACAGAGAAATTCTGTTTTTTATGATGTTTTTATTCTAATAAGGGTATAGAAGAGAACCATTAAGATCCATTCTCTTCTCTCCAGCAGTAAGAAAACTCCACAGATGCAGCTGAACACATGACTACCCAGAAAATAGACTACTTTTCAGCCTTTGTTGCAGCTTCCTCCAAGTCTAGCTATACTAGGTTCTGGCCAAATCATGCCCTTGAAATGAAGAGGCATCCTCCTCCTTTCCCTTTTCCCTTTCTACTGGTTGGAATGGGTACACAGTGATGAGATTTCTTGCACCATGTAGCCAAGGTTACCACAGGCCTGATAGAACAGCAAGACAAAAGGGCTCTGAATATGTAGCAACTTCATGGACAGCTGTCATACCAGGCTGAACTTTAATGTGAAATAACTAAAATTCTGTCTTGTTGTTTCTGGGTGTCTCTTCATCACAGAAGCTGAGCCTACCTCATAAGTAATACTGGGGGAGATATACAGTCATAATGGAGATTTACATGAAGAGAATGCTCAGGTCTTGAACCCCACAAAGGCAGTCATCTAAGTGTATAAATAAGTTATATAAGTATAAGCTGAAGCTGAGTCTCTTAAGCTTAATATATAATTATTCAAAATAAGTACTAGTTGTAATTTATATGCAAGGAAAAGCTTTGTAGACTGTCTGAGCTAGTCAGTGAGGGCTCCTCAGACAAGAAAGATCCACTTACGCAAGGCACTTACACGTGGGAGTGCCAGCCAGTGTGATGAAAGAGAGACTAGAGCTGAATATCTCATCCTATGTCTCATTATTTGAGGAACTTACTAATCCTGTATTAAGAATTTGGTTAATTATTTGATAAAGGCATGAGTTTGTTCATTGAGCTGCAAGCTGATTACAGTAGTAATTACAATAACTAACAAGAAAACTATAGAATGAGATAAATATAATAAATGAAATAAACAAGGTGATGTGATAGAGTAAATATAAGCTGAGCAAAAGAATGCTGCTTTAGACAAGTTTGCTACGGAAGTCCTCCAAGAGAGGTGATGTTTGATTGATACACAAATAATAAATGGCAGTTATTGTATAAAAAGTAGGGGGCAGGGTAGGAACTTTATAGGCAGAGGGACTACAAATACAAAAGCTCTGAGGTGAGAAAGAGCCTGGTATATCTTCATAGGAGAAAAAAGGCCGGGGTGAATGGAGAATGGAAAGCGCGTGGGGAGAAAGAAGGAAGTTGAAATTGTAGAGGGAGGGAGCAATTAGATCATCGAACTGCTTGTAGGCTATATTAAGGAATTTTGTTTTATTCTAACAGCAAGGGGAAGCCATTGTACAGTTTTAAACAAAAACATGACATTATTTGACTTTAAAAAAATAATGTTTTGGTTATGTATAGAATGAACCATAGAAGCAAAGTGGAAGCAGAGATTATTGCAGGAAGGTAATTTGAAACAGGGTGATGCCAGAGGGAATGGGAACAAGTGAAAGGATTTAATTGCTTTTTAGAAACATTGATAGGGCTTACTATGAGATGCAGGTAGAGGTCTGAGAAAAGAAGTCTTCAAGAATCAATCATGCTTTTTGCTTGATTTGCTAGGTTGATAGTGGTACCATTTGCTAAAGCTGAAAACACTCAGGGAAATATTTTTTGGGGTATAAACCAAAAGATCAATTTTGGACAAGTATAAAAGTGTTGATGGCTATAGGAAATTAGGTGTATGAATCTGGGTTTCAGACGAGAGAGTGAAATTTCAGATGAGAGAGAGAATAAATATAGTATTAATACTTTAATAGCTCATTTTATTTATAAAATATTTCAAATATACTAAAAGTACAGAAAATAATTTCATAGGCATAATCTCTTGATGTACCCACCATATAGATTTAACAAATGTTGATATTTTGCTTTTTTTTGCTTCAGAACTTTAAAAAATATAATGTTGCAGATAAAGTTAAAGGATGAGAGCATTCTTAAGGATGATGGGAAGACAGAGGTTTGAATGTTATCTTACTTCTTGTTCACTCCCAATGCTACCTCTTCTGCCAGCAGACAGGTCCTAGAGGATAGGAATGAAGCCTCAGGTTCTGTCACAGTCTTGCCAAGGAGTGCAGAGGAATTTCTCTTCTTTGGGAAGAGGAGAGCTTGGGCATCAGCACTGAAGAGCCCCAAGATTAGGATCAGAATGCCTGGATCCTGGGACAGCTTCGCTCTCAGAAACTCATAATCTCCCACAAATTCACATCTAAAGAAATATACCAAAATTCTTATTTCCGGATTCCTAAAAACTGAGAAGTGACCAAACAGGCAGCTGGACCTTTTCTATCTCTTGGGTTGGGAGAGCATGACGAGGCCAGAGCAAGAAGATCAGAAAGGTTTCCTTCTGATGCCTTGACGTGGCACCAGCAAGGTGTCCTTTACCAGAGGAAAAACCAGAAAGGAGAAAACCTTTAAGATATACCTCATGAAATAGAGTTACTGGGGGAGGCAGACAGTGACCCATGACAAAAAACAAAGTCCTTGGGAGATTCAAATACAAAACAGAAAAAAACTTTCTGGAACCAAAATAATTTTAAGAATTTGACACAAAAATATGTATACATTGTGAAATAGGTAAATGACAACATGTGCATTACCTCATATACTTATTTTTTTGTGATGAAACACTTAAAATCTATTCTCTTAGCAGTTTGCAAAAATATAGTATGTTGGTGTTAACTGTTGTCATCATGCACAATAGATCTCTTGAACTTATTCCTCCTAGGTGAAGTTTTGTATTCTTTGACCGACATTGCCTCAATCCACAATCTCTCCATTTTCTCTGGCATCAGCCTTTTCAAATCACCTTCCTGCGATAGTCTCTGCTTCCACTTTGTCCCTACAATTCATTCTACCCATACCCAAAACACTATTTTTCAAAGTCAAATTACATCATATTTTTGTCCAAAGCTGTGTAATGGCTTCTTATTGCTGTTAAGATAAAACAAAATTCCGTTCCATAGCCTATTAGCAATTAGGTGGTCTAACTACTCCCTGCCTCTACCATCTCAACTTCCTTCTTTCTCTTCCCTTGCTTTTCATTCTCCAGACACACCGACCTCTTCAGTCCCTGCTAAGCATAATTCTACTCTCCACTTCTGAGTTCAATTTTTTTACACTCCATATATAAGTGAGATCATGTGGCATTTGTCTTTCTATGCCTGGCTTATTTCACGTAACATAATGTCCTCCATGTCCATCCATGTTGTCACAAATGACAGAAATTCCTTCTTTTTTTTTTAAAGAATAAAGAATATTTCTTTTCATATATATGCCACATTTTCTTTCTCTGTTCATCCATTGATAGACACTTAGGTTGATTCCTTATCTTGGCTATTGTGAACAGTGCTGCTATTAACATGGTAGTGCAGATATTCAACATAGTTATTTCATTTCCTTTAGATGTATACCCAGTAGTGAGATTTCTGGGTCATATGGTAGCTCTATTTTTAAGTTTTTGAGAAAACTTTCTACTGTTTTCCACAATGGCTGAACTAATTTACATTTTCATCTACACTGTAAAAGGGTTTCTTTTTCTCCACATCCTCTTCAACACTTATCTTTCACTTATTTGATAATAGCCATTCTAACAGGTGTGAGGTAATATCTCATAGTGGTTTTAATTTGCATTTCTCTGATGATTAGTGATGTTGAACGTTTTTTCATATACCTATTGGGCATTTGTGTTTCTTCTTTTGAGAAATGTCTATTCAGATCTTTTGTCCATGTTTAAAATTAGTATTGAGTTGTTTGAGTTCCTTATATATTTTGGCTATTAATCCCTTATCAGCTGTGTGGCTTGCACATATTTTCTCCCATTTTGTAGGTTGTCTCTTTACTCTGTTGATTGTTTGCTTGGCTGTACAGAAGCTTTTCAGTTTGATATAATCCCAATTGTTTATTTTTGTTTTTGTTGCTCATGCTTTCAGGTTTATACCTAAAAAAAGTATTACCCAGACCAGTGTAATGGAGCTTTTCCCCTATGTTTTCTTCTGGTAGTTTTTCATTTTCAGATCTTACATTTAACTCTTAAATCAATTTTTAGTTGATTTTTGTTTATGGTATGAGATGAGGGTCTAATTTCATTCTTTTGAATGTGAATATCTAGTTTTGCCAACATCGTTTATTAACGAATATTCTCATTGTGTATTCTTAGCTCCTTTGTCAAAAATCAATTGACCATTAATGTGTGGATTTATTTCTGGGCTCTCTGTTCTTTTGGTCTATGTATCTGTTTTTATGACAGCACCATGCTGTTTTGATTATTATTGCTTTGTGGTATATTTTGAAATCAGGTAGTGTGGTGCCTTCAGCTTTGTTATTTTTGCTTAAGATTGCTTTAGCTATTCAGGGAATTCTATGGTTCCAAACAAATTTTAGAATTGGTTATTTTATTTCTGTGAAAAAATGCCATTGGAATTTTGATAGAAATTACACTGAATTTGTAGATCACTTTGGATAGTATGGACATTTTAACAATATGAATTCTTCAAAGCCATGAACATAGATTCCCTCTCCATATATCCGAGTCTTCTTCAATTTCAATGTTTTACAGTTTTCAATGTGCAGGTCTTTCACCTCCTTGGTTAAATTTATTTCTAAGTAATATTTTTGTAGGTATTGTAAATGGGATTGTTTTCTTGATTTCTTTTGTGGATAATTTGTTGTTAGTATATAGAAATGCTACTGATTTATATGTTGATTTTATATACTGAAACTTTACCGAATTTTGTTTAATAGTTCTAATAATTTTTTGTGGAGTCTTTAGGGATTTTTATTTATAAGATCATGTCATTTTTACATAGGAACAATTTAACATCTTCTTTTCCAATTTGGATGTCTTTTATTTCTTTCTCTTGCCTAATTGCTCTGGCTAGGATGTCCAGCAGCATGTTGAATAGAAGTGGTGAGAGTGGGCATCATTGTCGTGATTCATATCTTAGAGGGAAAGCTTTTGACTTTTCACCTTTGGATATGATGTTAGCTATGGGTTTGTCATATATGGTCTTTACAGTGTGGGGTACATTACTTCTATACCTAATTTGTTTAGTTGATTTTATTATGGAAGATTTTTGAATTTTGTCAGTTGCTTTTTCTGTATCGAGAGGATCATATGGTTTTTGATTTTTTTTTTAGATTTGCATATGTTGAATCATCCTTGCATCCCTGGGATAAATCCAACTTGATTATGGTGAATGGCCCTTTTAATGTACTGTTGAATTCAGTTTGCTAGTATTTTGTGATGATTTTTGCATCTGTGTTCATCAGGGATATTGGCCTGTAATTTTCTCTTCCTGTAGTGCCCTGTCTGGCTTTGGTATCAGTTTAATGCTGGTCTGAAAATATTTATGTAGCTCAAGAGCAAGATTAGATATAGAAATGTGGACTTATAAGTTTTGGGGCAGATAAATTGATAGTTGAATGTTTTATAGACAGGGAAATGGAATCCACAAATGAGTTTCTAGAATGAGAAAAGGACAACATTTGAAAGGAGGGGGAATGCAAAGAGCAAGTTAAGACAATGGAGATGACCAGCCCTGACCATACAAGAACAAGATCAGAGACAGGAAAAAGAAGCAATTAAGCATACTGCAGGTAAGTCATGTAAAATAAAGGCAGGAAGTGTAGCTTGGGTCTGGAGATTTGGAGAGCATTTATGACTTCCCATTTCCCCATAGGCCCTATGAATCTAGTAGTCCTGGTTCTTACATGGGGAGCATTCCTACCAGAGAACATGATAAATATACCACTCAAAGCTATAGCTGCTACCTGGTCACTTTGGGCTCCTTATACCAGTAGATGAATAAGCAAAGAAAGAAGTTAACATATTCTCTGGGATAATGTATCCTGATCATCAAGGAAAGTTAAGGCTGCTGCTAAATCATGGAAATAGGCAGCACATATATTGCAAGGAGAGTAAAGTTGAGCAAAGGCACTCCTACTTCTGTGCCTTGACTCCCTGCCCATGTGTTCTCCTATTTGGACTGTAGAACCACATAATGGCTATTGGTTTAAAGTGTATTCCTCATCCTAAAGTATAGGGTTCCATGCTATAGAGTGTCATTTTCCCACTAGCACCTCAGTGGCAAATTTGAGTCCATTACATATTTTTCTATTGCTGGCAGCTTCTGGATGGTGTGGTGGTCATAGGATTAGTGCACTCCCTGGCTATTTCCTCTACATCACACATCCTTTGCTGTAAAGTGATCTCTTGGCCTGAGTAAATATTTTGTAGATTCCAATTTGGTTGTCATATGCTTTGAGTTTTTGGATAGTGAACTGGCTGAGACACTGTAGGCAGGAAAGGCAAACCCAGACCAAGAATACACGTTAATTCCGGCTACAGTAAACATAACCTTTCCCTGGGTGAAAGGGTCCTTATGGAATCAACTTGCCACCGAATGGCAGGTTGGTCTCCTTGAGAGATGGTCTCAACTTTGCTTTCTGTTGCAAGGAGGTCCAACATTCATCAACAGCAGTTACTAAATCAGCTTTGAAGAGATGGAGCCTATGCCGTTAGGTCCATTCATAGACTCTGTCTCTATCACTGTGGCTACACTGTATGTAAGACCACTTTCTAGGCATTAAGGTGGTCAAGTATAGAGATTTGCTGACATATCTGGCCCAGTCATCCTTGGGGTTCTGTAGGATTCTTCTGCAGTGGATTCTGTCTGGTAGGCACAAATGTACAATAGAACAATCCCTGCACTTTGTGCCCACTCTCATAGGTTCATCCATATGCCTCTTACCCAGACCTTTTCATACCTGGTCTTCCAATCTTGTTTATTTCAAGGCTGTAACCAGTCAGCTAGGTAAGTCATTAGTCCTTATATCCCAGTTTTATGCCACTTTTCTTCTTTCCCTAACTACTGTTTTTCAGTGCTACTCTGTGGTACAACAGCAATTCATTTTCATCTTACACCCACACACTGAGTTGATCCATCCATGTACTAATCTTGGGCTTTTTCTCCCTCATCAACAGGTCACAGGAAACCCTTCATGAATTCATAGGTGTGAAATAGGGGAGAAGCATTATAACAGTGACAGAAAGCATGCGGGTTTGTGACATATGTTTGTGTATCTTTCTTATACCTTCTTACACCTGCTCAAGTTTGACCCTGGGCACATCCTATCCATGTTATGGTTGATTGCTGCTGGGGTCACCTGATTTTATGATTTGTTGGATCTATTGGTATCTGTGGTGTGCTAGTAAATGATTACTTCTGAAAAATACTGCCTTGGCTTGTAGCATTTGGTGGCTTCTATGGCATAAATATGTCTACTATGGCTGATTTCAAGTGCCAAACTGATGTCAGAATGTGGAGTTAGGAAGAGATGTGATGGTATGAACTGTCTCTAGCACATCACTATCTTCAGCTGGTGAGAGCAGTTCTGGTCACGTGGTCACTTGATGTCATTTGAGTTTCCATGGTTTGTTACTCATTTTCTACTGGGGCCCAATGGTATGCCAGGAATTGTTTATCAATAGTTCATAGTCCTGTACTGTAGATGTCATAGCCTTGCCCTGGAACCCTAGAAGTGTGCACTGTATAAAACACATTTTGCTACTACAATTAATTCCAGTACTATAGGTGATGTGGTGCAAGCAAGAGTCCTGGACCTTATGCAGACCCATTTGTTGCCTGGGGCTCCTCTCAAAAGTTACACCTCTTTGCATCGTTTGGCAAATAGATCATAACAGTAGTCTCAAGTGTATTATATGTTGCACCTCAACATCAAAGAGGTCTGCTGAACATTGTGATTCTCTTTCAAAGCTAGGAGGCAAGATAGTAATTTGCCCTTTACTTTGGAATACATATCCCAGGATGCTCAGAACACTCGGACCCTAAGATGTTTACCTATGGGGCAGCCTCTTGAATCTTCCTCTAGAACACACGTTTCTTTCCAAAGCATCCAGAATACTTGCCACTTTTTGCACATCAGGCACGGTTAACATGACATCCTCAATATAGTGGACCAGTGTGATGTTCTGCAGAATGTCCAGATGACTCAAGGCTGTGCTGACAATGTTATGACAAAGAGCAGGAGAATTAACACAGCCCTGGGGCAAGACTGTGGATATACACTATTATCTGTTTATGTGAATGAGAACTTCTTCCGATCCTTCTTTCTGATAAAAATGAAAAAGAAAACATTTGCCAGTTCAGTGGCGACATACTTTTGGTGTGCTTGGTGACTCTTGGTTAACAGGTGGTCCACAGTTTTTGCAAGGCCAGGCTCGGCTCGTGTATTAAATAGGACCCCATTAGGGACCACCATTCCTGTCTCCTTGAAGACTTGGAGGGTGGCACTAATTTTTGCCATTTCCTTGAGATGCTGTTATGGGTTGAATTATATCCCCAAAGGATATATTGAAGTCCTATCCCCTGGTATCTATGAATGTGACCTTGTTTAGAAATAGGGTGGATGCAGATATTATTAGTTAAGATGAGGTCATACTGGAATAGGGTGGACCCTTTCCCAGTATGACTGGTATCTTTATCAGAAAAGGGAAATTTAGACACAGCTATAGACACAGAGGGAAGACAGTTATGTAAATCTGGAGGCAGAGATTGGAGTTATGCTGCCACAAGTGATGGATTGCCTGGGGGCTACCAGAAGATGGAAGAGATGAGGAAGAATCCTCCTTCTAAGACTTTGGAGGGAGCATAGACCTGCTGACACCTTATTTTTAGATTTCTAGCCTCCAGAACTGTGAAATAAACTTCTGTTGTTTAAAGCCACTTAGTTTGTGTACTTTGTTATAGCAGCCATAGGAAACTAATACAGATGCAATATATATACTATATATAATATATATGAATACATATACATAAATATATATACTATATATAATATATGCATACATATACATAAATATATATAATCATATATATTTATAAATTCATTATCCTCGTGGAAGTGTCTTACTGGCATATCCAGGATCATTCTCTGGGCCTTTGCTACAACAACAGCTATAACTTTACAATTCAATGAACAAAGGGTTCTGCCAACTGCTAAGTATGCCCATCCCAATTGTACATTTGGAAATTGTGCAAAGGCCCACCCGTACCCATTGTGAGACAGACATGGTTTGGACTCCGGTTGCTAGTTGACTTCCATATACCTCTACTCTTAGCAGGAGGGTAATGTATTAGTCAGGGTTCTCTAGAATCATATATATATTATATATATGAGAGCTTATTATGTATTAACTTACATGATCACAAGGTCCCACAATAGGATGCCTGCAAGCTTGAGGAGCAAGGATAGCCAGTCTGAGTCTCAAAACTGAAGAACTTGGAGTCTGATGTTCAAGGGCAGGAAGTATCCAGCATGGGAGAAAGATAGAGGCTGAGAGGCTAGACCAGTCTCTCCTTTTCACGTTTTTCTGTCTGTTTTATATTCACTGGCAGCTGATTAGATGGTGCCCATCCAATTAAGATTGGGTCAGCCTTTCCCAGCCCACTGACTCAAATGTTAATTCCTTTGGCAACACCCTCACAGACAC
Source organism: Homo sapiens (assembly GCF_000001405.40). NCBI lineage: Eukaryota > Metazoa > Chordata > Mammalia > Primates > Hominidae > Homo > Homo sapiens. Next base: position 65,948,643 of record NC_000001.11, read on the forward strand.
ACCCAGGGTCAATACTTTGTATCCTTCAATCCGATCAAGTTGGACTCAGTATTAACTATCACAGGCAATGATGGTGTTTGGGATCTTTGGCTATCAGCATCAATCTGTATTCACGTGTTTGGAAATATCTGAGTAATTTACGGATTGATCGATGGTGTTGCAACATCTTTCTTGTTTTTCAGTTGATGTGTTTTGGGTCACAGAACTGGCTCAGGCCTAAAAGCTGAGCATGGAAATAAGGCTTTTCACTGAGCATAGCTGACCTCAAACTTCTACTCTGCCGTCACGTATCTCTTTTGAATATTCATATTCAAATACCCTTATTGGCTGCCTATCTATCTTGCCCCTAGGGACAAAATGTTCTATGAGCCCTTTCCATAAATTCTGTGGGTCATGCCTTGCTGACTCATTCTGAACTTGCTGTGGATTATAGCCTTCTGTCCACCGCTCTTCTATTGGGTACATGCTGCCACCTAGCCTCTGCTCTTCTCAGATCCTATCATCTCCATTGCTATTAGGGAACCCACTACCATAACAATATCTCACATCATTATTCCCAGGGGTCCTTCTGACCTTATTGCCTTGGGCATGTCTTATGGGCCTCCCTAAGGAATATGGTCGGTACAGGGTTTTCTGTCTCATAGAACGGACCCATTGCTTGCATGTTGCTTCTGTGAGCCTTTTAAGCCCTTCCTCCATCATTTGCTACAGCAATTCTGGCATCTCTATTTTGTTTACTGTAGGCCTTTCCTTTTCTCAGGCTTTCAAAGTTAATTGTATCAGCTGATTACAGCAATCACTGGGGCTCTTGCCAGGGCATTAAATCCTGTGTCACTGGAAAGTGCCACTATATTGCAAAACACTCCCTAACACAGCTGTATAGCCTATCTTCTCTTGATTTAACCCCCTGAGGAACCACTTCCAGTTCCTGATGGTAACATGTTATCCATGTCTTGATGTTTTTAGGCATATAATTTCTTTTCTGCTTTACCTGTCCCAACACTTTTGATCAGGTTATGCTGAGATTTTACTCTAATTATGAACCAAGAGAGGAAGTGGAGCAAGTCCTGAGAAGGTAAAGAAATGTTATCTAAGATACCTGCCTCACTTGATACCTTTGTATAACTTCAAACGTGTGTGTGTGTGTGTAGCTCTGTCTTCCAATAAGAGATAATTGGTCACATTTTCAGGTGCATAGGACTCAGGATAACCCAAGATTTGAGATTCTTAACTGTGTCGATACAGATATCCCCATCCAAGCATCAGGGCCCCACTCCCTTCAGGGCTCTAAGTTTGTGTAAGAGACCTGCCTAGACTGAGATCCAGCTTTCTCTGATGCACTGCTAACAATTAATTTTGTTTTCTCTTGTTCTTCAACCGTGGCTGCCATCCAGGTGCAGAAGTGGAAGTTTTATTTAAATAGTGCCTAGGAGTTCCTGTTACTCTCACTTTGCTAATTTACTTTGTTGATTAATAGACTTGAACCTGTCATTTTCTCTCTTCAATCACTGGTGCTGAGCAGTAGCCAACCAATTCCACATTCTTATAGTTGTTATTTCTTCATATCTCTAAAACACCCAGAGTATTGTCGCAGCTATTGCACCGCTTCCACCTGTATCCCATCACAGGACAGCATAGGTGAAAGCCAGTAAAATGCACCAGCATTCCAAGGACTATCAACATTCCACCTATCACCAGCAATAGGGTTCTCATTATCATCCAGCTGGAAAATGATCCAACTCCAGGATCCCCATCTTTACAGTCTGTCTCTTAGAAGTGCTTCTTGTATCAGTGGTCATAGATTGGGTTCCATTCAGGTTAGGGATCCTTGTTTAAGTCACTTATTGGGGATGTGCTCAATAGGGGAGTGAGGGAAGCAGAATAGGATGGGGAAAACGCCAAGCAAGAATGTGGTCTCAGGAGGGACTAGCTTCAGTCTGATCCTACAGGACACTGGAGCACAAATTACACAACAGAACTAGTCGTACATAGAGAAAAAGAGGCTGGCCTTGTGTATCCCATGCCAGGAGGTCATTGGCTGAGTCAACCCTGGAGAAGGGAGGGAAAGTGGTGTATCCACCCAGGCAAAGTGGCTTCCATCTGGTTCAGGGCGATTCTCTGGAATAGGGGTGAGCTGTTTGTTGTTATCTCCAAAAGTCACAGCAAATGGGAGATGGTACAACCAGAAAAGGGAATGTGGGCAAACACCAGCCACATTCACCACAATATTACAGAGCTATTAGGAACTATAATGATCAGCATGAAGTTTTTCTGTGTCCTAGGTAAGAAATACATTTCTTTAAACCGTCTGGAAATCTTCTATAGTCTTGGATAAGAAGGTTGTGTTTATCTTTCCTCCTTTTTAGTGGAATTATACTCAATCCCAAATGCCCATTCACTATGTTTAACAAGGGACCGTCACGCAAATAGCATCTCTCTTCCTGGTCTGCTGTCAACTCTTCAAGTCTCCACATCAAAAATGTTATTCCCTACTGAGTTAACTTTACTTTTCTCTCTCCTTACCTTTGTTCTTGCATATAATGGTTGCAGTGAGGGATTATGAGAACATCTCCTTTCAGATACGTTGTCACATTCAGAATTGTGTGATCTAGCATGAGAAAGGCTTAACCTTTTTCCTTTCCATGTGCCAGTGAAAATTTCTTTATACTAATACACGTTATTTCTGAAAAGGGGATGAGAGAAAGGGACAAGAGAAGGGATGATACAAAAGTAATGTAGAAGTGGCCAAGAATAAGATTTGGCTTTCCTATTTTTTTAGTTTGAGTTTGGAAATTTATGCATTCTTTTTGTTTGTTTTTGATCCAGTAAAAAAAGTGTCACCTCTCGTCAGGACTTCAATAGTTCTGAAGGGTCTGGAAGTAAGTCATTGTCTCCTGAGTTGATTTAAGGCAGTTTATGATGAGAGTCATTCTGTTTTTTATTCCCTAAAACTCTGAGCATACTGCTGAGTGAATAGTCTGTGCTCCACAACTACTTGAAAAATGGTGATGCAGGCCAAAGTGTTTTGAAAACTGTAAAAATCCATGCGGAAATGAGGTAATATGATTGCTTTAAATTGACCTCTCCAAAGGCTCTTTCACCTTTTACCTGTTTTACCTGTTTTACCCCATATATAGATCCCAATGTTCTTCCTCCTACTTGATGCAGAATGCCTGTTTCATTTTCTCCTTTTTAGCCATAAAAATTCCAAGTATAATTCTAGGGCTTGGTTTGAATCCCACTGTGAGGAAACAAATCCCGATACTCTAAGGTTTGGCAATGGAGGATGAATATCCCTTTAGGGAAAACGATGGCTGAAACCTGTGGGTTTCACTCGTGTCTACTGAGATTCTCCTAAGGGACCTTCTTTTCTTAGGACAGTGTTTTCAAAGTGTAGTCCGCACGTCAGAATATTAGCATTACTAGAGAACTTGTTAAAAATGAAAATGATTAGCTCTACCCCAGACCTATTAAATTTTGAACCCTGATTGTAGGACCCTGCAGTTCATGTTTCAGTAAGCCTTCCAGGTGATTGTGAGGCCCGCTAAAGTTTGAGAACCATTGTCCTAGGGAATCACTTACTGATCACTTTTGATACCACCCCATTAGCTTCAGGAAGTCCTCCTCAACTTAGCACTTTACACCAAATTAACCCTTAATTGTTGTGGCACAGTCAAAACATTTAAACTAGCTTTCCTACCTAATGCCTTCTCCATCATAAAAAGAAAGTGAATTCCTAACATTAATGTATAATTAGGCCAGGCGCGATGGCTCATGCCTGTAATCCCAGCACTTTGGGAGGCTGAGGTGGGTGGATCACCTGAGGTCAGGAGTTTGAGATCAGCGTGGTCAACATGCTGAATCCCCATCTCTACTGAAAAAATACAAAAATTAGCCAGGCATGGTGGTGTGTGCCTGTAATCCCAGCTGCTCTGGTGGCTGAGGAGGGAAAATTGCTTGAACCCAGAGATGGAGGTTTCAGTGAGCCAAGATCATGCCATTGCACTCCAACCTGGGTCACAAGAGCAAAACTTGGTCTCAAAAAAATAAAAATATAAAAATAAAAATAAACCCACCAGTTTTATAGTCAGGCAAACTACACTTTGACTCCTGCTTTTCACTCAACCACGTTGATAGGAAGGCTCTGCATCTGTTAAATGATGGTAATAGTAATATCTACCTTTTAAGACTATGGTGGAAATTAAGTGAGTTGGTGAATGGAAAGCACTTAGCAAAACGTCTGACTCATAGGTGGTTTTCAGTAAATGATAACAAATCATAATTTAGCTTAGTCATCATCATTTCATAGCCCCCTATCTGCAGTGGGTCTCAGAGACTAGCTCTCAGGCCACCTCCACCGGGCATGGAACATTTTTTACCTTTGGAATTTAGAGGCAACCCTAAGCATGTCTTGGGCCCTTAGGGTGTAAGCCAAGAGAGAAGCAGGAATTCTCTTCTGTGTCTAACTTCCACTGTCCAAATTCTAACTTCCACTGTCTTAAGACCCTTCTGTCACCTAGGATATTGTTTTTGGGAAACATCAGGCCCATTCCCAACATTTACAGGGACTGAAGCAGGAGTACAAATGGAAGGCCCACACATCATATATGTATTTATAATTTACAGAGCAAGCTGAAAATGTTTTATACTCTGGGTAGGCAGGATATCAGCCCACACAATCCCAGGAAGCTGTGACTATGTTACATTATGAGATAAAGGGACTTTGCAGATGTGATTAAGTTCAGGGCTTGAGATGGGGTGGTGATCCTAGATAATCTAGTCCGATGAAATCACAAGGGTCTTTATAAGAAGGAGGCAGGAGAGTCAGAGAAGGAGATGTAACAAAGGAAGCCAAAATTGGAGTTGTGCAAATCCATGAGTGAGGTAGTGGGCAGTCTCTAGAAGCTGTGAAAAAGCAAGAAAAGGGATTCTTCCCTTGATCCCCAGTGGGAGTGCCTTGCTGGCCCATTTTAGACTGCTGACCTTCAGAACTGCTCCTTAATATATTTGTGTTGTTTTAAGTCATAAAGTTGCAGCAATTAGTTACTACAGTGATAAGAAACTAATAAACCTCCTACCTTCATAACAGTACAATTTTTAAAAAATGTGTACATATGTTTTTATAAGACTGAAAGTTGGCAAAATATCAATGGTGATTGAATTTGATTATTATTTTGCATAACAAATGGTCTTTGAATGACTCAATAATATTTGGGTGAATAATAAAATAAAGAATAAAATAAAGATACAATTTATTATTATTATTTTCTGTTTAAGATGGAGTCTCGCTCTGTTGCCTAGGCTGGAGTGTAGTGGCATGATCTTGGCTCACTGCAATCTCCATCTCCCAGGTTCAAGTGATTCTCTTGCCTCAGCCTCCCAGGTAGCTGGGATTACAGACATGCCACCACACCCAGCTTATTTTTGTATTTTTAGTAGATACGGGGTTTCATCATGTTGGCCAGGCTGGTCTCGAACTCCTGACCTCAAATGATCCACCTGCCTTGGCCTCCCAAAAAGCTAGGATTACAGCTGTGAGCCACTGTGCCTGGCCTCATTAATTATTTTTATCTCATAACACTTATTTTTCTTTCCTGTATTTCAGCACAATCATGAGTTATATGGTTCAGAGAACTTGTTTCTTATACACAGTATTGCCAAACTAGGCCACCATACTTGAATTACTGTAGTTCCTAGCTAATATTTTTAAATTATTTTCAGTCTGGAGAAACTTGGTTCTACTGAGGCAGTAGCAACCTAATTGTCATTAAAACTCTTAAAGAATACTGGATTAAGAAATAGATTATTAAGTTATATATCACGTTCATGCATTATAAGGGGATTGTCTATGATGCATGATCTCATCATGATCTTATCATGATCTCAGAAAAAAATTACCAAGTATTTAACTTAAGCAAGTGATTACTGTTATGTATATTTTGCTTTTCAACACCTACAAATCAATATCTAGATGCCTAGAGTTTTACTTAAGTTTCTTTTTTCCCCCAATCTTTTCAATGGTGAAATATTAGAAGAAAATTTTAAAAACAGAAGTATGATGCTTAATTTGATCAGTTCTCTCACTACATTTGATACTATTTCTAAATAAGAATGACCAGTCTGCAGGTTCTCATTTGTTTGTGCATGAATTCCTTTGTGTTCATATAAATATTTTCTATTTCCTTTTTCTAATTTTTAAATATTTTATTGTTGCATCTCACATGTAGTTTATTTCAATTTAGAAAAAAGTGTTCAAAATATTTGCAAAGACTTTGTATTTTTTTTAAAATGAAGTAGCCAAACCTAGATTGTTAGTGTTTTTATAAACTTCTGCCATATAATAAGTGGCAAGCAACAATTCATACTGCATCAATTTGTGATTCTCTTGAGAATCGCAAACAAGAACACAGAGACATAAGAAAACAGACGCTTGGCACTTGTGGAAAATGGTGTGTTATTATACAAGAATCTTCTGCTTTAGTTCTGTCAGAGAGGGCAGAATTGAGTAAATACTTTGTCTTTTCTTTTACCAAAATCCTTCCCTGTACCCTGGAGCCCTGTCCGTCCATCCATCTCAGATGTTAGTTTCAGCACAGTCCCGTAAACCTTCAGGCACTGACACATAAAGACCTTTTGTTCTGAGGACTGGGAAGAGAGATGTAGAAAAGTGTTTCCCTAGGGCGTGGACAGTTTATACTACATCCACTAAAGTCAAGTGCAGTTCTGAGGGAACCCTTTTATGGGATTTTGCATTCTCTACCCATAGAAATGTGTCTTTCTCCTCTTATTGGAAAAACAACAACAAAAGCATAGAAATAGTAATAGAACTCACCGCAACAGCATAATGCACCAAGTGGCACATGTGTGCACACTGACACTCACACAAGTGAAAAACTGAAGCAAGTCGCCCAAATTTGCATGGGTAACAGATTTGGGATTCGAGCCCATGTCTACTTCACATTGAGTTCATTCTGGTACGTCATCTTGCTTCCTCAAGAGCAGGGTGTTATCCTTTCTCTGGTTTATCTAGCAGCTTACCTGTATTTGTCACTCAAAACTGACTCACATTTCACCTCCTGGGGAAGGTGCCCCAATTCCCTTTTGAACTTTCTACAGTAACATGCTCTTCAGTCATTTATAGGGTTACGTGCTGTTCTCACGCTGGCCTCTGATTCTTTGAGGACAAGGACTGTGTTTTACTGCTTTCTGCATTTCTGAGGCCTAAGAGAGCGCCTGGAATATATTAGGAGCTGAAATATGGGATAATAAGAAAGCTCTTAATTTTAAAAAAGAAATATGCTACCACTATAATTCAGCATATTAAGCAATAAGTATGGACATGAAATCCAGAAGTCACATAAATTCATCTTTAGGTCCCAGATTGATAGCTGCTGGGATATTTTTAGAGAATTTTGAAAAGATTCCACAGTTTTCTTCAGCAATTTATTCAAATATGGGCCATTCTATACTGTCAGCAAATTCTCTCTGATATTTAACCTGAAGCAGTAACCTATAAATGGTATGCTGAGGCTCTGAGAGAGCTGGTATAATTGCCAAAGTTGCAGTCTTACTACTGGGATATATTTAAGGTTTGGGAAAGTCTTAATTCAGCACATTTTGAAGAGCAGTATTTTTAGTTCCTTGGGTGAATGGTCCTGTTTTAATTCAGGAAACAAAAGGTGCTGGTTTAGCTAACAGTTTGATTTCAATCTCTGAAGCCTTTCCACCAATTATTTTCTTTTTCAAGCAAAATCAATCTTTCCTCCATGTTCTCAAGTCCAATTTATTTAAAACACACACGTACATGTCTGCAGGCACACATACATACACACACATAGTATTACAGTACAACTATTATATACTGTTTTAGATGTAGATATAGAAAGAAGTATAGATATAGATTGCGGTTTCTTGAGTTTCTAAGAGTTTCCTTATTGTTTGCTTCTCCAGTGACTTTGCAATAACCTAGCAAACTTCCAGTAAATGTTCGCGAAATACGTGAATAGTAAATGAGAGAAATGAGGTGGAGCTTGAAATAATCCTGCCACCTTTGTTCCTATCACTGTAAATGTTATGTATACCTGTCTCTTTTCGTAGAAAGTCTTGCACATATGTACCCGGAGAAGAGACAGTCATTGGTGTGATTGCTGTCTTAGAGGGTATGCTCAGCTTGAACTTTACCAGGAAACAACAAATTATTTTTGAAAGTGATTGAAAATTTATACTCCTACCAGCCATGTATAAAGGTTCCTATTTATCTGTGTACTCTCTGATCTTTGATATTGTCAGACTTAATTTTTGCCAATCTAGTAGGTATGTACAGGTATCTCATTGTGACTTTACTGAAGACTGGACAATTTTCAGATATTTATTTGCTCTTTATTTTTTTATTTTCTGTGACATCTCTGTTTAGCTTTTTTGTTCTCTTTTGTTTTTCTTCTTTATTACTGATTTGCAGGCATTTTTACATTTATGTAAATACTAATATTTTGTCTCAGGCTGGCTTGTCTTTTTACCCTCTTTCTGGTGCTTCTTGGTGGATAACATTCTTCATTTTGATGTAGTTGAATTTCATCACCCTTTTATTTTATATGGTCAATGCTTTGTGCTTAAAAAATCCTTTCCTACCCCAACTTTATAAATATCTTTTCCTATATTTTCTCTAAAAGTTTTAAGGTTCGCCACCATTCGTTGACTGATCTTTCTCTCAGTAATTTCCAATGCCATGTCTGTTACACAGCAAGCTATCATTTATGCAGGGGTCTGATTCTGGGCTCTCTATTTGTTTGGCCTGTGTGTCTGTCCCTGAGCCTAATTAGTAATTTATATCAGTAAGGCATTTTCTCCTACTCTGTCACTCTTCAGAAATGGTGAGTTCTTCCTGCTCCTGTACTCATCATGTAAATTTTAAAATCACTGGTTAAATTTTATGAAAACCTGTTATAACTTTCATTGTAATTGTATTGAATTTAGAAAGCCATTTCTGGAAATTGGCATTTTTTTGGTATTGTGTCTTCCTATCTATTAACATTCTGTATTTCTTGATTTATTTAGGTCTGTCAAAGTCTTTAGAAAATATTTATAATTATTATTCTTAGGTCTTGCTCCTCTTTGTTACATTACTTCACTTTTGCTACTATTGTAACTAGTATATTTTAAAAATATATATTTTCAATCTGTGGCTGATCATGGAAATAAAATTAGATTTTATATTTTGACATTACAACCAGCTGTTTGTTATTGATTATTATGCATAATAACTTGTCTTGAGAATCTTTTGTGTTTTACATAAAAATCCATTTTCTGCAAATATTAACACTGTGTTTCTTCCCTTCTAATCTTTACTCCTTTAATTTTTTTCTTGTAATTGTATTGGGTGTTTAGTACAGTGCTGAAAAGAAGTGCTATTATAGTCATGCTCGTCTTGTTTCATATTGTACAGGGAATTGCAATCAGATTATGTCTGTTGTAGGCTTTTTATAGATGCATTTGATTAGGTTATGGGCGCTTTTTGCGTTCTTAGCTTTATAAGATTTTTAAAAATATGCTTGTGTTGGATTTTTTTTAAATTATATTTTTCCCTGCACTTATTGAGATGGTTTTTTTAAAAAATTTATTGATATGGTGATAAATATATTTTCTAATGATAAACTGCCTTTTCCTTCCTAAAATAAGCTCAACTTGGTCAAGATATATTATTATGGTTTTAAATTTATATTTGGAAAGTTTGCCTATATTTTATTTAATTTTTTTGCATCTAGTTTCATAAGTGAAGTTGACTGATATTTTTTTCCCACATTGTGGTATTTTAAAAAGTATCAATGATATGGTAGGCTCTTAGAGTGACTTGAAGATTGTGCCCTCTTTTTATCTTTTGGGGAAGAGTTTAAAATTTATAAATAATGTGGTAGGATTCACCTATACAATATCTGGGTCTGATATTTTCTTCATGGGAAGATTTTTTAAAACTGTGATTCGTTTTTAACCTATTTAAAGCCTACTCTTTATTCTTAATACTGTTTTAATGTTATGTTTTTTCTAATAATGTGTCCATTTTGACTAAGTTTTTTAGTATGTTGGTATAATGTGATACACACACACACACACGCGCGCGCGCGCGCGCACACACATACACACACGCAAAATACCATAGTGTTACCTTATCTTTTTAACCTGTTTTATCTGCAGTTGTATATCTGCAGTAATCTGCAGTTTTGTATCTGTAGTTATGACTTATATAGTTATATTTAAAACTTCTTTTGAAACAAATGTTCGTAACTGCATATCAGAAAAGTATTACAGAAGGTATTTAATCATTTAAATTTGAGTGTGTTCTGTGCTTCCCAGATGCAGAAATAAAATATTTTCTTTTGTTTTATTTTCCAACACAAGAGGGCAGCATTGCTGCACTGTTAATTTCCTGTAGGCTAACACCGCTGTGCCTTGTGTAGGTTTAAATATACAGCACATCTCTTTCAAATGGATAATCATTTGAGGATTGCATAAATGTGGACCTTGTCTATTTTTCACTTACATGACATTCATTGAAATTTAGTTTTGAAAACAATACTCTCTGATTAGCATTTATACATGTTTTATATTTGCTTCATTGTTTCTGATTCTGTAACAATCACCTCATTCTGAGAAGACTAGGTACTGTTGTGTTTGATAGTGTGTATGTATGGTAATTTTCTAGAAATCTGAATTTTTTTAAATGGGCTTTTCAATGATATTACTGAGAAATAGGTAGGGTACTATTTTGACATAAAGGATAAAGAACCCACAAAGTCCATGAGCTTCCTGTCGGATATGAGAGATTAAAACTGCTGCTGACTACACCACCAGGTCCATGTCAATTAACTCATTTGCAGATGGGAGGTGAGAGTGCAAAAATAATATTAACATTAATATTAAGTACCATTACTGGCTACTCATTATAGCTTAGATTCTTTATTTGCTCTACTTAGATTTATTTTTATAACATCATCCTGTAAAGTAGGTATTATTACCCCCATTTTTACAGATGAGGAGGCAGAAGCTTGGGTTGGCTAACTCACCCCTTAGTTCATGAGGGTCAGAAGAGGGTGCTGATTAATAAATCCCCAGGCTTTCTCACTACTGCACACTGCCTCACCATCAACAGCAAAACAGGTTGAATTCGACGATTCAGTAAAAAAGTAATTTTGATAGTTGAGTTCCTTTATCCCTTACCACGTCTATTTCACATATATGATTATTATTATTTTGGTAGAGATGAGGTCTTTTTATGTTGTTCAGGCTGGTCTCAAACTCCTGGGCTCAAGCAATTCTCTTCCTCCTGAGCCTCCTAAACTGCAGGGATTACGGGCATGAGCCACGTGCCTGGCTCACATATTTGATTTGGTCTAGGCTATCTTAACAAAATACAAAATGCTTTGTAAAGTCTACATTTTATTATTGCATTTGCTATTTTTAGCTCTTTATGTCTGAGCAATTGTTTAATGCCTGTGCCTGAGAATCTTTTTCTCAACAGGGGAACTGCGGGGGAGATTCCAGAAGTTCCTTTTAGAGTTGTTGTTTCACTGTATCAGTGCATCGGTGACTGAGAAGGAAGTATTTGCTTTTGTGTGGCAGCGCAGTAAATTCGCAGAACACAGTTCCAAGAAGCCCAAGGCACTAGCAAGAATGATAGGTCACCATCTCCATTATCTGTCGGTGGTGGATATGGAAGATAGCATTCTATATTAACTTTTGAGAAAGAGAAAGTTAGGCAAGAAGAGATTGCTGAAATAGATTGTCTGTGATTGCTGAGGTTGAAAGTTTTTTATTCTTGGCCAAGGAATGTATCTTTTGGGTTTAACATCACTTTAGGAGTCAGACAGCCTTGAATGTTAGACTGAGCTTTGCATTTTTTAGGTCATGACTTTAGGCAGATTCCCTGAGCCTCAGATTCATCATCTGTGAAAGAAAGATAAGACTAATACCAATTTATCCAGGCTAAAAATATATATAAAAATATATTTTTTCAAACATACACATTCAAAAATAATGACCATATTTTTAAATGCTATCCTACGTTGTGTCAAGGGCACCAGTTTCTAACTTAGAGACATTTGCAATTTTGAGCAGTGTCTTCTGAGGCCACTGGGTATCTCTAGAAAGCTTGAAGTTTAGGAGTAAACAGAAAAAAGCTTGTGAACATGCTTTATAAACTGTAAAGATTTGTAAATATATAAAATCATTATAATGGCTCCTCTCTCTGAACTCAACTTCCACTGGATACATGGCATATACTTTTGCATGTATCAACTTAGCTCAAATCAATAAAAAACATTTTTGGACTCCTGGTAAGTCCAAACATTTATTCATTAAAAAAATTATTAGGGACCTAAATGTACACTGTTTTAGGCACTGGAGATTGGACAAGAAACAAAACAGATGAAACCTTTGCCCGTGGAGCTTGTATTTGTAGAGGTGACATATGTGGATCACACATAGGTAGGATGTTTCATAATAATATAGAGAAAAATAAAGTCTAGGCAAATGGCTAGAGAATGGTGGAGGCTTGCTACTTTAGATGGAATTGTCCAAAAGCCTTCTTTGAAGAGGGAAAAAACTGAGCAAAGACTTGAATGAAAGAAAGAAACCAGCCATACATCTGTCTAGAAAAACTGAGTTATTGGCAGAGAGAACAAAAAGTCAAAGGCCTTGAAATGAGGATGTGTGCCTGGTATGTTTGCAAAATGGCAGGAAAGCTATGGTAAACCATACAAATTATTGGGTTTTCCATGTAATCCATTGTCTCTTTGAGAGACGATATCTATTATAATATTATAATTTTATAGCTCCTCTTTTATAGGTGTTCATAATAAGAATAAAGATAATAATTAGTACTTTTTGAGTACTTGCCATGTGCTATATTTGTCCTTACAACCCTCCCAAATAAATATAATTATCCACCATTATACAGAGACTCTAAATAGCTTTCCTAAGGTAGCATATTCAATAAGTTGGTGAGGCAACGGTTTGTCTTATTTCAAGTGCAGGGTGCATAATAACTCAATGGGAAGACAGATGAGTGAAAAATGCGTAGTAATGTCAGAGGGCTTATGAAAGGTACCTAGGGAAGGTGTCATGAAGTTACTTAGGGAAGGTGTCATGTTATGCCATAGAGGATCAGTTCCTTAAGGAAGGAGAAGATGGATTGGGAGTGGAGAGAGAATTTCCTGCGAGAAACAAAGGCATGAAGGCTTGAAAGAGCATGGGGTACATACGCAGTAAATAACAAACAGTTAAGTGCGGCTGAAGAGTCTGTAGCATGCGATTTAACACAGATGCTTCTCCACTTATAATGAGATTACAACCTGATAAACCCATTATAAGTTGAAAATATTGTTAGTCGAAAATGCACTTAATATACGTAACCCACAGAGCATCATAGCTTAGCCCAGCTTACCTTACATGTGCTTAGAACATTTACTTTAGCCTACGGTTGGGCAAAATCATCTACCACAAAGCCTATTTTATAATAAAGTATTGAATATCTCATGTAATTGATTGAATACTGCACTGAAGTGAAAAACAGAATAATTGTATGGGTACTCAAAGTAAGGTTTCTACAGAATGTGCATCCCTTTCACAACTTCCTAAGGTCAAAAAGGGGTCAGTTGAACCATTGTAAGTTGGGGACCATCTGCAGACATGCTCAGGTGCTACTTTGCCAGGCAGGGTCTGCTACTGTAACATAAGACACCTCCCAGCCATGGCTGATTGGACAGAGGTGGAACTCTGACCCACAGGTAGCAGAATCCACTGTTTTACTAGGGACATAGGATGTGTGTGGCTTGACTCAAGCAGCTGAGGTGACTGAATCAGATTCTGACTTTCAAAACATTGAAGCAAGGATGCAGAAACTGTTGCTAGTCCATGAAGGGCCCTGGGATAGGGAGATTATCCAAATTTGGGTGGCTCAAGAGGTCATTGGGCCATGGGAAAGCTGATTAGGAAGCTATCTACAGAAAGAGAAAAATGGAACAAGTACAGAGAGAAGCAAAGATGGAATATTATGAAACCTCGGAGAGAAATGGAGAGCAGCAGATCCTCAGTTTCTGTTGCATTTCCAGTTCTTTAGGCCTCACGAGGCAGGTCTATGTCCTGTCCTAGATCCCAGAGATCTTTCTATCCCAAAATTAGGGGGGCCATGTAATTTAGATCCAAAATGGCACTCTTTTGAAAGTGAAAGTGGCTGCTATTAATAATTACAGACGAAAACCTCCAAATCACTGGGAAAACTGGGTTGTATGTGGTGGTGGGCTAGGAAGTATTTAACAACTGGGTCCCCAGGAAACAACAGCAACAACAAGCCAGAATTTGATTGGTAGTGTTTGTCGATTTCCATGTTGTAAATACTCTCACCATAGCTGATTTCCAGCTACCAACTGGCTTGGAAAATTCCTGAAAATTTAATAATCACCTTTCTCAAGATGCGACAAGTCAGCTCCCGTACACCACTGGATGCATACTGCCTTACCTAAAGTACTCTCCTTCTATACTAACCCCCTGCCCCCACCTTTATTTTTACTTGGGTTTTGTGAGTTTATTTGAACCTTGCAACTCCAAAAGCACCGATTAGAACAGTAGTGCGTTTGGCCCTGCGACTGCAGGCAGTGGGAGGCCTGCCTACAAGCCTGCCCTCCAGCTCCTTGAAGAGAGAGACTATTTTAAACTTCCCTTTCCTCCCCAGCATGCCCAGCACAGCGAGGAGAATGTCGCAGCTGTCAGTAAATGCCTACTGCATTAATGCTTGAGGTGTCCCTCATTGCACCCCTGCAGCAAGGTTGGCCAGCTGTGATTTACAATTTGCCTGTCAGCAGTGGGAAAGTAACTTTGTGACAGCAGCAAACACCAGCTTCTCAGAGGATTTTGAGACCTGGGTTCTGACATTTTTACCTAGATGTGATTGTTGTCAGCTTATCATCCCCTGTCAAGTTCTAGGCTTCCTTGAGCAGAAAATGAAGTTTATTAACTCAGTTATGGGATGCTCTGACTCTTTAGCCACATGGGTGCTAACTGCTTGATCAGTGCCTCTCCTTAGTGTGTTCACATTGGCCTGAGGCGAGCCCTGTCACACTCATTCTTCCTTCTTCAAATAACACAATCATTGCCTTCCAAAAAGCAGAATCATCCATCCTGTTTTAGAAACAAACTGGTTACCCAAACTAATTAGCTGAGCTTGGACTGTACAAATACCTTTTTACCTGGAATCCAGGTTTTTCTTTACATTTTCCTCTCTTTTATCCCTATTTATGCTTGTATGTAAAAATCTTTATACATTTGCAGAAACTGGTAAATTATCAGAAGAATTTGGTTTCTGTCAGCTTTCCTAAAAGCAATTATTTTCCCTGTTTCTGAGAAGTGATAAGAATAAAAAATATTTCCTCTGAACTTTCTGAATATATTATTGTTAAATGATTGATATAACACTTACACTGAGAAAAAAATTTATTCCAGGTCAGGCACATGGGTGAGCTGACACACACATATACTTTCTTCTCTAGCAGTTCTCGGGTGAAAGAGAATCAGGTGAAATGAGAATTCTATGCTTGTACTAATACTGTCTTTTAAAGTTGTTTATTTACAAAAGTCTTCCCAGGTTACATGCCAAGCAATAAAACGGTTAAACAATTAAAAGGTTTCCAAGACAACTTATTGCAAAGTACCATAAAAAGTCAGCTATGATATCACACTTGTAATTGAAGACTCTAAGTCTCAGCTTTCAGTAAGCATGCATTAGTATCAAGAAGGTCAAGATTCATGGATTCTGGTATTTTTGGTTATGGCAAGAGAAATTAACTTTTATAAACCATAGTGTGAAAATCAATTCACCAGAAAACTCTGTGTGTTTACAATGTGTCCATTAATGTCCTGGCTAATGTAAAATGATGAGGACATGAGTCTAAGTAATAGATGTTCATAAAGTGGAATATATAGAGATGTTTCTAGAGCATTATTTAAATTTTGAAAAAGAATAACAATTCTACATCTCCAGTAAGTGAGCATGATTTAATTTGGACAGATAGTGAACTGCTATCTGACCATTTAAAACCATGTTGTAGAAGAATATTTGCTGCTGTGAAAAGATATTCAGAATATATTGCTAAGTGGTGAATTCAGCTACAAAACACTATAATAACAATTTTTGCATATTGTGTATGTGCATGTGTGTGTGTGTATTACATATAGGACTAGAAAAATATAATAATTTAACAGTGGTTATACCCAGTGGATATATCTGGGGAGAGTGATTAAGTCATATTGCTCTATTTGCCTATTTGCATTTTTCACTGTGCTGTTTTTACTGTTGAAGCACGCTCGGCTGTTTTAGTTACAGGAGAACTTATTCTCATGAGTGTACTGAATTTTGAAGGGGATAGAATCTTACACAATTAACTAAAATGAGACATATATATGTGCCAAATGTATGGTGTAGGGTCCTGTAATTCATTACATTCCTGCCCTTTTATTTAGGGACAGGTTTTAGAAAGGTGAGTGGGGGTAACCTAGAGGAGTGAAAACACCTTGGGTAACATGAATTGATGCCTGCTTAAAGAGTTAAGGCATTTCCTCCCCCCCCCATGGAAAAGGAGAACAAAGCTTTTACTGTACGATTAATTAGAATTCAGCTTTGCATAGTCTGTGGTTACAAACTTCAGTGAAATTGGTGCAGGATCCTATTCTCAAAGGGTTACAAAGCACATATTGTTGTCAAAGTACCCAGTACAGAAAGATAGCATCCTCAGAATAAAAATTAAGTACATTTTATATGAAGCGATACACATTAGACACTTTCATAGGTTTAAATATTAAACAGTGGTGAACAGTTCCAGGAATCTTGTGATTTTTTTTTTTTTCATAAAATGAATGCCCTTATTTCCCAGAAATCCAAGACTTAACATTTCTTAACAGCTTATCTGATGGGAACAAACCCAAACTGGCATGTAAATATTATCAACCAGGAGGGTTTCCAATTAATAGATCAAGGTAAAACAAAAATTACATTTTATTCAACTTTTGCCACTAGTGCTTAGCACAGTGCATAGCGTATTATTGGCACTCAACAAAAACATGCATATTTTTCTTTAAGACTGTTGAATAAACAGAACCAACGACAAAAATCACGTGATTATCTCAATAGATGCAGAAAAGGCCTGCAACAAAATTCAACACCCCTTCATGCTAAAAGCTCTCAGTAAACTACGTATTGATGGAACATATCTCAAAATAATGAAAGCTATTTATGACAAACCCACATCCAGTATCATACTGAATGGGTAAAAGCTACAAGCATTCCCTTTTAAAACTAGCACAAGGAAAGGATGCCCTCTCTCACCACTCTTATTCAACATAGTATTGGAAGTTCTGGCCAGGGCAATCAGGCAAGAGAAAGAAATAAAGGGTATTCAAATAGGAAGAGAGGAAGTCAAATTGTCTCTGTCTGCAGATGACATGATTGTATATTTAGAAAACCCCATCATCTCAGGCCAAAATCTCCTTAAGCTGATAAGCAACTTCAGCAAAGTCTCAGGATATAAAATCAATGTGCAAAAATCACAAGCATTCCTATACACCAATAATAGACAAACAGAGAGCCAAATCATGAGTGAACTCCCATTCACAATTGCTACAAAGAGAATAAAATACATAAGAATACAACTTACAAGGTATGTGAAGGACCTCTTCAAGAAGAATTACAAACCACTGCTCAAGGAAATAAGAGGGGACAAAAACAAAAGGAAAAACATTCCGTCCTCATGGATAGAAGAATCAATATCATGAAAATGGCCATACTGACCAAAGTAATTTACAGATTCAATGCTATTCCCATCAAGCTACCAGTGACTTTCCTCACAGAATTAGAAAAAATTACTTTAAATTTTACATGGAACCAAAAAAGAGCTCGTATAGCCAAGACAATCCTAAGCAAAAAGAACAAAGCTGGAGGCATCACGCTACCTGACTTCAAACTATACTACAAGGTTACAGTAACCAAAACAGCATGATACTGGTACCAAAACAGATATATAGACCAATGGAATAGAACAGAGGCCTCAGAAATAATGCCATAATCCGATCTTTGACAAATCTGACAAAAACAAACGATGGGGAAAAGATTCCCTATTTAATAAATGGTGTTGGGAAAACAGGCTAGCCATATGGAGAAAGCTGAAACTGGATCCCTTCCTTAAACCTTATATAAAAATTAACTCAAGATGGATTAAAGACTTAAACATAAGATCTAAAACCATAAAAACCCTAGAAGAAAACCTAGGCAATACCATTCAGGACATAGGCATGGGCAAAGACTTCATGACTAAAACACCAAAAGCAATGGCAACAAAAGCCAAAATTGACAAATGGGATCTAATTAAACTAAAGAGCTTCTGCACAGCAAAAGAAACTATCATCAGTGTGAACAGGCAACCTACAGAATGGGAGAAAATTTTTGCAATCTATCCATCTGACAAAAGGCTAATATCCAGAATCTACAAAGAACTTAAACAAATTTACAAGAAAAAAAACAATCCCATCAAAAAGTAGGTGAAGGATATGAACAGACACTTCTCAAAAGAAGACATTTATACAGCCAACACGCATATGAAAAAGAGCTCATCATCACTGGTCATTAGAGCAATGCAAATCAAAACCACAATGAGATACCATCTCACACCAGTTAGAATGGCAATCATTAAAAAGTCAGGAAACAGCAAGTTGCTGGAGAGGATGTGGAGAAATAGGAATGCTTTTACACTGTTGGTGAGAGTGTAAATTAGTTCAACCATTGTGGAAGACAGTGTAGCAATTCCTCAAGGATCTAGAACTAGAAATACCATCTGAACCAGCAATACCCAAAGGATTATAAATCATTCTACTATAAAGACACATGCACACGTATGTTTATTGCAGCACTGTTCACAATAGCAAAGACTTGAAACCAACCCAAATGCCCATCAGTGATAGATTGGATAAAGAAAATGTGGCTCATATACACCATGGAATACTACGCAGCCATAAAAAAGGATGAGTTCATGTCCTTTGCAGGTACATGGATGAAGCTGGAAACCATCATTCTCAGCAAACAAACACAGGAACAGAAAACCAAACACTGCATGTTCTCACTCATAAGTGGGAGTTGAACGATGAAAACACATGGACACAGGGAGGGGAACATCACACACCAGGGCCTTTCGAGGGGTGAGGGGCTGGGGGAGAGATAACATTAGGAGAAATACTAATGTAGATAATGGGTTGATGGGTGCAACAAACCACCATGGCATGTGTATACCTATGTAACAAACCTGCATGTTCTGAACATGTATCCTAGAACTTAAAGTATAATTTAAAAAAAGAAAAAAAATGCATACTTGATTGAGCTAGAAAATGTGCTTGTCTGGAGGTCTCTAATCTGTGTTGCTAATACATAGAATGACATAATAGAAAGACTATGGACCGAGAAACCAATACTCAGACCAGCTGCGATTGAGTTCTAACGCCAGCTCTTCTGTTAACTCAGTGTATGGGTTCTTCTCCTTGTGGCTCCATTTACCCATTTGTTAAAAAGAGGATTGGACTAGATTAACTCTAATGAGAGTATCTTTCAGATCAGAATACCTAAGGGTTTCTTTTCTTTCTCTATTGCCAAAGCTCATGTATTTATTAATGTATTCCACAGATGCTTATTGAATGTCTTCTCTGTATGTCAGGCATTGTGCTATGTCATGCAGAACAGGCCTGTAAACAAGGCACACACAGTCCCTGGCCTTGGGGTCCCTTCCTCCAGTGAGAAAGTTGTGTTCCCTCCTACTGGGTTGACTATAATTTTTTTTTTAATTCACTCATTGTTTAAAGCAAGATCTTAGAGGAATGGGAAGTTATTCTTATTGGGAGAATTGCTTGTCATCATAGAGTTCTCTTTGATGAGATAGAGAAATTTAGAAAGATTAAACTCCTAAATTGCATTTCCTTGTGAATTGTTGTAATGGACCAGAATAAACACAAATTTGGTGTTTTCTAGCATTTTAGTGACAGTGTGGGTACACCTCACATTACAATGTAAATCCATTTTAAAAATGCAGTTAGTAACTTATGTTTTATTAACTCTCGTATTTTTAGAGTACCAGAGTAAACTGACCGTTTGAAGGAATGCTTCATATAGTGAGTCATATTGTCATGTAATTATGACCCAACCTATATTTTTATTTCATTAAAGGACTTTTCTTAATGCAAAGCATCTTTAAACTTCCATGTAAAGGAGATAATTATATTAAAATATTCATAACCACATTTTGACACAGCATTGCTCGTTTTGTTCCTTTGATCTAATAGTTTGTAGAAAATAGAATGTAACAAATTATCTCATTTAATTTTACCTGAGAAACACCGTACTTTTTCAGGGTGTATAAGTCAGGATAAGCTGGCTATGATGCTATAACAAACAACTCCAAACTCTCAGAGGTTTAAAACACTATAGGTTTTCTTCTTGCTCATATGACACATTCATCTTGGGTATGGATGAATTGGACTGATCACAATTACTCTGGAACCCAGGCTGACAGCCGCCACCATCTCAAACATTTTCATGGTAAGTGCAAGAGAGCAAAAAGAGCTCTGAGAGGGTCTCACTTTGGCAAAGAATTGTGTGGTTATATCCAGTTATAAATCACTGGCTAGAATTAGTCACATGCTCCATATTTTCACAGAGGGGCAGGAAGTACTATCCTACCATCTGCCTAGGAAGAAGACAGCTGGGACACTTGATGAATAATGCTAATTACTACCAAACACGGTATGGAAGAGTTGTTTTCAGGCATTAGCTCCCTTAATTTGCTAGAGAATCAATTAACACTTGGTTAGCTTAGCAATGTATTTAGTTGAAAAAACTTTTTTCTGAATATTTCAAAGCACTAACTTTTTTGAGAAGATCTACTGCATTGTACTACATATTGCTGGAATTCTAGCAACATCTTCAAATTTTAGATTTGTGACAATATTTGTAATGATATGTATTTTATACTTTTGCCCATGGATATTAATGACATTTTTACTGTGATTCTCAAAAGCATTAAAAAAGAAGAAAGGTTAGGTCATATAAATGGTATGATTAGTTTTGTTTCTTTATTTCTTTTTCCCTTGGTGTTTTTTTAGACGCAGAGTTTTGCTTTGAATTGCTCTTCCAGTATTATTTTGAGAGTGCTCTACTAGTGCTTACTCATTTTCCATTCTAATAACAATTCTAAGCCAGAACAAATAGGAATTTATCAGAAAATTATGGTCCACTCTCAACTACTTCTAAATATCAATCTCAAAAGTTCATTTAATAATTCAACTTTCTTAGGTATAGTAATAAACAATGTATAAGTGCCTTTTAATATACATCTTAAAGTATTATTTTTATATTTATTAATACTTGTATTCATTTATAAATTTACTTATTTAACAAACTTTTATTGTACTCATGTAGCAGGCATTCAAACTGATTTAGTGGTTTAAAATATATTTAATTGTATACTAAGAATTTATGAGAATTTACAAATATTTTCTTTTTTTTTTTTTCTAAGTAAGTTTGTTGTGCTTTAAAGGTTGTACGGTTCTATTCTTCCATATGAAACTGACAATACAAACCTAAAAATGGGAAATACATTTTGGACTACATGTCCAGAGGCAGGGGCTAGACTACCTTCTTTCCTATGGCTTTTTGCAGAAGAATGATACATGTATTTGGAAGATAAATGGCAGGGAGGTATTAGTGTAATATATTGCTGTCAAATATTCTGGGATTCATACTTTATTCACTTAACCAGCCAAAAGTGACTATGTGTTTACAGTGGGTCTTATGATTTGGTAAGGACTTAAAATATAAAGATTAAGACATGAGCCATATTCTCATGGAGTTCACACTCAACTGGGGGAAATAGATATGCCAATATACAATTAACAAGTATATAATGTAATAAGTTCTATGGTAAAGGTATCTACTGAGCACAATGGAAATACCAACCAACCTGGAGGCATCAGTGAGATCTTCCAAGAATGGAAGTGACATTCGATTAGGTCTTGGGGTGAAATACACTGGGGAAGAAAGGAAGGAGAACATTGCATCTATAACAAGCAATGCATGTATAACAAGCAGCATGAGTGACTAAATGAGTGAACATGTGAAAAAATGTGCACCTGGAGGACTCCATACATGAGGTGTGCGGTGCAGTAGCAGGAAATGAGGCCAAAGGAAAACCCGGGTCTGGACAGGACGGGATCTTGGCTTGAGTTTGCCTCAAATAAGAAAGGATAGGCTAAAGGATAAGAGAGGAGAGGCTAAAGAGCTTCTGGAGAGGCATTAACTAAAGGGATTGGAATTTATCTAGTAGGCATCTGGGATCATTGAATTGTATAAAGCAAGAGTGACATGGTCAGGCTGTTATATTCAGGAAAATAAGTAATTGTAGTGAGAGACAGAGAGGAATAAATTAGAGACAGTGAAGCCTGGAGGCACAAAAACTTACATCTTGGCTTCATCAGCTTAATTTGCCAGTGACTAGACGCTAGGCAATTGAGATAGGTGACTAATTTTTGTACTTTAATTTATAATATTATGACTATGTGCTTAGAAAATGACACCTGGTCCTTTAATAACTTGATTGCTTTTTCTATATAAAACATCTCCATTAAATTTTCTTTGAAGTACCAATGCATTTTCTAGAAAGCAGAAGACATGTTAATAGCAGCGATTGCCTTTCTCTGCTATGAACATCTATGTGGTACTAAGTAGTTATTTAGGCATCTCTATTAATAGACAGTAATAGGTATGCTGGGGAGATTTCTAAGGGAATCATTTCATGAAGCACCTTATATGACTTTAATAAAAAACCCATTAATGAATAAAGGAATAAGTTGATCAAGTCACACATTTGTAGCCACCAGCATAGTTTGGAGAATGATATGTAGTGGAAGTGAAATGAAAATGCTGAGAGTGATATTTATTCCAACTATTTCCGAAGTAGAATATGATAGTCCCTGAAAATATTCAGAGAGGATGGTGTTATCAGCAGTATGAGCTGTTTTTGAGAAATCGAGAATGTAAATGAGGGAGAATGATTCATGCCAAAATTGACTAACTCCAAGTAATCATCTCTAGAATGCTTAAGTAGGTATTTTGCTATATTCCTGTAGCTATAACAATATATCATTTGAAAGATTTTCAGAAATGAGCATCATTATCAATAATGAAAAAAGTAGGTCATAATCTCTTTTTCCTTTGGACTTTTAAATGCCAAGTCTTGTATCTTATGAATATAAAATCCATTATCTGTGTTACCAAGATATATCCATCATTATTGCTTCTCTCTGTTTTGAAATAACATCATTTTTCCTAGGCAGACTAGGTAGATTCTGGTATAAAAAATTTGGTAATATATTATGACTGTGCATTTATTGGATTTTATGTTTATTTTAAACTTATATGTTTTGATTTTTAAGTTTCTAAACATTTAGGTCCCTTGCACTTTCGCATAGAAGTGTGTTTTAATGCATATGCCTTGTGGTCAGATAGCCAGTTGTTTTGGGAATCAGTTTGCCATTTAGACACTCAGTCCCCCAAAAGGCCGGGAGAATATTCCTTCAAATGGCCCACTGGGCAAATGTGTACACTTCTTTATCTTGCCATATTTTGGAGAGGATATTTTTTTGTCAATTGGGATTATGCATTTGTTAGAGCCTGTGAGTTCTTGGGAGATCCGTGTATCTTAGCTTTTTGAGTTTTAGAATTTTTTCTCGGTATAACATTTTAAAGGTTAGATTATTTGGGAAGAGGTGTGATAAAGCTGAATATATTCCTGTGGAAGAAACAATTTGTAATCTGGATTAGCTTTCTTTGACGGAAAGTAGTTTTGGCCAAAAGGTGACAATATTCTTCAACTGGTAAGTGTGGAATTGGATGAGAGACACAATCAATCTGAAGGTGTATGCTGTTTACCAAAAAGTAGACTAGAAATGGAGGAAAATGAGGAATTAAATTCTATCTAATATACTCTGATTCACTTAGTGTTTCTGCATAACTATTTCTGGACATTATTTTCAATTTTTTCCTTTATTTAGATGCAGTTCCACTGTAACTAGTCTTACTACAAGCAAGCCTTTTCAGTAAAGAGAGGAGAAAATATACTCTACTGTTTTTTATTTCTTTGGAATCAAATGTTTGTTGAATGCTACATTGGGCCATGCATAGAGTTGAACATGACAAATTGTTGCTAAAGAAAATTCTAGACTGGTGAATAATTTGTCTTGAATGTTTTTTGATTGCATTTAGGTAAAGTTGTTGGAGCAAAGTGTTCTGTTGGCTGCAAATCTATCCATTCTGTTTGTTTCAGAAAAACCCAGGGCTAGCCAGCTTTGAGCATTAGTTAATTGACAATATTAGGAAAAAAAATCAGCTCCAGAACCATTTCCATTGATTGGGAAGACACACAGAATTATTCCTTAAAGTGGTCCCATTTCCATAGAAGGAAACTGAAGGTAAATGAGTGACAGAATTGCTTCAACCCACAGATAATTATGAATGAATGTAGATTTACTAATGTAGGTACTCAAACTCAGTGACTATGTTTATATTGATATATAAAATATATATTTATCTTTATGATTTTATGTATAAAATAATATATACTGTATTTTATAGAGTAACTGATTTTTAGAAGAGACATTTTGGTTGGAGAAAGATGTTTAGAGTGAGACAGCTGGGTTTGAATAAAACTTCAGTACTTAGTATTTTTCAGCTTTGAATCTCAGAACAAGAGTTTCTTTGAATGTACAATGGGAGATGAAAGTACATATCATGCAAAGTTGTTACTATATTTGCAAACTTGGACACAATAGACACCTAGGAATTGGTAGTTATTATCCTTTTGCTACTAATTTATGTTTAACAAATATTCCAGCGCTATTGTGATCAGAAGACTGCAGGAAGGTATTGTGGGAAAAACACTAAAAGGAACAACACAAGATCTCTCTCTTTAAAGGACTTTGATACAGTTTTTGAAGAGACAGACACATTCATACATCCAATAAATCTTAAAGAATTCTAATCTAAAGCATACAAAACAATGCAAAACCATTATAGGACATAAATGTAGCACTGGGTTTTTTTTTTTCTTTTTTCTCTTGAGACAGTCTTGCCCTGTCACCCAAGCTGGAAAGCAATGGCACGATGCCGGCTCACTGTAACGTCCACCTCCTGGGTTCAAACAATTCCCCTGCCTCAGCCTCCCGAGTAGCTGGGACTGCAGGTGCATGCCACCATGCCCAGCTAATTTTTGGATTTTTAGTAGAGATGGAGTTTTGCCATGTTGATCAGGCTGGTCTTGAGCTTCTGACCTCAGGTGGTCTGCCTGCCTCAGCCTCCCAAAGTGCTGGAATTACAGGTGTGAGCCACTATACCTGGCCTGGAATAATTTTTATGTCACCAAGATGGAAATTTTAGATCACGGTTGCCCTCTTTTCCAATTTCTACTTAGAGATTTCCTCCTTACATGTGGCGATAATAAAGTACTTTTAATAAACTAAAAAATGTTCTTAAAAACCATTATCAATAATTATGATGTGATCAATGACAATAAATAGACTATTTGTAATTATCATGGATTGCTTCAACCTGATTCTATATTAAGGTCTCATTGTTATTTCTAATAAACTACTGATTGCTAAAGCTGCATTTTTAAGTTGGCTCATTATATAGGAAATATTCAGATGTTAACATAACTATAGGTGCTCATAGTTGATCACTCTACAATGCTTGGGTGTTGCCATTCCCTTCTCCCTGGGTCATGGCAGACATTACCTATTAATCAAGGCATCTTTGTTTCTATTCATTGCAGTCTCACAAACCTTCTCATGTCAGTGTGATATGGTTTAGATTTGTGTCCCTGCCCAAATCTCATATTGAATTGGAGGAGGGATCTGGTGGGAGGTGAATGAATCATGGGGGTGGAATTTCCCTTGGTGTTCTTGTGATAGTGGGTGAACTCTCACAAGATCTGATGGTTTAAAGTGTGTGGCACTTCCCCCTTGCTCTCTTTCTCTTCTGCTTCACCATAGTATGATGCGCTTGCTTCCCTTTCACCTTCCATCATGACTGTAAGTTTCCTGAGGCCTCCTAGCCATGCTTCCTGTACATCCTGTGAACTGTCAGTCAATTATACCTCTTTTTTTCATAAATTACCCAGTCTCAAGTAGTTGTTTATAGCAGCATAAGAACAGACTAATACAGAAATTTGATACTGGGGGAGTGGGGCACTCTTATAAAGACAGCTGAAAATGTGGAAGCAACTTTTGTAACTGGGTAATGCTCAAAGGTTGGAACAGTTTGGAGGACTCAGAATAAGACAGGAAGATGTGGGAAAGTGTTGAACTTCCTAGAGACTTGTTGAATGGTTTTGACCAAAATGCTGATAGTGATATGGACAATGAAGTCTAGGCTGAGGTGATCTTAGATGGAAATGAGAAACTTATTCAGAACTGGAGTAAAGTTGACTCTTGCTATGTTTTAGCAAAGAGACTGGTGGCATTTTGCACCTGCCCTAGAGATCTGTGGAACTTTGAACTTGAGAGATGATTTAGGCTATCTGGTGGAAGAAACTTCTAAGCAGCAAAGCATTCAGGATGTAACCTGGCTGTTTCTAAAAGTGTATGCTCATATGCATGGGCAAAGAGATTATCTGAAACTGGAACTTATATTTAAAAGGGAAGTAGAGTGTAAAAGTTCAGAAAATTTGCAGCCTGGCCATGTGGTAGAAAAGAAAAACCCATTTTCTGGGTAGAAATTCAAGCCTACTTCAGAAATTTGCATAAGGAAAGAGGAGCTGAATGATAATAGCCAAGACAATGGGGAAAATGTTTCCAGGGCATTTCAGGGACCTTCACTGCAGCTCCCATTACAGGCCCAGAGGTGTAGGAGGGAAAAATGGTTTTGTGGACCTGGCCCAGGGCCCTGTTGCTGTCTGTAGCCTTGGAACAAGGCACCTTGCATCCCAGACACTCCAGCTCCAGCTGTGGCTAAAAGGAGCCAGGGTACAGCTCAGGCCATTGCTTCAGGGGGAGTAAGCCCCAAGCCTTGGTGGCTTCCATCTGGTGTTGGGCTTGCAGGTGCACAGAAGACAGGAGTTGAGGATTGGAAACCTCCACCTAGATTTCAGAGGATGTATGAAAACATCTGGATGTCAAGGTAGAAGTCTGCTTCAGGGGTGGAGCCCTCCTGGAGAACCTCTACTAGGGTAGTGTGGAGGGGAACTGTGGGGTTGAAGCTCCCACACAGAGTCCCCACTGAGACACTGCCCAGTGGAGCTGTGAGAAGAGGACCACTGTCCTCCAGACCCCAGAATGGTAGATCCATCGACAGCTTGCACCATGTGCCTGGAAAAGCCTCAGGTACTCAATGCCAGCCTGTGAAAGCAGATGTAGGGGCTGTATGCAGTAAAGCCACAGTGGCAGAGCTGCCCAAGGCCTTGGGAGCCCACCCCTTGAATCAGCATGCCCTGGATGAGAGACATGGAGTCTAAGGACATTATTTTGCAGCTTTAAGATTTAATGACCACCCTGCTGGATTTCAGACTGGCACGGTGCCTGTAGCCCCTTTGGTTTGGCTGCTTTCTTCCTTTTGGAATGGGAGCATTTACATAATTCCTGTACCCTCATTTTATTTTGGAAGTAATTAACTTGTGTTTGATTTTACAGGCTTATAGGCAGAAGGGGCTTGCCTTGTCTCAGATTAGACTTTGGACTTGGACTTTTGAGTTAATGCTGGAATGAGTTAAGACTCTGTGGGACTGTTGGGGAGGCATGATTGGTTTTGAAATGTGAGAAGGTCATGAGATTTGGGAGGGTCCAGGGATGGAATGATATGGTTTGGGTTTGTGTCCCCAACCAAATCTCATGTCAAATTGGAGGCGGGACCTGGTGAGAGGTGATTAGATTATGGGGGCAGATTTCCCCTTGGTGTTCTTGTGATAGTGAGTGAGTTCTCATAAGATCTGATGATTTAAAAGTGTGTGGCACTTCCTGCTTATCTCTCTGTCTCTCCTGCCCACTTGTGGTAAGACGTGCTTGCTTCCCATTTACCTTCCATCATGATTTAAGTTTCCTGAGGCTTCCTAGCAATGCTTCTTGTACAGCCTGCAGAACTGTGAGTCAATTAAATCTCTTTTCTTCATAAATTACTCAGTCTTAGGTAGTTCTTTATAGCAGTGTGAGAATGGACTAACAGAGTGTTTCAGGTAGTCACAGCCAACTAGTTTGACTTGACACATGTGATAGGATCTATTTTTCATCCCATCATAAGCATTTTTGAGTTTGAGAAAGTTCACACTCACTATGTTAACTGAAGCTACCTTGTAGCCCTGTAAATCTATTTTTAGGAAACTTGATCTACTAGTTATAATTCTCCCTTTTTCTTCTGGTCTCATTATATGCTAGAATTCCTTGATTATCAACTCTGAAAACATGGCAGAATGCAGTGGTTCACAAATATTGGTGTGCATCAGATTCACCTGAAGACTTGTTAAGGGATTTCTGGGTCCCACTCCCCAGAGTTTCTGATTCAGTAGGTAGCAATATTTTAAACAGGTTTAGAAAGCTTTTAAGAGATATAAACTCAAGTGATGCCTTTGGTGCCAATCATGGAGCCACATTTGGAGAACTACTGACATAATGAAAAGAACATAGACTTAATTACAGAGAAAAAAGCATTGAGAGCATCATTACTAGATTCTTGAAACTCAATTGTTTTCAATGAAGTTTTCCCAATAATAAAGCCTGTATCATGGAATTACTTGAAGCATTACCTGAGAAATATTTCAAATATTTAGCAGTAATAACCCCTCAGTGAATGTACATTCACTGTACTTTTTGTACTTTGTGCACTTTGTAATAAAAAAATCAGATCTAACATTGTTCTATGTACCATAGGGAAATGGAGATGGCGATGTATAGTTCTTGTTCTTTCTTCCATGAACTGTTGTTACATATTCTAATCTTCAGAAACTCACTTTGTGTTATCCTATACAGCATACCATATTTGCTCTTTGCTCTGAAAAGCTTGCTTTAGGCACTAAGGAGAAAGTTTTACTTTTTTACTTTGAGTTTGGAGAAGTGCACAAATGGTAATCCAGCAGGTAACTGTGTATAAAAGCTGTGGAGCCACATTAGGCTGGGATTTCCCTCTTTACAGGTAATATTTTTAAATGAATGTGATAATACTTAGAGCATATTTTACATCCTGCAAAGGAGTATACTATTCAAATATTTGTGCCAGATTGCGTTGTAAATGCAGCACCATTTAATTTTAATTTAATTTAATTTTTAATTTTTTTTTTTTTTTTTTTGAGATGGGGTTTTGCTCTTGTTGCCCAGGCTGGAGTGCAATGGTGCGGTCTCAGCTCACTGCAACGTCCGCCTCCCAGGTTCAAGTGATTCTCCTGCCTCAGCCTCCAGAGTAGTTGGGATTACAGGCGCCCACCAGCACACCCGGGTAATTTTTGTATTTTTAGTAGAGATGGGGTTTCACCATGTTTGCCAGGCTGGTCTCGAACTCCTGATCTCAGGTGATCCACCCGCCTTGGCCTCCTAAAGTACTGGGATTACCAGTATGAGACACTGCTCCTGGGTGCACTACCATTTAATTTTAAATTTTCACTTATTAGTTCACTTGAATTGCCCTGAAGAATACTTGGTCCGAACATTTACATCTATGGATAAGGCACTGAGAAACAGAAAGCCTGAAGGAATTTCTCAAGGATGATGAAGAACCTGGCTTAGGTTTGATCTCAAAACACAGACTCCTTATAAATAATTCACTCACTTAGGTCATTCTCCTCCATGATTGCTCTTCAGTTTACCAGAGGTTTAATTTGTTTCCCCAAGTATTTTCACATGCAGATTCTTTATATATTACTGTATTTTTGTGCTTAGTAATCTTAATAAAAATATCAAGAGTACTGTTTAGGAAATATGTTATCTATGGCAAAATAGTTCTTAATTATAATGTAGTGTTTTTGGACAGTATAAATGATAGCTTAGAATTGAAAAGAGAATTACTATGCTTACCATAAATCTCCTTGACAACAAGTTCAATGTTTTGAATACTGAATCATTTAGAATTTTATGCAGATTTATAGGTCTCTCACCTTGGCATCTCATTCCTTTTTTATACATCTGGGATTTTAACAGATGTATAAAATCTGTTATAATTATTACTGCTTTATTTATCCCCATAATTGTTACTGCTTTAACAAATATTTTTGGCCGTCCAACTCATTTGTATTTGAAATGTTTGCCTAGTTTTTACTATCATCATCATCATCCATCATCTTCATCTTTCTTCAATATTTATTGAGCTTTGAAAAACTGTGAAAATCAACTTCAAAGAACATCTTGATTACTTTACTGAAATGAAGGTCCTTATTGGAACCCTCACTCCAGAAAAAAAGAAGTGATTCACAGATTCTGGGTCTTCTTTCTAAGGGATATATAATGTCAGTTAGGCAGTTACCATCCCCCAAACTGCTTGCTTCTCATTTTGTAATGAAAAGAAAGCTCTCTCAGCATATAGTATTCTGTACAGATTGCCTTCCTGCCTTTGGCGGAGCTCCTGTTTCTCTGTGAATCATTCCTTGGTACACAGTGTTACCATTGTGTTATCTGAAAGAGCGAATCCTGCTGGGTGGTGGTGCCGCTACTCCATTGGGAAGGTCACAAGTTCATGTCTGCTTTGCCTTCTGTCTAGTGAAATGTGTTCCCACTAAGGAATAGAGAATTGCAATATTTTTCTGCTTATGGAAGGTCAGGCGTTCAGTGGTACCCTAGCAGTGTTGGCTAAAAGGCCATCAATAGTGGCAAATTCAAGGCAAGGCTTAATCTTGCCTGTTGTCTATCATTCCACATGTTTTTTTACACCTCTTCTCAGTGGCTGAAAAATGAATTTGCTTAAGGACTTGGTTGAAGTGACTGAGGATGAAGCAGGAGGCCCTTAATGGGACCCTGGAGTGAAAGCGCTTGCAGTTTAACTAAGTGGTCTTTATTGATTAAGCAGGCATTTATTGAACATCAGCTCTATGCCAGACACTGCTTTAGGTGCTGGAGTTACTGAGGTAAATGAAACACCAAAGGTCTCTGTTGTTTCAGGGCTTTTATTCTAGTGGAGGTGTCAGGCAATAGCAATGGCAGAGAGTGAGTGACAGAAGCTGTTAGGAGATTAAAGCTGAGGAAGGTACGAGAAAGGGCAGGGCTGTTGTTTTACATCAGGTCATTAGGGACAGACTTTCTGAGGAGAAGACGTATGAACAGAAGAGAACCATAGAAAGATCTAGAGAGAGAGCTTTCCAGAAAGAGGTAAAAGCAAACAGATCCTGAAGTGAGTGTGAGTCGCCATGAGACGGGTGCCACAAA
The DNA here is from genome assembly GCF_000001405.40 of Homo sapiens. NCBI lineage: Eukaryota > Metazoa > Chordata > Mammalia > Primates > Hominidae > Homo > Homo sapiens. Next base: position 65,980,107 of record NC_000001.11, read on the forward strand.
TTCAACATTTGTTTGAAATAAGAATATTTTGTTGATAATGATTATACACATCTATATAAAATACATTTGAAAACACGACATTATGCACAAAAAACCATCACCACTTTTAAAAATATGTGTATATAATGAAGGTATAAAATAATATTTTCTGTCATAAATTTTTCCCCAGTAGAGCCATCATAGGGTTAAAACAATATGTTTTATACATAATGTACTGTAACTGCTTTTTTAACAACTGAAAATGTACAGAAAAATGGTGTTTTGACTGTCTATCTTTAGTCTTCAGCTGTTGCTGTCACGATTCAGAAATTTGGATCTCTGCCTTAAGAAGCACATTTTCTTAGCTATAAAAAAATCTGATGGAATCTACAACTGTAATCATAGGCTGTGACTTTAGAATATAAATCACTTGTTATAAAAGGGGGGTGTTGGTGTTTCTTTTCTTTTCATTTGATTCTCATTTGTGTTCTCAATATGCTTTACTTTGAGTTTGTTCGTATTTGGATGAAGATAAAATTTTCCTTGGCTTCAGTGTGTGGCAAGCAGTGCCCATTTATTTTAATAGATACTGTACCAACTAAATCCCAATATGTGTCAGGAAATTCAGAAAACTGAACCCAGAAATGATGCTAGACACAGATAGAAAGGAGGACTTCAAAAATTCCTACATGTTACTTTGGTGATTGGTGTGAAGGAGTACTTTATAGTATCTTCTAAAAGTACAGTTACTTTCAGAAAAATGAGAAAAATTTAAAAAGATTAAAAAACACAGTATCATTAGAATTTGGTCTCTTGCCTCTAAATTTTCTAAATTACCAAAAATAAAATAAAAGAAATTTATTGGCTATAGATAATATAGCACAAATTGGATAATTTTAAATCTCAGACATGTAAAATCAGTACAGATTTCACACCAAAACACTATTTGTAGCAATAGTAGCCATGAGAATTAAGTATCTGACCTGGGAGGCCCCAAAATATCAATCTCAGGTGTGTCCGTTAGAAGGTAAAAAATCTGGAAATAGAATCCTGAGATGATATTTCTACCTATAATACTTAAGGTAAAGAAAAGGAGGTACATAAGAAACGTTTCTAGATTTTAACACAAGAGACAAATAAATTCTTTTTGACATGAAAGACAAATAAATTTTGAGTTGCAAATGAGTGAACATGCCAAGGTACGTTAAACTAATATACTTTCTTCCAAAACTGGCTTAAGATTGGTAAAAGTGCATTCAGGCGAAATTATTTTTAAAAATTACTCATTAATAAAATTTTGCTAATTTTTGTTGCTTATTCAAATTGCTTTGTGTTGTCCTGAAATATGAAATTATGGAGAAACAATTCTAGTTTCAGGATACAACTTAATTGGAGTTAATAGGTTTTTAATACAGTGTGTTGTATTTATGTGTATATAAATATGGCGTATTCATGTTTCCTTTTTTTTTTTTTTGCAATAAAGTATAGTGGATTAAAGCCTAAGTTTTGAAGTCAGATGTTTTTGGGTTCCAATACTTACCAACTGGTTGACCTTGGGTAATTCATCTAATGTTTCTGTAATTCAGTTTCTTTATCCGTAAAGTGTAGATTATACAGTTCAAAGGGGGTATTATAAGGTTAAATGTGATAATGTGATGATAATGTATATAAAATTAACTAGTACATAGCAAACTCTCAATAAATAATGGTTATTATCTCTTAGTTCCCAGTGGTTCTCTCTTTCTCTTTCTGCCTTCCCCCCAAGAAAGGGCTGGAACTGATTCTTTTCTCATAGCCCTTAGAAAGAACTAACTCAGCTGATGCCTTCATTTTTGGACGTCTAGCTCCCAGAACTGTGAGACAATAAATTTCTGTTGATTAAGCCACCCAGACTGTGGTATTACCAAGAAGTACTAAGGTAGTGCTGTAAAAATACTTTAAAATGTGGAATTTGGAATTTGGTTGGCAGAGACTGGAAGAGATTTGAAGTGCTTGGTAGGAAAGGTCTAGATTGCCTCCAGGAGACTATTGTTAGACTTATGAATGTTAAAGATGTTTCTGATGAAGTTTCAGACAGAAATAAGGAACATCTTCTTGGAAACTGGAGGAACGGTGATCCTTATTATAAAATAGAAAAGAACGTGGCCTACTTGTGTTCTAGTTTCTTTGTGAAAAATAGAACTTATAGGTGATGAACTTGGATATTTAGCTGAGGAGCTTTCTAAGCAAAGGGTCGCAAACACATCCTGGTTTCTCCTTACTGTTTATAGTAAACTGTGAAGGGACAGACTACATTGAAGAAGGAGTTGTTAAGCAAAACGTAACCAGAGTGTGAAGACTGGAAAAATTCTCAGCCTATCTACATTGCAAGAAATGAGAAAACGTGTTCTGGAGAGAGCATCAAAAGTGTGACTAGACAATCATTTGCTACAAAGAGAAGCATGTGACTCATTAATCCAATCAACCATCTCAGCAAAAGACAGGAATAGATATGTGATCATCCAGGAAACATCTGTGAAAGACCCTCTTGTCTGGTGGTTTGGAACCCTGTGAATTGCACAGGAGGCCAACAAGATTTTTGAGAGTTTTCTATCAGCAGAAACACTACAAACTCTGACTGAAGGTGACAGAACTGGGATGAAGTGAAGGAAAATGGTCAGACTTCTGGGATTCTACAAGCAGGAAATGGGTTGATTGAACTATCTGGCTGGTTGATAATGCAGATAGTTTTTAAGAAAAGAGAAGAATGATCCAGAAGGTAGTTTAGAGGCCAGCAGAGCTGCTTCTGTCATCATTGGTCCAGAGAGCACAAGCCTGGCAACACTGGGGCCATCGCCTCATTGGTTCCAGAAAAATAGGACCACCTCCTTGGTTTCAGAGGGCAGGTCTGGCCACTAATGCTCAGGTTCTAGAAAACTGGTGCCACCCCATTCATGGGCCCAAAGGACAGAACACTGAGCCAAAGAGGATTATTCTCAAGCCTCAACATCTAATGGAATTTTTCGTGCTAGGTTTTGGACTTATGATCTCTTTCTTCCTTTTGGAATAGGAATGTTTGTCCTGTGCCTGTCCCACCATTGTATTTTCAAATCAGATAACTCATTGTCTGGATTTATAGGTTTCCAGATGGAGAAGAACTTTGCCGCAGGATGAATCATACTTCAAGTTTCACCCATAATCGATTTGGATGATTTAAATGAGATTTGAGGCTCAGAGTTGATGCTGGAACAATTAAGACTTTTGGAGGTGTTGTGATGGGGTGAATGTATTTTGCATATGACAGACAACGACATGAATTTTTGGGGTCAGAGGATGGACGTTTATGGGTTTGTGTCCTCCCCAAATCATATGTTGAAATTCTAACCCCCAGTACCTCAGAAAGTGACCTATTTTGGAGAAAAGATCTTTACAGAGATTATAAAGTTAAAATAAGGTCATTAAGGTGGGTCCTAAGCCAACATGACTGGTATCTTTATTAAAAACGGTAATTGCAACATTGAGACAGCATAAAGGGAAAGCCATGTGAAGAGGCATAGGGAGAAGGCAGCCATCTATAAGCCACGGAGAAAGGCCTGCAACATATTCTTCCCTCACAACCCTCAGAGGAGCCGATTCTGCTGACACCTTGATTTTGGAAGTCTAGCTTCCAGAACAGTGAGACAATACATTTCTGTTATTTAAACCACCCACTCATTTGTACTTTGTTATGGAAGCCCTAATAACGTAATATATACTATTGTGTATGTCAGAGGTTCAGACTGTATTATCAAAAAGGATCTAATTTATATTGTATAAGGATAGTTGAACGAGTATAGTTATTTAGGATGGAAGAGAAAAGTATTAAAGAAAATATCTTTGCAGGGCTATATATGACCCAGGAATCCTACATTTGGGTATTTTCCATAGAGGAATGACAGCTTATATTCACACAAAAACCTGTACACGGATGTTTACAGAAGCTCTATTTATAATTGAGCTCAAAACTAGAAACAGCCCAATTGTCCTTCAGTGGGCAAATAAGTAAACAAACTGGTAGAGACTTACAATGGAATGCTATTTGGCAATAAAAATTAATGAACTATTAATAAATGTACATCTTAGCTAAACTTCAAGGACATTGTGCTGAATAAAAACTTGATCTTAGCAGTTTAAACGCTATATGATTCCATTTATATGATATGATTGAAAAGACAAATCAGTGATGGAGAACAGATCACAGATTGCCAGGGATTAGTGGTGGCAGGAAGGATGTGACTATAAAGGTGTAGCAGAGAAAGTTTTCTGAGGGTGACACAACTATTCTATATCCTGAACATATTGGTAATTGCAAGAATATCTATGTGTGTCAACTTTCATAGAACCCTACACCAAAAAAGGTGAATTTTATTTCGTGATAAATTAAAAAGTAAAACAAAAGAGACAAAAATAGTAACCAGGGAAGCTTTCAAAAAATATATGTTCTTGTTCAAGACCAGCATGGCCAACATGGCGAAATCCCATCTCTAATAAAAATAGAAAAATTAGCCAGGCGTGGTGGTGGGCGCATGTAGTCCCAGCTATTCAGACGGCTGAGGCAGGATAATTGCTTAAACCTGAGAGGTGGAGGTTGCAGTGAGCCGAGATGGTGCCACTGCACTTCCAGCCTGGGTGACAGAGTGAGATTCCATCTCAAAAACAAACAAACAAACAAAATATATATATGTTATCTTTAAAAGTCTTTGCTAAAACTCTCAGCATGCTTACATATCAAATGTCTCAAGCCTTTGATTTTACATATGTAATATTGCAGTGTTTTGATTATATGAAATATTATATTGAAGTAAATTTGATTAACTCTAAATTTAATTTTAAATTTAAATTTAAATTCTAGGACTTTATAGCAAGTCTTGACAAATAAAATTCTATTTTCTTCGTTATGAACTAATGAGCCATCATCATTAATGTTACTGAAATTTTTAAAAATTCTAATATGAACAGATTTAAAATAAACAGACTATGTAGTGAAAAACAAATCTTGAAATTAAGTCAGCTGATCTTGATCTAACCTACCATTTTGGAAGAATTTTCTACATTGATATGTATTATGTACCCTTATAAGGCTCATAGTAGTAAAATATTAATTTAGGAAAATATTGTCTCTGTGAAATAGCTTGTGAATGTCCACTTAAACACATAATGGATCTCTGCATATTGTTCTTTTTTTAAGAGCAGTGGAGTGGATTTGATTTAATATTAATGTGTGCTATACTCTATGATCTCTGTAGTATCACAGTTAACTGGACTTATATAGGCAATTATTTACATTTAAAATTTTACAGTGTAGATTAATACTATGTTATTTTTTTCTTATCTATTTCAGACAAGACTACTGACAAAGTAGGAAATAATAAAAAGATAAAAGCTTATTTTAGAGAAAGAGGTTTTCCCAAATATAACTTTGTTTCTAACAGCTATGTCCTTAATATTTTATTCATTTGAAATCACCCTTATAGACAATTTGCTGACAGGTTAATATTATCTTTGGGAACTGGAGTACCCTCTTTTAGTGTGGTTTTTACAACATCTACCATGGGAACAGCTTCCCCTTCCATTTAGGTATCTGACTCATCCTTGCTAATATATCTTGATTTAATGATGACCTAGGGAAGAAAGAGAGGAACTCCCTTAGTATTTTTATTCTATGTAATCTGCCTTCTCAGAATGTGCCTTGTGAAAGAAGCACCTAATTACTCTGCTAAAACCAGAAAGCACTGTGAGGAGAAAGCCTGGCAAGTTTCTCCTACCAGTCTGCCACCTAATGAATAGAAATTGCAACACACTGGTATTCTGCTTTTGCACTGCGGCAGGAATGTGAATAATAATAATTATTATTATTAAAAGAACAAAGAAATGTTAGCTAAAATGGTAAACATAGATAAACTGCTGTGATTTAAGAAGTTTCCATTTGGAATCCTCTGTAAGCTCAAGTATAAAAAGGATATTGGCTGTAATCACTTTCAAGACAGTAACAAAAATGCAGGGCTAATAGCAGGGCATGATTTGACGTGCCAAATTTATTTTTCTTTCATATATTTAACTGCTAAATATTAATCAATCAGAATACACAATGTCAGCCTCTGAAGATACAAAGGTGAATACGATAGTTTATGTCCTTGGAGAGCTCATAGATTAGGCCAGGAGACAAATGAAAAAAAGTACCATAACATATCACAAAACATTCTGAGGGAGACAGCCAATGCTGGTGGAGTACAGATGGATGAAACAGCTGACTCTTCTTATGGAAGTTGAGAAAAAATTTACTGAAGAGTTTTCCTTTGAATTTAGCCTTAATGGATGAGACATGACATGCTTGACAAAGATGATAGAGAAATAACACTTCAGACAGTGAAAACTGCACAAAATAATAAATATACAACATTTTGAAAATGCTACTGCTTAATGCCAATATAGCTCTTACTCTAATTTGAGAGAAATAGCTTATTCCATTTTGTTTGATCCCTCCTCCTTTGTCTTATTCTGCACCAAGGCGATCAGTTATTTATTCATTCAATGAATATTTGTTTAAATACCTACTATGTAGCAAACAGTATTTGGGGAGCTGAGATTACAGGATCGAACAAACAAAGCTCTGTTCCTTATGAAAGTTAAATTTCAGGAGGAGTAAACAGATGATAACAAAGTCGTTAAGTAATATCGACTATGATAAACAAGTAATTAATATTATACGCTGACAAGTACTATGGAGAAAAATGAATCAGAATAGGGGAGGTCGGTAGGTTTAAACAGGGTGATTATGGGGGACTTCATGAAGCAAGCGATATTTGGGCAGATGCTGAAGGAGATGAGGGAACAAACCATGCAGATATACTGGGAAAAAGGAAACTTGAACAACATTTTCTGTGAACAAAAAGGAGGCCAGTGTGGCTGAAGAAGAACTAGGGGGAGAGTTGAAGAAGACGAAATAAGAGAAGTACTGCAGTTGGAGATGGGGAAACCTCATGTAGGGACCTCAAGGCCACTGTGTAGACTTTGCTTTTACTCTAGGTGATGAGGTGTCATTGGAGGGCTTTGAGTAAGCAATTCTTTCTTGAATGGGACCATCTCTAAGAAACATGAAACCATGCTCAAGCATCTAGGATACAAGCCTCCCACCTAGGATTCAGGTGACTCTATCAGGTAGTATGGGCTAAAACTGATCTTTCTGAAGCACCATTTTCCTAAAGATGAGTAATTAAATAGCATCATATGGATAAAAGTGAGGTATTCACATCATCTTATAAAGATATCATGCTAGATAACTTCAGACTCAAGGATGTTAAGTATATGTGAAGATGAACTTCTAGCAATATGACTGGATCACCGTGGGAGCATGAATTCCGTCTTCTGTCCCATAAGGTATCCTCTGTTATAAAAAGCTTGGATAGCATTGGTGAAGTATAATAAAATGGACACTATAGTTAGAGTGGAAAGACCTGGTTTTGAGTATTGGATCAACTGCTTAAAAGCTATGCAATTTTATTTTTTGATTTATTTATTTTTTTTTGAGATGGAGTCTCACTGTTGTCTGCCTGGGCTGGAGTGCAATGGCACAATCTCTGCTCACCACAACCTCCACTTCCTGGGTTCCAGTAATTCTCCTGCCTCAGCCTCCCAAGTAGCTGGGATTACAGGCATGCGCTGCCACGCCCAGCTAATTTTTGTATTTTTTAGTAGAGGCGGGGTTTCACCATGTTGGCCAGGCTAGTCCTGAACCCCCCACATCAGGTGATCCGCCCGCATTGGCCTCCCAAAGTGCTGGAATTACAGGTGTGAGCAACTGTACCCGGACTTGCGTCTTGATATTCTTATCTGAAAATGGGTATAATAATTTACAAATAATGTACATTTGGTCTACAAATATTTATTGACTGTCTACTCTGTGCCATAGTCTATCCCAAATTCCAGAAATACAGTATTGAACAAGACTCAGCCCAGCCCAAAAGGATTTTATATTTCAAACAGGGAATTTCAACAGTATTTGTCTGATATATTTATGAGGATCAAATAAAGTAATATATTAGAAATGCTTACTGCCATATATGGCACTCAGTAGGAATGCAAAAAATGTAAGTTACATCTCTATAATTCTTTTAAAGAGTTGCCAGTTAATTTTCTAAGAGAGCTAGATAACCATTTTTATTCAGTTGAATATTATCTTCTTTTCAATCATGTTAGAATAATTCTCTAGCTTCGTTTTTTAAAACAAAATATAAAAATTGGGAGAAGTTGCAATTTGGGGGTTGCTGTAGTTATATATAACAGTATATTTACTGTTATATACTGTTGTATAACAGCATACACTGCTGGAAGAGGTATGTTAGTTCATTGGTGCTCTGTTACCTTGTCTTTGACTGAAGGAAGGGATCTTGTATAGCTTTACTTGAATAGAGTCTAATGGTTGTGTGTTGTTTTAGAAAAAAGGAACCAGCTAGTGAAATAAATAAAGACATGATCAATAATAATTCAATTTTATTAATATTGATAGTCTTAAATCTGTTCCTCTTTTAAAGATTTTTTTTTAAAAGCTTCTGGATTGTCTTTTTAAAAAAAGCTTCTTAATTCATTGTCTTCTCAAATATCCAGCTTTGTATTTACAATAAGTGGGAACCATGTTATTTTGAGTGCCATGTTGTGCTAGGTATAATATTATTGTATACAAACTGCAGTTTTGTCCATTTAAAATACTTTTGTTTTATAATAGTTGAAAAGTAGTTACTCGTAGAAAATTTATTCCAGGTCAACTTTTAAAGTTTGAAGGATATTGAATATAAAAAGTATGTAATTATTTTCATCCAAAATAATTGTATTACAAAGATGTTGAATTTTAAAAACATTTTAAACCAAAGTTATCATAGTGTCACTATAAATTTATAATATTTTTGGCTGTAATTAATTGACCTTTCTTTTCAATTCAATGAAAATCAAAATGTTTCCATTTTTCCACAATATTTATAATAAGTAATGCATTATTTAATTGTTATTGACTATATAACTATTCAAATCCTTTAATGATATTTTATTATGATAAATTATTGATTCTTATTGCTTTGACAGGATGTGAATATCAGAAATTTCATTATTTAAAACTGAGACAGGCTGGGCACGGTGGCTTGCACCTGTAATCTCAGTACTTTGGGAGGCTGAGGCAGGCAGATTACATGAGGCCAGGAGTTTGAGACCAGCCTGGCCAACATCGTGAAACCTGTCTCTACTAAGAATACAAAAAATTAGCCAGGCATGGTGGTGGGCGCCTGTAATCTCAGCTACTCAGGAGGTAGGATCGCTTGAACCCGGAGGCAGAGGTTGCAGTGAGCCTAGACAGAGCCACTGCACTCCAGCCTGGGTGACACAGCGAGACACTGTCTAAAAAATAAAATAAAATAAAATGTAATTGAGTTATAAAAAATAAATAAACCTGAGACATACCTTTAATTGGATTTCTCAAATAATTCTCAAGTATCTGTACATTGATAAATTAATTGGGAATTACTCATTTCTCCTTCTGAGGTGCCAAGGGCTAAGGGTTATACATGAACCGGAAGGTTTTCATTTTATTCATTAGTTCCTTCCTAGGCACCTGACAGGGCAAATAGATTCTATTTGCCTTTTCTCCTGTTCTCCTGGCTGTCTCTCTCAAATAGTATACTTTGCTGAAATATAGCATAGGATTTATTTTTACTGTGCTTATGTTTACTTTTTCTTAGATAGCATTGGCTATTTCCTATCTTGTAGGCTCATCTTTGATTTCAATATTTGGCAAAGTGTCTCATTTTTTTTTTTTTGGCAGTTTGGCTCTAAAAACAAACTTTCCTCCTCTTGCCTTAAACATTTTTTTTTTCAGAAATAAGTAATTCAGACTTTCAAAGAGTCCGATTATCTTTTAAATTTTATATTTCAATTGGCTGTCTTTGGTATTCCTATCTTTTTTCTAGAGTAGGTAGAATTAACAGACTTTACATATTTTTGTGAACATCACATCTTAGAATGATTCTCAAAATTTCTTTACTTGGGAACTTGGCTGTCATAGTAGGGAAAGTGAAAAAAGTAATGTGGAATCCCACGTGATGGCACATAATTTGGCAATAATAATTGGAAAGTAATTATAATTGCACTATTGTACTGCTTTAGGTAAGTTTATGTCAACATTTCTTTATCTAAACTCCAGTTCACATATAGCTATATCTGGGTTGTGAAATTTGCTGTAATATTTTTAGAAAGAAATTCCTAAAATGCTTACTATATTTTGGCAGTTTTGAAAAGTAAATATGAGAAGTATCTTTTGTAACTTCAAATTGCTGGGGTTTTTTTTGCCAATACATCACTATGAATAATGGCAAAATCACATATTTTCATGTCCCAGTTTTAAATCATATTATTGCTGGAGGAAAGTCCCAGCTTTGTTTTCATAATTCAGCAAATAATAGGTAGCTTATAGCCATATTTTCTCCTGTGACATTACTAATAGTTTGTCTTCTCAAATAGGGCAGTTAAAATATCTTTAGATATTAAAACATGCATTAGAGCCTACTTGAACAAAATTACAATTTTGTAATTGAATTAAAGATCATTCCATTGGGAATCAAAAAACCTGGGTTTTAGTTTTAGCTCTAACATCAGCAGCTAATATGATTTTAGGTAAGTTGCTTAAATTCTCTAGCTCTGTTACCTTGTCTTTGGAATGAGAAGCTGAACAAGGTGATTACTAGGATTCAGTGCAAATCTAAAATTCTATAACTGTGCTTTTGTTCATAATATATTTTAGTTAATTATTGAAATGTTCTGCTTTCCAGAGTAGTACCGTAAACCAGTAATTTAAACCCTTCCTACTATGTTTCAACCACTTTCCCAAGGGCTGGTATGGGTCTTACTTGCTCCTACATGTAGGAGTTAGTCTGCTCTTATTTAGTCCTTTAGATATTTAGCACATTTTAGCCTGAATATCTGACACAGATGAATGATTTTTTTTTTTTTTTGAGACAAAGGCACACTGTCACCAAGGCTGGAGTGCAGTGGCGTGATCTTGGCTCACTGCAACCTCCACCTGCTTGGTTCAAGTGATTCTCGTGCCTCATCCTCCTGAGTAGCTGGGATTACAGGTGTGTGCCGTCAAGCCTGGGTAATTTTTGTATTTTTTTAAGGAGAGACGAGGTTTCCCCATGTTGGCCAGACTGGTCTCAAACTCCTGGCCTCAACTGATCCGCCTGCCTCGGCCTCCCAAAGTGTTGGGATTACAGGCATGAGCCACCACGCTCAGCCCAAATGATTTTATAAGCGTAGAAGACATCTCTCACATCTTAGTGGGAGAATTAAATGTCTCTCTTTTTCACTGAAGTCTTACCGAGAATCATTTCTTTTCTGTCACTCTTGCTGATCTTGCTGATGAGCCCTAGTTCTGCTTTGTCAAACTTATTTGAGATCAGGCTGGCCCTTGTGACAATCATTGCCGGTATAGACTTTTCATAACATCCAGAAACTTCAAGCACCACTATATTGTTTCTACTTCCTCATATGCCTTTTAAAGTATAGAAGCTGTATTCCAATATATATCTACATGTTAGGTTACAGTGATCTGCTTTTGGACTTGAGGCATTTTTTGGACTCGCCTGTCCGTAAGTCTCACTTGCATTCTTTGTGAACAAAGAATACACCCACTCTCAAATGTATATGCCCACACACAAGCATACAGTATCTTGTACACCTATCTGCACACACACAAACACATGCATAGTGCTTGACTTTGGACTCTGTGCTTTAACTGAGAGTATTCATTTTTCCTGGTTGTTACCTTCATTCCAGTTTTGTGAGCTTTGCTGTCAAAGTGGCTGTGCATCTAGCATAGAGTGGCTGCTGTTGGCAACCCATGAACAATGAGCTTAAACAGAAGAATGAGGGTAATGTTTATTGTAATAAAGATTGGGCATTAAATTCCTTGGGGGAATGAACCAAATCCAATGTTTTCCTGTTCGCTGACATTTTTTATATTGATGCTGTTTTGGATCTTCTGGAGAAGGGAGGAAAAAAAAACTTCAGCAAATCAGCTCTTTCATTCAAAAATGGAATTCAGAAGGCTATTTTAGCTAGCTTTTTTTGACAATCCTGGATTTAATCAGTTTTTACTGTGATGAAGACAGTTAGCCTCACAAATTTTGTGGAAATCTAAAGCGATGAAGGGTGTTGTTAAGGGGGAAACAGAGTGCAATTGTTTAAATAATCCTGGGCCAATAGCATTTGGTAGGTGGAGTTACTGTTGTGTGCATTACAGAGCAAGATAATTCTGAATGAAGACTTTAAACATTACACATGCTGGACGGATTCTGGGTCTGCTCTTTGTGCAAACAAAACAAGTGACTAGGTTTTGCTTACTATCCATTAGTGAATGCAGCTTGTTTAATAAGATTTTTTTTAAAAAAATGCATGTAAAGGATTTATCAAAAGCCTTTATGAATATTTCATGAGTTGATATATTCAGCTGAATGAATTCAGTGAGTGTCAGTGTGTAGCTTGCAGACAAACCTCATCCACAAGGAGGCTACTGACATTGGAAGCACTTTGGCGCATTTTCAGAGGCAAAGCCAGCCTGATAAAGCTCCTTGTGACAGCCTGACTTGCTATTCTTCGAGTATGCTGCTCTTGCTCTAAGACGCTCATACATTGGAGTCACAGCTTCGTAAATTAAACTGGAAATAGTTTGCAGACTTATCAGTCTTCTGACCTGCAGCAGTGTCTCTGCTATGTTTGAGATTTTTGTTTTGGATGGTGAAAGCTAGCACTCCTTACAAGACATGACAGCAAAAGATTCTTCAAAGGAACTTACTGCTTCTGAACCTGAGGTTTGCATAAAGACTTTCAAGGAGCAAATGCATTTAGAACTTGAGCTTCCGAGATTACCAGGAAACAGACCTACATCTCCTAAAATTTCTCCACGCAGTTCACCAAGGAACTCACCATGCTTTTTCAGAAAGTTGCTGGTGAATAAAAGCATTCGGCAGCGTCGTCGCTTCACTGTGGCTCATACATGGTAAGATAAGACTTGGAGGTATCTACAGTGCTTTTCAGATTCTCGCATTAGCACCAGTGATCTAGCAGTGTAGAAAATGGAACATTTGAGTTTTGTTCCTAAAACATACTGCAAGTGTGAAATGAATGGAGACCAGGTCAGATGAAGAGTACATAAATGCACTGTGTGCTAAATTGTCATTGTGCTACTAGCTTTTTCCAGATAAAATATGCTTTTAACTGTAGAGTCTTTAAAATTACTGCTTATCAGAATACATAGCTAATTCTAGGTAAGTCGAGTAATAAATGAATTTTTAAAGTCAGTTTTTTGTTTCATATCTGTTGAGGTGGTAGGTGACTTTTTTGTTTTGTGATTGTTAGTGATTTTAAAAAAATAATTTTGGGACATGAATAAGTGTTTTAATCTTAGTTCTAACTTATTTTTAAGATAATGTATAAAGTCTAACTTAATGTATTGTACCATCATGTTTATAGCATATAAACCAGTGAGTTTTTGATTTATTGACTTATCTTTACAATACTTAAGGAAAGGGAAAACTAAGTTCCCACTTCTGAAATTGCATGGTCAGTTACTTTAATTTTTGATTCCAAAATGCTGTTATCTTTAAGAGCTTCTTTTTTTAAAAAAATGGACTTTAAAATTTATAGCTATTTTTTAAATACCCAGCAAATAAATTCAAGAACCCTCTGTAAAACTTGCACTGAGCCTGCCACCTTTAATATACATGTTTACAAGGTATGTAAATATAGTAGGGTAACGTCCTTAAACAGTATAATGATGAAATGTAAGGAAAAAACACGATGAAATTAAATCACTTTTACTGTGAAAGCCAGGCCACTTCAGATTTTTTTGGAGGCTATATTTTCTTTCAGATTAAGGTACCTTTAAAAATTGAGTAGCTGTACCTTAGTTTTTTCTAGCAGGGACCATAGCAATATAGGGAGCATGTACATTTTAAAGGCAATTCTAACACAGTGATTTTGTGACTACATGCTGGGTTGCCAATCAACATTATAAATTGAGGAGATCTGATTTTTAAAAATTAATATTCACTTGAATTATTTTCTACTTATCTAAAATGTTTGTCTGCTTAATCTACTGTATAGTGCATTGGCAAATTAAAGTTACGCCTAGAAATATATAGCTTGCCTTTGATAGATACCACATGCTTAGCCAACACATACTTTGCCTGGCATATATGATGTGCTTATTCTTGCTTTCTGACAATGGACTGTTCATATAATGGCTTTATTGCAGATTTTCTTTGGTCATCTTCTTGATGTATTACATCATGTTGTTTAATTGTAATCTCTTATTTGCAGAATACACGTGGTTAGTCTTTCAAAGCCTACTAATGATGGTAACATTGTATAAAGGGAAGGTTTATGTATAAGGATGTACTGACTTGAAGAAGTCCTCTCTTTTGTGCTTTATCCCACCCCTAACATGTATGTATTTTCTTATAGTTTGCTGAGTAGTATAACTGAATAGGGAAGATATTAGTTATGAAAATAATATATACAGAAAATACACAATTAATAGATGCACATTTTTTCTTGAGTTAATATTAAATTGCTATTTTAACCAAAAGGATATTTAATTTTAGATAGCTAATTTTTAGATAATGATAAGTCTTCTTAAACCCTTGGTAATATTTTTCTTTATGTAGAGTTTTGGTTCTGAACACAATAGTGTGACCTTTCTTTTTCTTATAATAGATTTTTGATGTGCTAAGAACATAGAGCTATAAATACTGGAGTTTTTTACTTTTCCAAAGAACCCCAATTTTAAAATGATTAAAGAGCTAGTTTTACTCATGCATTATACAAATTTTCTGGCAGCAAAAGGAACAATTAAATGGTATCTGAAGTTACCTACGCTAATAAGATGATATTCTTTTAGTTGAGTTAAAACAAAATGTTACAATTGCCAAAAAAAATAGGACTTTGATATAATGCTCTATAATATAGATTAAAATAATTCATTAATCATTAAACTTGTGAAATAACTTTAGTTTTGACTATGATTCATTTTCACCCTTTTTTCTTTCAACTCACACATTCCCCTTCTGATGTTTCTTAGTAAAACAGTTTCACAGTTTGTTTTCAGCTCATGACTAAGTCTTTATTTATATTTATTTCTATTGTTTTATCTGAATACATGCTTAACATTTTTCAAATTTATTTTCATACAACATGCAATGAAAATCTCTTTCTAGAAAATAGACATGTATCTTACATATTTTTATGACTTTTTCAAATCTTAAAAATTTTGCCTTTCCCGGGGAACCCCGATAAAGTCTCTAGCCTAATGCTTCATGCTTTCCCCTTGCTTCGCCTTTTTGTCTCTTGAGCACCCTAACGTCTTTCCAATGAATATAGATGGCTCTGTATGGTCTGCTCTACCTCCTGTCTCTAAGACTCGTGAGAATAATAAACTTTTCTTTCTTGAGTTTCCAAAAAATTTCATGTGCTTTTTTACATAGATGAAATGGTTATATGAGGAAATAAGAGCATAAGTACTTTATTTTTGCCTCTTTGTCATAGTGAAATGTAACCAGCCTTTCACGATCAACAATTGGTATTTTTCCAAACCATGCACTTAAGTTAGAAATTCCAAGATATGCACTTAGAAGTCTCTAAAAACATGTTATTACTTTACAGTAGACAGTAGGCTTCTTTTAAGAAGATTGGATTGTTTTGATTCCAGCATTGAAATTAAAGTAATTTTCATGATGAAGCTAAACAATGCAGAGGATGCAGTTTATATGCAAACCCACTAAACAGTTTTTATTTGTAGATTTCATATTTCAGTCAGATGGATGTGTAGTTCTGGCTTTAAAAACCCAAATTATGAACTGTGGACTAATGGCAGAAGATTTAAGAAATATTTATGAAATTCTGACTCTGGGCTATTTAAAAATATCTGGGGGAAATGTGGATATTCAATGTGTTATCACTAATCAGAGTATTTACAAAATCCTAAATCTGGAAGGAATTTGGATGATTATCTCATTGCTTCCTTTTACCCTTGGGCAGGACCACAATTACTCCATCTTTAACATATGGGAATCTGCCCTACTTTTAAGACTCTAGAGAAAATAATTCTAAAATCTCACTTAGTATACAATCTTACTACTTTATAGTCCAGGTACTAGAAAATTATTTGTTATGATTTATCTATATTATTTATATATTATATATAATCTTTTTTCCCCTCAGTGGATATTATTAATAAAAAAGATGCGTAAGAGCCTGCATGAATCTGAAGATCATTATTAACTGGTGCCAGCGTTTTCTTTTTCATTCACTCAACATATGTAATTGAGCACTGCTGTGAGCAAGAAGAGAAAAAAAATCTGATTCAACCCACATGTATTCCAACACCTACTATATTTTAAGTTTTTTACTAGAATGTCTGCATATGTTATCCCATTTAAGTTTCATTTGGAATATAAGTATACTCCAAATTCATGATCCTTTCAATATTACCTGCTGCAGATATCAAAAGTATTTTGAATTGCTCTAGCTTCTTATAGGTGTTTATACTCCATTCATCATTATTTTGACTCTGAATCACTATCTCAAATTTCAAAATTTTTCTTTGAATTTTGAAACCCAAAAGTGGATACCATACTCTTTGTTAGACGATATGAGAAAATATAGATATGAAACATGTAATAAGTTGCAAAGTGTCAATGGAACCTTCAGAATTACTGAATTGGAAAATTACTGCCAGAGTTCTCAGGTCAGCATAGTATTTATCCCCAATCCCACATCAGGGATGACAACTTATGAAGCACAGTGTTATCCTACTTGGCCTGTATGGCCTGCCTGTGCTTGCCTGGTACTTGTCACACAGTGTCCAGCTTTTATAACCTTCCCTTCTTTGTTGATATCCCAACTTCAGTCGTCAGTTCTCTTTCATCATTAGCAACTTGATGCTCTCTGAAGAAAGCTACTGCAATGGTCTTGAATATATCCTGGGCCCACTGCACCCCCCTGACCCACCCCCGCCCCCCACCCTGCTGCATTGCTGCTCCTTTTTGGAGCTCTCTTCTTGTATTTGTGAGGACTACCCTCTATCTCTCTGTCCATGCTTGCACACAGGAAACAATATTTTTGTAATTAGAAGTTAGTAGGAGAAAAGAGGCTTGTATTCCTTCTTCTCGTTTAGTTTTACCTGTATCTTGGAAATCTTTTCTCGTTTTAACAAAGGTTTATGAAGTCTTTACTTGTCTATCTAATATTTGAATACAAAAGTTTTAAAAGCCATAGTTAGTACTCTAAAGGGACTTATATTTGGCAAGACAACACTGGATTAAGTGGAGAATAGGAAAAAAAACAGTGAATATGGCATATGATTGACCTTAGAACTGCCGACATGCTTGCTGTATTATACAACTTAGTCCTAGTTTGTTAGCTAACTCTACTGAATCTGTGCTAGTAATATTGATCAATTGCCTTGAATTCTATCCTGGTAATATTGGAAATTTTTTGAGAGATGTCTGTCTTTACATGTTTATTGATTCAACATTTGTTTGAACAAAACAGTTGTTAAGAGCCTACTATGCACCAGGCTCTGATCTGGGCTTAGGAGACACAAAATGAGAAAAAGCCCTTGTCTTCAAAGAACTCCTATACTAGCTGGAAGACAAACTTATGCAATAATAATTAACCAATGGTGTGGGAATAATGCTACTGAAGCATGTTGTTCAACTTGTCATGAGGGCACAGAAGAAATAACTACCACTAGAGAGTGAGTCAATGTGTTAAGGGAAGTTTCGAGAAGAGATGACATTTGTGTGGGGTTGTGACAAATGAATAGGAGTTTTCTAGGAGAAAAGTGGGCAGGAAAGGTATTTTTTGGCCAAGGGAGCAATAATTAGGAAATCCTGTTAACAAATAATAACAATAATAGCTCTAATATATTCAGCACTTATATAATGTGTTGGATATTAATTATAAATGTATTTACTCATTTAAGCATATAAAACCCCCTGAGTTATATACTATTATATTATTTTCATTTTATAGGAAAAGGAATAAAGGTCAGACAGGACAAGTAATTTGTTCAAGTTTACACAGAAAATAAACAGCTGAGTTGGGATTTGACTCTGAGCACGAGTGAAAATACACATAGTTCACTGGGGTTTCAGCCTAAGGATGCAAGGTGGGAAAGCTAGGAAGTAAGACTGTGCCAGCAGATTGGAGCCATTTGCTAGGGCTTCCAATATCATGAACAAGAGTTGGAGTTTTAGCCCATCCATTCTCGGTGAGGAGCCACGACAGGTTATGAGAAGGGGATTGCCATGTATTATTTTTATTTTGGAAAGGTACTTTGCAGGTCAGGTAGAGAATGGATTAGAGGACAAGGAGCTTAAAGGTAACTGGAAAAGGGACAATGTGCATTTGAGAGATAATGACTTCTACTTATTTTGTATATCCCGTAACATTGAAAACTATGCATATGACATGTTTTATGACTTAACAAATTATGGTTTATGGAAACTGGGAGGAAAGCATGTGAACTTGGTGTCTCTTGCATTTATCACTTACACCATGATGCTGTAGATAGTACTAGCTGGTACAATACCCCCACATGCATCAAACAATCAGCAAAGGTGCATAGGAGGATGTGTGTATCTGAGGAAAACCCTATTAGCTCAGTCCTAATTTACTAGAGGTGCTTTGTATTTTACTTTAAGTGCAGACTCCTAGTGGGTTAAAAAAAAAAAAAAAGCAGATATTATCTTAGTCCACAATCTGAATCAAATGGCAGTAGAAATCTATGCCTCATAGCCTGAGTCTGTTGCTTTAATCAGAGCAAGCATTTTATCAGTACATCTATAAATAGTGTTTTCCTGGCCTTTTAGTGTCATCAAGTCTTCAATATATTGGATTTTTAAAATACTTACAGTAAAAAGGGCTTTGCAAAGTAATGGTGACAACCCCCAGGACACATGCCGGAAGGTGGCCCAGCAAGCTTGCCAGCTGCCTTTCTGCTAAAGGCTAAACCCATTTTGCTAAATCCCACTTGCGTTCTCTTTCCATTCCTTTCTGTTTTGTTATCTCTCAGTTTTTCTCCTTGGATGTTTATAGTGCTTCCTTCTCTAACATCACTGTCAATGCACTTGCAACATTATGCTAGAAGCATTTAAGCGATTTCTTAGAAAAAAATCTCAAACGCTTACCATGGTTTTCAGGCCCTACATTATCTGGCCCCAGGCTGCTTCCAACCTCCTCTCCTGTTCTCCAGCCCTGTGAGCCTGCTTTCTGTTGTTCAGCAAACTAAGCCTGTATTCACTTCTGGCCTTTGCACTTGGTTTTCTTCTGCCTGGAAGAAAAGTACCTGGATGTTAACACGGTTTCTCCTTATGTCCATTCAGGATTCTACTATCTCCAGGTATCACTATCCGGAGAGGCCTTTGCTGACCTCCCTATCTAAAATAGCACCCTTTCGCCTTTTACTTCCTTGTCTTTTTGGTACTTATTATTACCTGAAAATACATTATAGACATGCTTATTTGTTATATTGTCTTATCCTTTCATCATCTGCCATCCCTGCTAAATTTCATGAGGGCAGTGATTCTGTCTTGTTTTCAGTATCCTCAGAGCATACAAGAAAGGCAGTCATTTAACAAATACTTGTTGAAGAAATAAAGAATGAATATGGTTTCTGTTTCCTGCTCTTTATTCTATGAGCATTTTTCCTATAGCTTGATATGATGGAAATGGAAAGGAAGCTTTGTTGATACTTACTCTATAAGCATTCTTCTCCAATCATCTCTCAATAGCTGTGCTCTCTTTCTGTCAGTAGAGCTACTGCAGCTTGCTTCCTATATTGTATTCTATGATATTGCAGGTATAGATTTAATTATAATATCTCACTAGAGCCTAAATGCTTTACATAGTAGCCTATTTAATTAAGTCACCATGTACAAATCATACCTCCTAGTCTGTAGTGCTGTAAAGTAAATATTTGTCTGTAGCACTGTACAATTATTTATTTGGTTTTTCTTCATTCATCAAGTAGCATGGTTGGTGCATCAGCTCAGGAAAGCTCTACATATCTCTCACCAAATGCCTGAGGAGAAGTGTTGTATGGGGGAATCTACTTGTTATTTTGCCTTCAAAATATTTACATAGTGTACATTAGAATGCTTAATTATCTATATTTTTCCACTGATGCAACATTTACAATATTAACTCTAGCAGCAGCTACAGCAATTTGAGCTTTTAATAGGATTTCCCCAGGGAACTTGGAAGTAAGAAGTCTATGACTTGCAGAGTGAGGAAATTGCAAGTTAATAACCCTTGTACTCTAGAAAAGACGTCACTGAGAGGGAAACTGTTCACTTGGTTCTGCCTCATTTTTTCTTTCCTGAACTAGGAGGTTGGGGACCTCTGTCACTGGTAGTAATTTGTTTGACATAAATATGTTTGAATACCACTGTGTACTTTAGGTTGAAATGAAAAATAACTCAACTTCTCAGGTTGCTTCTTCCTGGAACTTAGGGAGAATGAGGATGACTGCTTCTCAAAACCTTTGTAAAGAGAATGCCTATGAGATGATGTGCTCCCTTGACAGACCAAGGCTTGTCCTCCTCTTCCAAACTATACCTCTCAAAACTCAGCTTTATTGCAAACTATGCAGATTGGAAGTCAGGGGATGGAGGATAGTGTAGCTTCAAAGAGTGCTTCTTTCAAACTGTATTTTCTGGAAAATCAGTGATCTAGGAGCCATTTGGAGATTCCTCGAAAAAGAGGGTGGTGATGATCTGTTTCCTGGTTCTCGGTCAGAACAAAGCAACATGGATGATTATATGCTTGGAGAATTTTGGAGGATTCTCACACAAATTCTATAATCTCCAAGTACTTGAAAACCACCAGTTTAAGAGTTAAATGAGTAGAGGGAGAAAAGAAATCTGTTTAGTTGTGCTTGATAAAGTCACAGACATTTCCAGATAATTTATAATATTAAAATCATCTTCATCTAATATGTCCAGGAATGGCAGCAGGATAAATGAGGAGGATGAAAGCAACTGTGGGTCAGGGAGACATCACTGGTAGTGAACATTTAAAATTTCAAAGTTGAAAGAATAGTACAATGAACACCTTTTACCTAGATATACTAATTGTTAGTGGTTTCTCTTATTTACCTCTTTGTCTCTTTCTGTGTATAAAATCATATATATGTTTTCTTTATGTTGAAGAGAGCACATTTCGATGGAGAGCAATAGTTTTGGGATCAAAAGAAAAATATTATTTATTTTAAAACAGTTTCCATGTATCAAGCTTGCTGTTATTACAATTCATCCGTGTTTTTGCATTTATTAGTAATTTATTCCCTTTTATTATTAGGTGGTATTCCTTTGTATTGGGTGTACTACAACTTGTTTATCTGTTCACCAACTGGATCAAAATTTGGATTTCCAGTCTTTTGGCTATTATGAATAAAGGTGATATAAACATTCATGTATGGTTTTCTGGGTAAACATATATTCTAATCTTTCTTGGGTAAATATCTTAGAGTGGCATTGATGGGTTGTATTGTGAAGTATATGCTTTTTTGGTTGTTATTTGTTTTTATTTTTTTGACATGGAATCTTGCTCTGTCACCCAGGCTGGAGTGCAGTGGCATGATCTTGGCTTACTGCAACCTCTGCCTCATGGGTTCAAACTAGTCTTGTGCCTCAGCCTCCTGAGTAGCTGGGACTACAGGCACGTGCCACCACACCCAGCTCATTTTTGTATTTTTTGTAGAGATAGGTTTTCACCATGTTGCCCAGGCTGGTCTAGACCTCCTGGGCTCAAGCAATCTGCCTGCCTCAACCTCCCAAAATGCTGTGATTACAGGCATGAGCCACCGTGCCTGGCCTATAGTATATGCTTTACTTTATAAAACACTGCCAAACTGTTTTCCATCATGGATGTCCCACTTTATAGTCTTACTAGCTATATATGAGAGTTCTTATTATTCTGTATGTGTGAGGGCATTTTGTATTGTCAAGTTTTTTTTAAATTTTCGTCATTCTAACAGATAAGTAGTGGTAACTTACTGTGATTTTAATTTGTGTTTCCCTTATGACTAGTAATACCGAACATCTTTTAATGTCTTTATTTGCTATCCTTATCTCTTTGGTAAAATAAAATTGTTTATATAAGTCATGTATCAATAAACTTTGCAAATATTTTAATTTTTAAGAGCACACTGACATATTGGCAAGTTATGAATACATTTGTAGCACCGGTTTAAAAAAGAAAACTATTAAAATATAGTAGAGGGCTAAAGGCATCTATCATAACATGATTTTTCTTGCTGATAAATTATTGGTTTTCATTTCTTAAAATGGTTTCTAAGAGATGATGTCTATAAGATTCAAATTTTCTTCCTCAAGAAGGAAGTTTTTTTAAAAAAATAAATCTATAATAATTTTATAATATATATGAAACACTATATAATGCCTTAATGTAGTATACTGTAGAACTTGGGGTTCTATCACTGTATAATTTTGACGTTGTCTGGAATTTATTTTTCATGGTGAATCTTTGTTTTATGTGACTTCATCTGGAGTTGAGAATGCTAGGTTGGGTATCAGTATTTTACCTTGATTTGCTCTTGAAACTTTAGATCAATCCTAGAACTAATTTAATTGTCCTAGACCTCAATTCTTTAACTGGCAAAATGGAGAAAAGAGTTTTATATTCAGATATTTGCAAATGTTAATTTAATTTAAAAAATATCTACCTAGACTGTGAGTTACCTATTTCTTGAGATAATGTATTAAAGTACTTAGAACAGTACTTCAAGCATTATAAGTTGTTTAATAGATGTTACTGTTTAATTATCTGACTAAATCTCTAAACATACACAAACATTCATATTATTGTCAGGGTTGGTTGGTAAAGCAGGAACTAGTTTTTTTTTATTTTTTGAAAAGCATCAGTATGTATGGACTGTGCCAATTTGGAAGAGTCAAAGTGCATGTGGGTTAGTAAAGAAGTACATTTATAATATCCACAGTGTGACAATTCAGTATACTAAGAAACAAAGTATCATTCATTTGCTGTCATGTAATAATCATATCCTAATGAACCAAGCTAAATTATACTAAAATGCACTAATTATCAGAAGACCCAGTGTGAATAGCTTACATTCCCGATAAGAAATTTTATTGTCTTGTTTTGCTCTCATCAATACATTTAAAAAAAAAAAACATTTATCATCTTCACTCTGTGAAAGAGATAGGAAGAGAACCACTTTGAAGTCATTCCATCCACTTGTACCAATAAGCTTAAAAGTAACAAGACAAAGCAAAACATAAGAAGATGCCTTGTCTATTTCAGGATCCGCATATTAAAAGCCAATATAGGATTCAGTGAACAAATGCCTTGGAAGAATTCCAGTGTCATCAAACTTATTTATCTCAAAACGTCTCCTTCCATCCTTTCTGATCCTCTACAAAATTAATAAGCTGAGACTATTTGTTGCAGCACAGAGGATCTGAGCATGCTTCTGTGGCTTATTTCTGCTGTAATTCCCTCAGCAGTTTATACAGGAATTCTTTATCTCACCATCAGGATTCTTTAGGCCAGAAGAGAGGTCAGAGAAGACTGGACAAATAAACTATGGGATCTAAGTCTTTCTTGCTAAGGTCCTAACTGCCCAAGACTTCCTCCTGAGAGTCTACTGTTGAAATTCATATGCAAATTTCAGTTTCATGGGATTAACCCTGGCTGTTGTCTTTACCTGTCAGCCTGCTCAGCCAGGTGTGAGTTCACCCATAAAACAGTGTCTTTCACATGCTCATTTATCAAAACGACATAGAGACTTTAGGATGCCAGGTGATATGATGCAAAAAGCACAACATTTGGTTTCTAACTGCATCTTTTACCATACACTGTTTTTGGGCAAACCATTCAACCTATCTTAGAAAAAGTAGAAAAATTAGAAAAATTAGAAAAACTCTACTTGTATTTCATTAGGCCTTTATGAAGATTAAATGAAGTAATGTGTGTATGATGGTTAGTATAATCCCTGGCCAATGGCAGGTAATAAAAGCAGTCCTTAGTTCACTAATGTATCGAGAGCTTATGATTTTGTGTAAAATTTATATAATATGTATCATAATGTAAACTACTTAAAGATCTTTATAACATGGTTTAATTAAATCAGTTTCATTGAGCAAATGTGGTGCATCTTAAATCCATTCTTTTAGACCACTTAGAT
Source organism: Homo sapiens (assembly GCF_000001405.40). Lineage (NCBI taxonomy): Eukaryota > Metazoa > Chordata > Mammalia > Primates > Hominidae > Homo > Homo sapiens. Next base: position 66,004,375 of record NC_000001.11, read on the forward strand.
ATTACTTAGTTTCATAGGATATGACTTTATCATAAAGCACATATTAATTATCCTTACCACAATAAAATAAAAAGTAATAAATCCTTATGTGTTATGGTGTGTAATCACTCTCATTCATCACAGAGACCATTCCAAATTGCAGATTTTGACCATAGAATAATCTTTTTTCTTTAAAATTCCAGTTACCTTCTTGAATTTGATACTTTCTCCATTAGTGAAACTATTAATAGATACCAATGAAGCACTGTTTTTTTTAAGTTAACGTAAAAAACATTTAATGGTCTTTTCAAAGTGCCAGAACATCTCTGAAGTTGTTTTCCTTAGTGGGATCTAACCTCCTAGTGACTTGTTTATATCAGAAAGTTTATTCATGAGAGGCAGTGGAAAAGCACCTAGGGATCTAGATTGACAGAATCTAGACATGTTTCCTGGCACCACCACTTACAAACTGTTTATTTATTTGTTTATTTATTTATTTATTTTTTGAGTGGAGAAGGAGTAGTTCTTTAACCTTTGGGAGCATCAACTTCCTCATCAGTAAATAAGAGATAAAACAATATCACTGATTTCTCTACTTATATGATTTTATATGATTATATAACATTTACAAATATTAATTAGTATGGTTGAGAAGCATGGGAAAAGAAAGATAAAGATTACTTTACAGAAAGTAAGGGTACTCCATCATTAAAATATAAAAATCAAAGAGCTTGACTTAAGTGCCGCAGGTGTATTTCGGTATATGTAAAGAGCATCCCATTAATAAATATTATCAAATACCATACACATTGCTCCAGATTTATTTTATAAAAGGGGGAAGAGTTTCTGCTTTATGGGACCATGTAAGTGAGAGACTGGAGACAGGAGACAGACTAAGTGGTACCTTAAGATCTCATCTACCCCACGGGTCTTTATATCACTTTTAGCTTCCTGCAGAAAGATAATAACAAGCTCATATAACCAATATATAATGAAGTGAAAGTTGCCTTTATTCAGACAACTTTACAGCATTTAAATCAAATTGCTCTTTATTTCTTGGTCATTTCAAAGAATATTTAAGGATGAAAACAAAAATAAAGGTTATTGCTTCTGCTTTGAGAAAGTTTTCCTTCTCACATAATCTTTGATCAGGCTATTGTGTCACTTGGCAACTTAAAGGCAGGAAAAAGTTATATCTTTAAGTCCAGGGATTCTATTTAAATGAATTGCCATTGAAAAGTGGTTATTCAAATCAACTCACAGCTTAGTAACATTGAAAAATAAAGTAAACTACTTTTGGGTTTCACAAGGATCATGCCAAGTTTCTGGGTCTGTCTAAATTAATAAAAATAAGACTTAGGAACCTGTATGGAAATTGTAGATTAAATTAAGCAACTGCTTCATCTGAATAAAGCTTTGCAGAGTCTAATATTATGAAGGAGCTATCTTCATGAATACAGTGCTTGCTTGGGATTCAAGGGATTTGAGTTTTAATGCCAGCTGAATCCCTAATGCCCACGGAGCACATATGCATTCATTTGATGCTGGTAGCTTTTCTGTCAAGTGGGATTAATAATTACCTGCTCTACCACCCTTACCTTATGTATTATAGTATGAATATTCAATACCAGTGTTCACGGAATGCTCTGCCTTTCTGCAAAATAACATGGCAGAAGCATTTAGAAAGGAAAAAAAGTTTCTAAAAAAGTTTTATGCGTATCAGATTTTCAAAAATGTGTCTCAGCTTTAAAATACATTAATGAATTTTGTATTTTATATGAACCCTAAAAATGCTCTTGCCAAGTACTTAGTTATCTGAAAGCTAAGATAATTGTTTTGGGTTTCTTACAGCTTTGCTGCATTTGTGTATGTTAGTCCTTTGTCAATGGATAAACACCAGATTGACATCGCTTAGTGAGTTAACTCTGATGGGTGGCTAGTATTTTCGTTTTTTATTGATTACAACCAACAGATATTTATTGCTGGATAATGCAAACATGAGGCACCATGCCATCAAGGAGCTTTAATCTGGGTAAGGAGAGTATATAGTCATTTGGCATGTCAAATGATTAATTTTTCACAGATACAAGTGTTAAGAGTATATCAGTATAGCCAGGCATGGTGGTTTGCACCTGTAATTCCAACCACTTGGGAGGCTGAGGCGAGAAAATTGCTTGAGGCCAGAAGTTTGAGACAAGCCTGGGCAACATGGTGAGTGATATGGTTTGGCTGTATCTCCACCCAAATCTCATCTTGAATTATAGTTCCCTTAATCTTCATGTGTCATGGGAGGGACCTGGTGGGAGGTAATTGAATCATGGAGGAGGTTCCCCCATGCTGTTCTCATGATAGTGGGTGAGTTCTCAACAGATCTGATGACTTTATGAGGGGCTTTTCCCTGCTCTGCTCTGCACTTTTCCTTCCTGCAATCATGTGAAGAAGGACGTGTTTGCTTCCTCTTCTGCCATGATTGTAAGTTTCCCGAGGCCTCCTCAGCTATGCGAAATTGTGAGTCAATTAAACCTCTTTCCTTTATAAATTACCCAGTCTCAGGTATTTCCTAACAGCAGTGTGAGAATAGACTAATACAGTGAGACTCCCATCTCTACAAAAATTAAAAAAATAATAAATTAGCCAGGCATAGTGGCAAGTGCTTGTAGTGCAAGCTACTCTTGAGGCTGAGGTGGGAAGATCCTTGAGCCCAGCAATTCCAGGCTTTAGTGAGCCCTGATTGCATCACTGCACTCTAGCTTGGGCAACAGAGTGAAACTTTGACTCTGAAAAAAATATATAAAAGTATAAAATACAGGGCCAGGCATGGTGGCTCATGCCTGTAATCCCAGCACTTTGGGAGGTTGAGGCAGGGGGATCATTTGAGGTCAGGCATTCAAGACTAGCCTGACCAACATGGTGAAACCCCATCTCTAATAAAATGCAAAAATTAGCCAGGTGTGGTGGCAGGCACCTGTAATTTCAGCTACTTGGGAGGCTGAGGTGGGAGAATTGCTTGAACTCTGGAGGTGGAGTTTGCAGTGAGCCGAGATCATGCCACTGCACTTCAGCCTGGGTGACAGAACAAGAAAAACGAACAAAACAACCCCCCCCAACCAAAACCAAACAAATGAAAAACAAGTATAAAATACAATGCTCTCCCACTGCTACCAGGTGGAAATGATCTAATTATGAAACTACAGGTTTGAAGAGCAATGGTTCCACTTCTTTTTCCAAATGGCTGTGAGCCTTGAGTCTGCCCCTGTTATGGTGACATACTGAGCAATTAATCAGTAGTGAGCTATACTTGAGAATCTGGTGTACTAGCAATAGGCTAGGTAGTCTGCTGATGTGAGCAGGTAGGAAATATCTCCTAAGACAGAGGGAAACAAATTCGCATTTTAATTTTTTTCACATAAAAATTAGGCAATGATAGAACAATTACATCATATATTTCTTATATCATTTAGTCTTCATCTCCATTTGCAGATGAGAAAGTTGAGACTCAGGAAGGTCGATTAATTGATACCAGGTAAACAAGCTACAAAGAAATAAACCAAGATTTAGTACATGTGTTCTGATTTGGAGTAACACATTTTATATGCTGACAAGGTCCATAGATACAGAGGTATATCATTACACAACCCGCCCCATCCCCTTTGCAACTTCCAACTCCCAGCTCCTGTGGGAAAATATCCAGGGTTACTGGATTCACATGTTCCCTTATTAAAAGCTTCCTCCCAGGAAGGCTTGTAAAATTCATTTGCTCTTACACATAATGGACTCATGGGGTTTAATTTGGGGAGAATAAACCATTAAACTAGAAGAATTAATTTCTACTTACAGAATTTGGCACATTAGAGAGAAGAGACAAAGGGGAGTATTTTGGAGGATGAAAGGTTATGTTCCAGGCATGGAACATAGACGATGGGCTGAATGTCCAGGCATGTCATTGTATTTGCAAACCATTCATTCACTCATTCATTCATTCATTAGCATTGTCAACCACCTGCTTGATTGTGCCCATTTCCTGCCTTTCCTGTTTCTATAGATGAATTATCTGTGTACCTGGTTAAGGCCACCCCTTACTGTGCACTGCATTATATCAGTACTCACCCACAAGGGCTTTGCTCTTGCACTTGTCCCCGCTGTCTCCTGTATCATCAGTTTTCCATTCTATTAAATGGTATCCATTTATAAACATGCTATTTCCCTTTAAAAAGCCCTCTTTGACCCGAGGCACTCCTCTATCTATTGCTGTATTTCATTTCTCCCTTATAAGCAAAACTCTCCCAAATAATTGTACTGCTCTACTGGTTTCCTCTCCTCCAGTCATCTTCTGGAAACTTCTAACCAAGTTTTCTCCTCACAATTCCACTAAAAGTGTTCTTCCTGAGATTATGACATTCCATGTGCCAAATATAATGACCAATTCCTTCACTTGGCCTCCAGAACACTGAATGTCTTTCCTTCCTCATGGGCTTCTCTTTCTCGGTTGGTTCCTCCTCATGTTCCTCAAGTCTAAATATTGGAATGCTCCAGAGGGTTGTGGACCTCTTCATTTTTGTCCTATAATAACTCCCTAGGCCAAGTATCTCAATCTAAATAACATCCGTATGCTGATGCTTCCCAAATTTATATCTCTAGCCAGACTTTTCCTCTGAACTCTAGATCTATGTCTCTCTCCAGCAGCCTTCTTGACAGCCAAAACTTAGCACATCCAAAATGGACATCATGGCTTTCTCCCCCCTACACCATGCCCTTGATGTAACATGTTCCAAATCTTTTCCATTGCAGTAAAATGCAATTCAATTTTTCTAATTACTCAGGTCAGAAATCTTGGAGTCTTGCATGATTCCTGTTTTTCTCTGATATTTCCCATTTCAAATGCATCAGCAAATCCTATCAGCTCAACATTCACAAGGAAGCGAGACTGTCACCACTTCTCATCACCAGCTGTCGCTGTTCTGATCCAAGTAACCATTACCTCAAACCTGGATTATCAAATTAACATCTTACTGGATCTCCCTTCTTTCATTCTTTCCCCTTTACAATTAATTCCTCTTGTAGCTGCCACAGTGATCCTTTATATTATCTGATCAGTTGTTTCATTCCTCTATTCAGAATCCTTTAACAACATCCTATTTCACTCAGAGTATGGGTCAATGTGCATGTACCATGCCTACAAATCTACCCTGGTCTCTACCTATTACTTCTCCAACTCCTTTCCTTCCCCTCACACCATCCCAGCCACACTGCTGCACTTGGTTCTCAGGCTAAGCAGGATTTCTTATCAAGACCTCGGCCTTTTCTTGTTGTCAAGAAAAAACTTTCTCCAGATATCTGTATGGGCTTTTCTTTTCTTATTTCAGGTGGTGTCTTGAATTCATCTAATTGGAGAAGACTTTTTGGCCATCTATAAAAAATAGCAGTGCACATCTTTGCCTTTCTACCATCATTATCCCTGATTTGGGTTCTTTATAGCACCTGATGTATATATCTACATATATATGTATTTTTCTATATCTACATCTATTTCATATCCATATGATCTGTATCTTTATCTATCTATCTATCTATCTATCTATCTATCTATCTATCTATCTATCATCTATCTATCTAATCTTTGGTATTGTCTGTCTCTTTTCTCTCTCCAATTAGAATATAATCTCCATGAAGACAAAGAACTTTGTCTATTTTATTCATTTCTAAATCCTCAAAACTAGAACACATGGTAGCACATGGTAGGTAGTTAATACATATTTATTGAATGAATAAGTGAATAAATAGACAAATGAGTTGCAGACTGTTTGGGTACCTTCCAGTTTTAAGCACTGAGGCCCCATGTTGAATGGGAGAGGGAAATGTGAACAGATAATTTAAAATATTATGTGATAAATAAAATAGTAAAAATAACTATTGCCTTTCAAAGTAATTTTATCTGGAAATATAAATTTTAAAATTTAAAAAATATTATATAAAATTTAATAAGAGATTATTTTCTTTATAAAGAGAAAGAGGGGCATTTGGCAAGTATACTAAACTTAATAGCAAGAAAACTTAAATTCATATTGTGATTACATTGTTTACTAGCTGTAGAATCTTAGGAAAATAACTCATCTAGTCTCTTCCTCCCATTGTACCTAGTATACTATCTAATTTATTTTATAGTTGTGAAGATTTAGTCAGATAATATCATACATAATGGGCATTAAGTAGATATTATTTTTATTTCTTTCCATATCTAATACTATACTTTACATTCATAGGTTAACCTTCTGTGATCTGTCTTATTCCTCTGCAATTTTTCAATGACTTTCTAAATTCCCACTTCATTGACTTTCTTCCATTTTCTTCCTGTGAGACTTTTTGACATCATGTGATGCCATACTCAGCCTCATCATCCCCACGAAGATTAATCATCTTTCTCTCCTTGCTTCAACAATATTGCATGTGATATTTAGCTCTATTTCTATGGATGGAAGCAAGGAGAGAAAGATGATTAATCTTCGTGGGGATGATGAGGCTGAGTATGGCATCACATGATGTCAAAAAGTCTCACAGGAAGAAAATGGAAGAAAGTCAAGGAAGTGGGAATTTTGAAAGTCATTGAAAAATTGTGGAGGAATAAGACTGATCACAGAAGTAACCTATGAAAGTAAAGGAATCATATAATGTGTACTCTTTTGTCTATTTTTTTCACTCATCAGAATTACTTTGAGATTCATGCATGTTGTTTTATGTATGCATAGTTAATCCTTTTTATTGCTGAACACTATTCCATTGCATGGATATACCAAAATGTGTTTATTCATTCACTTGTTGACAAGCATTTGTTTTTATGTTTTTTTGCTATTACAAATAAAACATTCATCTGCCAAAAAAAAAAAAAAAAGAACTGGTGAGTTCTTTAGCTCTATTTCTATGGATGGAAAGCTGGATTAATTTTCAACATTGTAGGACAGTAATAAGTGAATATTTATTCTTTAATTGGAATTATGTTTCTTTGAGTTGCTTGTCACTAATACGTAGTGAATCAATGGAAATGAAAAGGACACTCATAAAGTAACTGCATAGTGAGTACATAAACCAAAACCATGGCTATCTTTTTACCCTGTGCTACAGCAAGGCTAGTGAAACAAGAGCAACATGAATATTTTTAAGAAAGAGTATCACAATGGTAAATTTTATTTGTAGGGCATTATGTAGAAGAGAAAATTTTCAGGAATAATTATATTAGACTCATCTCTTTGATGACAGACACTATTTCCTATTCATATTGCAAAATAATTGGCAAGTACATGTTTTAAAAAAATGAGTGTTTTTTTTCCTGTGAGACATCTGTATTTTACTACAGGTGGGACAAAGTTATTTCGGTCCTTATTTTGCCACTAGGATATTGGCAGGCAGAGGGTGACAAAATAATGTAACATCTGAAATTTCAGGCTATGAGGAAACTCACATACATACAATTTGTCAGACAATTAGGATATTTCTAAAATGTGAACAGATGTATAATAGAAATTAGCAAAATGAAAAATGACCTTTTTTTGTTTTTGATGGATACATAAAGAATTTATATGCAGTTTTCTAGGTTAGCCTAGTTAAAACCTCTTCTTTCTACATATTCAGTTAAGAAATAATTGTTAATTGAGACCAAGACATTATAATTGTTTCCCTTTTGTATTATAATAATGAAAAATATCAAGAATTATATCTTATAACTTTTTACACAGGTCCAAGTGATGTTTTCTGAACTTGCATGCCACATTTTTTTAGCCAAGTGTTCACCAGTTGGGAACTCCTAGGGGTTGTTTATTTTTCAGTGAAAGACAATCTTTTAAGGAGTTTATGTCCTAAATATTTTCTGGTTTTGCAGTAGCATACATCAGACATAGTCATTGTGTTTGGATTGGGATTTTCACTTTTAACATGTTCTCAAATTCTCTAGGCGTTTAATGTTTCCATCTGGTCCTCATAAAAGGTTTCACATTTGTAATGCAGCTCAGGCTCCTACTCAGAGAGCATCATTATAATTCTATCCATGACTCTAGTTTGATAGAGCAGATACTTTTAAAACTTTGGATTTGTTTTTTGCTTTTGTGTTCTGTCTTAAACCTAGGAATAACACTTGAGTTTAATGGTTGTTTCTCTCTGAAAATAATCATAGTGTGCACACCATGACAACAGGCTCACACCCCACTTCCTTCTGTGCCGTTTGAAGCTCCTAGGGCAGAAGGAGTAACCACATTGTGAGCCCAGTATGAGGAAACTTAGCAGTCGTCTTACTTTCTCTTCATTAAACAATCTGTTCTCAGTCATCACAGATGGAGAGGATATTTTCAAGGACTTGAACATTTTCTTGAAATAGCCAAACAACTAGGAATCTCCTTTTGCCATGTTAAATAATAGGTTCTAGGGCACAATTTGAGCAAAGTTCACAGCTTCTAGCAAGGTCTTTTTATGTAGTTAGGTGTGCAGTGCATGTGGATTTGTTTAGTGAGTATGTACTTAAGTAACACTATATGTCAGGCAATGCTCTAACTAAACTTCACAAATAGTAACTCATTTAATCCTCACAGTAACTTTATGAATACGGTACTATTAGTATCCCCATCCAAGGATGTAGAAACTGAGGCATAAGGCAAAAAGACCACAGCTAGCAAGTGGAAGAGCCAGAATTAAAACCTAGGTGGTCTGGCTCAAGAATCCATGGTCTTAACTGTGAAACTGTGCTATGACTGAATGTGTTCAGTGTCAGATTTTCAAAGATCTATTATTATCTTCCCAGAATTGAATTGCACACTTTGTGTAACTCTCCCCAACACCATTCTTGATTCATAATTGGTACTCAGTGAATGTTTTTTTACCTTAGGATTTAATTAAGAGTGAGTGAAATGATAACTGATTTTGCCATCATTTGAAAAAAAGGCAGAACCAAAGGTGAATCATAATGGTAGCCAGTGGACAGGCAGTTTTTCATTCAGAAGTGTCAATGGATCCCGTTATCCAAGGATAACCTATATTTAAGGCCCAGATACTTCTAAGATGATGCTTTGGATTCTACATTTTCAAATCTGGAAGAACTATCTTCATTTCACTAATTGTTCTTTACTGATACAGTTTTTTTAAATTTAAGTGTGGTGAAACACAACCCAAAATTTACCATCTTCGCTATTTCTAGGTGTACAGTTCAGTAGTGTTACGTAATTCACATTCTTGTGCAACCAGCCTCCAGAACTCTTTTCATCTTTCAAAACTAAAAGTCTATACCACTTAAGCAACCACTCCTCGGTTTTTCTTCCCTCTAAGCTCTCAGAAACCACCACTTTTTAAAAAAAAAATAACTCATCCACCTATGGAAATTTAGGTTGCTTCCACCTTTTGGCTATTGTGAATAATGCTGTTATGAACATGGATGTAAAAATATCTCTTTGAGACTCTACTTTTATTTCTTTGGGGTATATACCCAGAAATGGAAGTGCTGAGTCATATGATAATTCTATTTTTAATTTATTTCCCATACGGTTCTCCATAATGACTGTATCATTTGACATTCCCACCAACAGTGCATAAAAGTTCACTTTCTCCACATTCTGACCAATATTTATTATTTTCTGTTATTTTTTTCTGATAGAAGTTATCCTAATGGGTGTTAGATGGCACATCATCTTGGCTTTGATTTGTATTTTCCTAATGATTCGTGATGTTGAGCAGCTTTTCACGTGATTATTGGCCATTTAGTATCTTCTCTGGAAAATGTCTGTTTAAGTCCTTTGTACATTTTAAAATTGGCTTGCTGTGTTGTTGTTGAGTTGTAGGAATTCTTTATATATTCTAGGTATTAGCCCATTGTCAGATATATGATTTGCAAATATTGTCTCCCTTCTGTGGACTGGCTTTTCACTATACTCTTGTGTTCTCTGATGCACAGAATTTTTACATTTTTATGTAGCCTAATTTATCTACTTTCACTTTTTTGCCTATGCTTTCTGGTGTCATAGCCAAAAAATCATTATCAAATCTAGTGTCATGAACCTTTTCCCCTATGTTTCCTTATAGAAGTTTTATAGTTTGGGTCTTGTGTTTAGGTTTTTGATCCATTTTGAGTTGATTTTTGCATATCGTGTAAGATTAGAGTCCAACTGCTTTCTTTTGCAGTATCCAGTATCTTTTGCAGTATGTTTTGTTGGTACCCAGCTCTCCCAACACCATTTGTTAAAGAAAAAAACCATACAGATTTAAGGGAAACTCAGACCACATAGCTATAAACCTGGAGTTCCTCTCATACTTTGGTCCAAACCATAATAGATTTAGAAAGAATCACGACTAAAGTTCTCAACTGGGGGCTCTTTTCTCCTGGCGAGAACATTTAGCAGTAGGTGGGGACATTTTTGGTTGTCACATCTTGGGGTGGGAGTGGGGGTAGCAGTTGTTACTGGAATCTAGTGAGTAGAGGTTACGAATGTTGCTAAATACCCTGCAATAAACAGCTCCCTAAAGCAAAGAAGTATCTGGCTTCAAATGTCAGTAGTGCTGAGGTTGAGGAACCCTGGCCTAGAGTATAGGGAAGTACAGGTTATGTTGTAGGACTGGAAAATTGGGGAATCTCCTTTTTTTGCCATTTGAGGGCTTGATGATCATTGCACAGGTGACTACCTAAGTGTCCAATTATTGACTACTTGGTAGTTGGTTTTTTAAAGATACCTGAATTTCATATACATCCAGTTAGGTTTTAACAACAGAATGCTATTTTGAGCTTAACTTTTGCCTTTAAGACTGTTCTTCTCACTTTCTTTCACCATAATTTTGTCCATTTATGCATTCATTTTCTCTTTTCTGTAAGAAAACAAGTAAATAATTGTAGGATTGATCATAAGAATTGGAGTCCTATTAGACTATACAATAATCAAGGATTACAGAAATGCCTAGAGATTGTTTTGGCCTAGCTGCTCCTCCTACTTCTGAGCTACTTACAGGAGAAAGATGCCCAATTGACAATATAAACATGAAATTAATTACTTTATAATAAATAGTTAATTTATAACACCCAGGCTTGTGTTTAAAATTCCAGAGCTTGGCTCTCTGCTGAACTGAGCTGGAGTACACGACTTCAGCCCAAAGTAATTTTATATTGGGTGTTTATGGTCAGGGAAACTTCGTTGCAGAGGTCATGCTTGAGCTGAGACCTGACTGGCTAAAAGCCTCAAGCCATGAGAACATTTGGAAGAAGAGTATTTCCACAAGAAAAAAAAAACAGAAAATTAAAGTGCAAAGATCTTAAGGTAGGAATAAACTTGGCATGTTCAAGAAATAGAAATAAGGCCAGTGAGGCTGATGCTCTGAGTTACTGAGGATAACAGAAGTATGATGCAACTGCTGAAATCAAATTAATATTTCTTTTTCCAGAGGAAAAGGTGGGGGGTGTTTGATTAGAACTTCTCCTGGTATAAGGGGAGATTCTCTCAACCTTGGACACCTGAAGTTGGCAGGTGTGTAAAGCATTGGTTTTGTATTGCATGGTTGGTTCACGTTATCAATTACTGTTTAAGTATTTATTTATTCACTTTTCAAAAACTGCTAATAATTTTCTATATTCTAGGCACCATTATAGGGCTAGGCATTGGAGAAATTGAGATGCATAAGACAAAATGCTTATGTTTAGGAGCTCGTAGTGTGCATTTATGGATTGGATAGTTGGATAGAACTCTTCTAATTATTGACTATGTGACCTTGGGAAAGTTATTAAACCTCTCTGTGTCTGAGTATCTCCATCTCTAAAATGAGATATTTATTGCAGTTACTTCATGGAGTTGTTGTGAGGATTAAGTGAGTTAATACCTTTAAAGCAGCACCTGAGACGTAATAACCACTCAGTAACTTAGCTATTATTGTTGTGGTGGTTTTACAGAAGCACAGGAAGAGACTCATTAATTCAGTCTCAAAGGTTAGAGAGAATTTAAAAGAAAAGGTGAAGTTTGAGTTCATTCATTAACTCATCATTTGTTTGATAAATATATATCAAGTGCCTACTGTATTCCACATACTACTTTTCTGCTACGGCACATACTTCTTTCTTGCTGCCTGGATTATCTTTGACACCATTATTCAGCTGTCAAACTTTAACATCCACATCATCCTCTTCAATGTAACCTTCTTCAGTTTAAGGAAGAGTATATATTAGAGATAAAAATTGTACAAATAATAATTTAGTTACAATTGTCAACCATGATATCAAGTGTAATCCAGTCAGTGAGAGGAAAAATGCAAGGAACATCTAAAAAGTGTGAAAGATAAGGAAATGTCTTAGCTAAGAGATGCAATATATGAGAGATAAGAAATGCAAAATATCATAAGAAAAAATAATCATAATCATCAACTTTGTAGGTTTCCCAAACTTCTTATAGTTTATGTATTTATCTTCTAATTTTCTAAGAGTTGAGCACTTATAACCAAAAGGGCTTCAATGCTTGCTTTTGAGTCAGCCATAAGTGGATAAGGAGCAAAAGGATGCAGCTTGCTTTCAACGCCAAGTCAGACTTGTGTTGGAGGAGGTGTTTAGGGATGGGTTTTCTAAGGGAGAAGAATATGTAGGGCACCTACTGAAGGAGAAGAGTATGGGCTCTTTGGCCATTCTTGCAGAGAAAACAACAGAGTGTGGGTGGGATAAGGAGCAGAACTAGGCTAGAATAGGGAGCATTAGGTTGGAACAGGAGGGCTGGAGGGTAGTTCTCTGGAATTTTGATTGTGCCTATATAAGCAATTCTTTGCCTTTTTTTGGATTTACATACTTGATGTCTTCTTTCAGACTGTTGAATATTAGAGCAAACATTTGAGAGCAGAGAATTTATTGTATTTGTGTAACCAGTATCTCTCATTCTGCTGCATATATATAAGGCCTTTAGTAAATGTTTGCTGAATTTCCCTATCAATTTATATATCAATTAATGAGATAATAAAATGAGATTGGAAGAAGAGGATCATATCCAGTAGACCTAGCCTATAATTTGTTCAATATTGATGTGTTTAAAAATTAAAAAAGCTACCTAGATAAAAGGCCAAAATATAACATGTAGTTATGACAGTCAGGGTTTATTTAGCATTTCTATAAGCCAGTAGCCTTTCAATTTATTCTGCATGTATTCAGTGGTGGTGGTAGACAACTGGTTTTGAGTCAAAATTGCATATAGGATCACATTTTCTTGCTAATTCAACTTTCTTAGTTCTAGGTTGGTAAATATTGTAGAAAAAGCAAAATGTTTCCCACATGTCTACAGATTTTCTTGCTTTAATAGCTTCATTTGTGATTTTGGGAACCAGAATATTTTTAAATAAAACAAGTCATTTATTCCTGGAATAAGTCCCTATGCCATGCATGTCTTGAGATTAGAAACTCAGCTGAGAGCAACTAGTGATTATTCCCTGACTACAACTATTTGTGAGATACAGAAATCTTAATGATGATAATCCAGTATTAGTGAGATTTTTAAAAAATATATATATATATATTCAAGGGTGCTTTCCAAGAACAATTTATACCTCACCAATTATTTACTGAGTTGTATGTGGAAATTGGAATTAACTGGCACCATTTATTTCAGTTACATTTTGAAACCACTTACAGATTGACACCTGGGTAACTGGCTATATTTTATATAGCTCTGCACGGATCATAGAGTTTTAGAGGTAGAAGTTAGTTTTTTCTTTTAGTGTTACTCTTGTAACAGGATGTATTTAACTGTTTCAGCAAAAGGAAGACAGACGTTTCCATCTAAAGAGTATGTGGTTTTAGGCCGGGCACGGTGGCTCACACCTGTAATCCCAGCACTTAGGGAGGCCAATGCGGGCGGATCACGAGGTCAGGAGGTCGAGACCATCTTGGCTAACACCGTGAAACCCCGTCTCTACCAAAAATACAAAAAATTAGCCGGGCATGGTGGTGGCGGGCGCCTGTAGTCCCAGCTAGTCGGGAGGCTGAGGTAGGAGAACGGCGTGAACCCAGGAGGCGGAGCTTGCAGTGAGCCGAGATCGTGCCACTGCACTCCAGCCTGGGCGACAGGGTGAGACTCTGTCTCACAAAAAATAAACAAAATAAAATAAAAAAAGAGTATGTGGTTTTGACTTTTATAATACAGTAGATTCTGCTTGAATAAATTTTAAGATTAAGTATTTTAATGTGCTTTGTGTAGATACAACAGAAATATCAAAGGACAATTCCAATATGAGGTTAATATTTTAATATCTTATATCAAAATATCTGAGCACCTAGAAACTGGCAGTGACAATTAACAGCTTAAATGATTCTTCAAATAATTCAATTTAAGGGTAGGATTTGGAAACAAGTAGCATTATCAGACTGAAAATAACACCATTTTATAAGAATGTCTATGGATACAATCTTAAGTTAGTGGCGTATGCCTTTTATATATTTATCCAACCATTATCCTCTATGTGCAAAGAATGTGATCTAAAGAATGTGTTAAGGCAGATAATACGTGTGTATTATAATAATTAAAAGGTTCTGTGATACAGACTCTGACCTGAGGATAAAGTACTACAAGATATAATAACTACCATAATTTTATATTTTATAATGATAAAACTACCTATAGAATGAAATACCTTATATCTTACTTTTTGCTGCTTTTGGGTTAATTATGCACTTAAATAAATGGATAGAGTTCTTACTTACCGTTTTCACATTTAAATTCATCCTGATATGATGACATATAGTTTTAATGACCTGGTTAATACTGATGAAAACTTTCAGTGGCAGTGCCTGGGGCCAGTAGTCTGCTGCATATTTTATTTTTATATTATTGCAATAATAACAAAAGATATTGGTGCTTCTTTTCACCTACAAATAATCAATTAAGGAACTGAAGCTTAATTTATTTAAAAAGCAATTTTTAGAACAAGTCGATAGTTCACATAGAGCTATTTAAATGTCCCATGCAAATTGATGGAATGTTCTAGCAAATATTATTTAGAAAATTATTATTATTGTTATTCTTTTTTTTTTTTTTTTTGAGATGGAGTCTTGCTCTGTCACCCAGGCTGGAGTGCAGTGATGTGATCTTGGTTTGCTGCAGCCTCTGCCTCCCAGGTTCAAGCAATTCATCTGCCTCTGCCTCCTGAGTAGCTGGGACTACAGGTGTGCATTGAAATGCCTGGCTCATTTTTGTATTTTTAGCAAAGACAGGGTTTCACCATGTTGGGCAGGATGGTCTTGATCTCCTGACCTTGTGATCCGCCCCCTTGACCTCCCAAAGTGCTGGGATTACAGGCATGAGCCACCGTGCCCAGACTAGAAAATTATTTTTAATAGCTCACATTCTTTGCCCAGTCATTTCACACCGGTATTCCATAAGAGTTCCCTTGCAGCCAGAAACAGAAAGGATTAGATTTTAATATCATCTAACAATATTCTTTTGTTGTTTAATCACACTTTATAGTGCTAACCCAAATCTGATCTGGAAATCTGTTCAGATCCAGTTTGAGGAACTAGTTGAGTAGACAATACTCTCAGAGAGCTACAGGAACTAAATGTACATCTCTTGTTCATTTGTAGACATCATTCAAGCCTCAGGCTTGGATTCTTCGTTTAGGTCTGCCAGTCAACAAGAATTCACTGGGTGGTTACTCATGACAGAGACCTGTATGAGACTGTGTACATAGAAGTCAAAGAAAAATAGTTACTATCGACAAGCATATATTGATACATATAGGCACAATTTTTCTTTCAAAAGTTTGCATTACTGTTGAGGAAAGTAGACATCTATATTTTTATAATGCCTATTTGAAATTTGTCCAGGAAATTCTGTTGCTGGTCAACAGTGTAGCTAGGCCTGGTATAAGAACAGGTCAGGTACAGTAGGATTCTGATTAAGGCAGGTGTCTGGCATAAAAATAGTGAACGTTAGGAAGGTAGGATTCCTGGTATATAGCATTACTTAAAGAACACTTTGAACTCTTTTTTTTTTAATATACTTTAAGCTCTACGGTACATGTGCACAACGTGCAGGTTTGTTACATATGTATACATGTGCCATGTTGGTGTGCTGCACCCGATAACTCGTCATTTATATTAGGTATATCTCCTAATGCTATCCCTCCTCCCTCCCCCCACCCCATGGACAGGCCCTGGTGTGTGATGTTCCCCAACCTGTGTCCAAGTGTTCTCATTGTTCAATTCCCACCTATGAGTCAGAACATGTGGTGTTTGGTTTTCTGTCCTTGTGATAGTTTGCTGAGAATGATGGTTTCCAGCTTCATCCATGTCCCTACAAAGGAGATGAACTCATCCTTTTTTATGGCTGCATAGTATTCCATGGTGTATATGTGCCACATTTTCTTAATCCAGTCTATCATTGATGGACATTTGGGTTGGTTCCAAGTCTTTGCTATTGTGAATAGTGCCACAATAAACATAAGTGTGCATGTGTCTTTATAGCAGCATGATTTATAATCCTTTGGGTATATGCCCAGTAACGGGATGGCTGGGTCAAATGGTATTTCTAGTTCTAGATCCTTGAGGAATCGCCATACTGTCTTCCACAATGGTTGAACTAGTTTACAGTCTCACCAACAGTGTAAAAGCGTTCCTACTCCTCCACATCCTCTCCAGCACCTGTTGTTTCCTGACTTTTTAATGATTGCCATTCTAACTGGTGTGAGATGGTATCTCATTGTGGTTTTGATTTGCATTTCTCTGATGGCCAGTGATGTTGAGCATTTTTTCATGTGTCTGTTGGCTGCATAAATGTCTTCTTTTGAGAATTGTCTGTTTATATCCTTTGCCCACTTTTTGATGGGGTTGTTTGATTTTTTCTTGTAAATTTGTTTAAGTTCATTGTAGATTCTGGATATTAGCCCTTTGTCAGATGAGTAGATTGCAAAAACTTTCTCCCATTCAATAAGTTGCCTGTTCACTCTGATGGTAGTTTCTTTGGCTGTGCAGATGCTCTTTAGTTTAATTAGATCCCGTTTGTCAATTTTGGCTTTTGTTGCCATTGCTTTTGGTGTTTTAGTCATGAAGTCCTTGCCCATGCCTATGTCCTGAATGGTATTGCCTAGGTTTTCTTCTAGGATTTTTATGGCTTTAGGTCTAACATTCAAGTCTTTAATCCATCTTGAATTAATTTTTGTATAAGATATAAGGAAGGGATCCAGTTTCAGCTTTCTATATATCGCTAGGCAGTTTTCCCAGCACCATTTATTAAATAGGGAATCCTTTCCCCATTTCTTGTTTTTGTCAGGTTTGTCAAAGATCAGATGGTTGTAGAGGTATTATTTCTGAGGGCTCTGTTCTGTTCCATTGATCTATATCTCTGTTTTGGTACCAGTACCATGCTATTTTGGTTATTGTAGCCTTGTAGTATAGTTTGAAGTCAGGTAGCGTGATGCCTCCAGCTTTGTTCTTTTGGCTTAGGATTGTCTTGGCAATGCGGGCTCTTTTTTGGTTCCATATGAACTTTAAAGTAGTTTTTTCCAATTCTGTGAAGAAAGTCATTGGTAGCTTGATGGGGATGGCATTGAATCTATAAATTACCTTGGGCAATATGGCTATTTTCACAGTATTGATACTTCCTATCCATGAGCATGGAATGTTTTTCCATTTGTTTCTGTCCTCTTTTATTTTGTTGAGCAGTGGTTAGTAGTTCTCCTTGAAGAGGTCCTTCACATCCCTTGTAAGTTGTATTCCTAGATATTTTATTGTCTTTGAAGCAATTGTGAGTGGGAGTTCACTCGTGATTTGGCTCTCTGTCTGTTATTGGTGTATAGGAATGCTTGTGATTTTTGCACATTGATTTTGTATCATGAGACTTTGCTGAAGTTGCTTATCAGCTTAAGGAGATTTTGGGCTGAGACGATGGGGTTTTCTAAATATACAATCATGTCATCTGCAAACAGGGACAATTTGACTTCCTCTTTTCCTAATTGAATACCCTGTATTTCTTTCTCTTGCCTGATTGCCCTGGCCAGAACTTCCAACACTGTTGAATAGGAGTGGTGAGAGAGGGCATCCCTGTCTTGTGCCAGTTTTTAAAGGGAATGCTTCCAGTTTGTGCCCATTCAGCATGATATTGGCTGTGGGTTTGTCATAAATGGCTTTTATTATTTTGAGATATATGCCATCAGTACCTAATTTATTTGGAGTTTTTAGCTTGTAGGGCTGTTGAATTTTGTTGAAGGCCCTTTCTGCATCTATTGTGATAATCATGTGGTTTTTGTCTTTGATTCTATTTATATGCTGGATTACGTTTATTGATTTGCATATGCTGAACTAGCCTTGCATCCCAGGGATGAAACCAACTTGATTTTGGTGGATAAGCTTTTTGATGTGCTGCTGGATTCGGTTTGCCAGTATTTTATTGAGGATTTTTGCATCGATGTTCATCAGGGATATTGATCTAAAATTCTCTTTTTTTTGTTGTGTCTCTGCCAGGCTTTGGTATCAGGATGATGCTGGCCTCATAAAATGAATTAGGGAGGATTCCCTCTTTTTCTATTGATTGGAATAATTTCAGAAGGAATGGTACCAGTTCCTCTTTGTACCTCTGGTGGATTTCGGCTGTGAATCTGTCTGGTCCTGGACTTTTTTTCTTGGTAGGCTATTAATTATTGCCTCAATTTCAGAACCTGTTATTGGTCTATTCAGGGATTCAACTTCTTCCTGGTTTAGTCTTGGACTCTTACCATTGATTGTGTGGGGATTGTAAATGGTGACAATCTGTTGGTACCTTGGAGAGCTCCCAATAGCCTCTATCTTTGATTTGTTAAGGTGCTACTGAGGCTTTTTGTTGTCTTAGCTTTAGGCATACTTTATAAGCTCTGTCATCCTGGTGGATCTAAAAGGTAGTTAATGCAGCTGTACTTCAATTTGCTGTGTTAGGCTGTGTGGTACTCGGACATTATCTACATTCTGTTAAAACCTTTTGGCCTTCACACCAGATCTTAGGCAATATTTTTGGGTTCCTCAAAGTTTCCTATGCACTAAGGAGGATAGATAGGCTTATCAGTTCACAATGTTGGCACACTTTGTCTCCAGGGGAAAGAGCATTTTTTGGCACAGACAAAAGAAGTATTGCCAAGAACAAGGTAGCATATGCTCAGATCCAATTAGTGGCAGAGACAATAAACACAGTAAGAGTTCAGAGAAGGAAGTTGTTTCTGAGGGCTATGGAACAAGTGAAAAGCTCCATGCAATAGCAGGCCCTATAGTAATGAAAGCATTCAGGTGGAAGAGGGAATTCCAGGTGAAGGAAATGGTTAACAACATTCTATTGATTTCAATTGAAGAAAATTACAAGGCAAAATTTTTATTTTTAATTAGCCTATAATCCACCTGAGGGAGAAAAGAACCATGAAAGCAGAAACCAACATTAGATCAACTACCATTTATGTAGTAAAAAGAGTAATAAGATATAGTGTAAACTTAATAATAATGTTTAGGAGATAAAGCCTTAGGAATAAAGGATCTGTGTTGGGTAGGGTTATTTAGGGCACTCTTGATTTCAGTTATTATTTTGTTTCTTATATTAGTACTTCATTACTATATGTGTCTCAAGTGGAGAGTTGAACTCAGGAAAACAGCCTCAGAAAGAAAAAGAAAAAAAATACTACATACTGATCTCAGTTATACATATTTTGATAATTAATAATGTGAATTGTTTCAGGCGGTTTATTTTTTACCTTTTGTGCTGCCTACCCACTACTTTTCATATTCCAGCCAGCCTCTTGACTTTGGTGTTCTCCATTCTGAGAGACTGTCCATACAAGTATCCTCCATTAATGTGAAGTAGAGTTGCTTATACTTACAAAAAGTCCTAGAGGATAGAAAAACAATCAATAATGGGTGCAAATAATAGATAAACACTATTTTTGATAGTATTCAGTAGGTCTCTTACCAAGTTATTTTCAGAATATCTCTAAAAAATATTAATCTAGCATCACTATACCTTAGAGTTGGAAGTGCTTCAGAGATCATCTCATTTACCCCTTACTCAATCAGATAGCCATCCAACTTGCATCACTTCTGTGATTACTAGGTTCTGTCTGAACATTTTCAGATATGGAAAGCTTGCTACCCCCAAGGAAGCCATTCTGCTGTTGACCAACACTTAGAAAGGTATTGCATTAAACTAGAATTTGTCCCTATGACTTTAAATAGATTTTTCCAGTTTCTTTCCAAAGAAGCTACACCAACTGTGTCAATTCATACGTTTATTCAACAAAATGTACAGGTCATATAATATATGCAAGGAATTTTCTGAGCCCTACAAATGATAACTTGATAAACATGGATATAATACTGTCTTCTATGAGAAGGCAGATTCTTAATACATTTTTTTGGATCAGTAAATAGATGGATAGATGAATCTTTTTCACCATTAAATAATGGTAAACTCTTGATATATAGGTAAAGTTGGTGTATTCCTTGGTAAGTGAAGGATGTGGAATGAGCATTTTAATATCCTAATATCCTCTAGAATGGTGATGTATTTTATTTCATAGCCTATCAGTGTAAAAAAGAGGCAAATACAATATTTATATATTTATTTTCAAATTATAAATATGAATTACTTAACTAAAGTATTATGTATATGAACTAAATAGATGTTTTTAAAGATTTAACATAAGTATATATAGCTATATATTTTAATAGTTTATACAGTGCCCTATATAACCCACAAGTATGATTTATAGCTTTGTTAATTATTTAAATATACTGCCTTTCTAGAAAACCAGCATTTTAGTTGTCCATTACATCTTAGTTGTTTTCCTAACTGGAGTCAAGTGATCACAATATGGTAGCATTTAAGATTTGGCTTAAGAACATATTAGAACTCACCAAGTTTTTCAAAAAATAGGCTTTGAGACAATATTAAGAAACAGAGTACTTCAAGGAAAGAAGTGATAGAAGTAATTTATGAAAAACAATTTATATGAAAGCTTTGTACTTTCAATATAAAAGTACTATAGAAGTAAAACACTATAAAGATGGATAAAAAGGAGAAGTTTGAAACTGTCAAGTAAGCTAAATTCCTTATCTCTTTACAAGCCTAATAACCCAGTTGGAATAACTCATAGAGTATAAATCTGGGATCTCATTAAAAATAAATATTTTCCAGTAACACAATGATGCAGAGGCAAAATGTATGAAATAGAAAATAAAAGAAAGAAAATAATGACTTCATACTCTTCTTACCTATTGTCTGCTATGCCAGTTTGGATTACCACACCACAGGTTTAGCTTGAGACTGAACTCATAATTTCTTCCCAGACTAATGTTTCCATGTGAGTTTCCTAATTCTGTGTATGGTGTCACCATTCTCTGGGTGTCCCAGGCCCCCAACTTTAAACTTAACCCCTGTTCCCCATTTCATGACTAATTGTTTACCAAGTTATTTTGATTCTCTGCAATATCCAGCAAGCAAATTATCCCATGTACTTAGGTACAGTAAAAATTTAGGACTGCTAACAACCACAAAGGTTTGTGCTTTAAGTTTAGTTGTGAGCTCTGAAAAATGTTAGAGTATTAAGTGTCAAACTTAAGATGGCAAGTCCATTTTCATAATTTAGTTTTTAGTTTCAATTTTGAAGAATCTCATCAAATGTATATGTCTCAGAATACAAACCTTTAATAATATAATTATTTTTCTGGTCAGTTACATGTTTTATTGTTTTCTTGATCCTTAGACTTACAACTTCAAATAAAAATGTAAATATCTGCAACATTTGGGCAATATTGCTTTATAAATGAAACTGTACATACAAGTTCAGTTTTTCACTTTTACAAACCTAGGAAATGCCCTTGAAGCATGAATGACAGTGTTTCCTCAAGAGGTTCACATCCTATTACAGTAGAAGGCATGGTCAGGACTCATGCCTACACTTTCAGCTTTGACCCACCCTGGCTTTGGATCTTGGGTAAATGGTTAGTCTCACTCAGAATAAAACTTATACTAGACTTTTCATGTCAATGGTCCCTTTCTATGTCTAGCTAACATTGTGCCTCATGTCCTCTATTATCCCCATCTGGCCCTAATTAGGTGAGGCTGTATCATGGCAGCATAGCTTCGGGATTAA
Source organism: Homo sapiens (assembly GCF_000001405.40). Taxonomy (NCBI): domain Eukaryota; kingdom Metazoa; phylum Chordata; class Mammalia; order Primates; family Hominidae; genus Homo; species Homo sapiens. Next base: position 66,026,437 of record NC_000001.11, read on the forward strand.
GCTCTCAGGCTTGAAGTCAGATTCTTTGGGTATATGTCCCTGTTCTGCTACCTATGGTAACAGGACAGAAGCATTTAATCTCTATGTTTTGTTGTCTGATTTGTAAAATGAGGTAATAATAACACTTAATTTATGGGTTTGTTGTGAGAATACCACAGGTTAATATATAAAAGTTCTGAGGACTAGCACATAATAACTACTATGTGGTTGCTATTATTGATATTCATATAAAGCACTCAGCAATGTGCCTGGTATATAGTGTGTGCTCACTAAATATTAACTGTTATTCTCATTGCCAGACTCCACTTCAATTTCTGTAAGCTTTATTTCAGACTTTGGTCACAAAACAAAATAGATGAAAGTATATCCTCATAACACAAATGCGTGTTCTTCACCTCAACAAACCAACCAATTATGGCGTCCTGAGGGAGGGTGTGTGCGTCACCTTGCAATGTTGTAACATATGCCTGCAAAGGACTATTCTACAATACATGGCTCAGTAAACTTACGTTTTTCTTAACAGCTGCAAACTAAGATTTGTTTTGAATAATCCTATTAGTTTGTGCCAGTGTTACTGTGAAAGTGCATATTCAAATTCTTGGCCTTTGTTTTACCTGTTAGCTTTAATGTATTTTACTTTTTAATATTATAATCTACTAAAATCTAAAAATATGTGTATTAATCTGTTTCATGCTGCTGATAAAGACATATCTGAGACTGGGAAGGAGAAGAGGTTTAACTGGACTTACCACATGGCTGCAGAGGCCTCAGAATCATGGCTGGAGGAAAAAGGCACTTCTTACATGGCAGCAACAAGAGAAAAATGAGGAAGAAGCAAAAGCAGAAACCCCCGATAAACCCATCAGATTTTGTGAAACTTATTCCCTATCACAAGAGTAGCACGGGAAAGACTGGCCCCCATGAGTCAATTACCTCCCCCTGGGTCCCTCCCACAACATGTGGAAATTCTGGGACATACAATTCAAATTGAGATTTGGATTCAGACACAGCCAAACCATATCATTCTGTGCCTGGCCCCACCAAATCTCATGTCCTCACATTTCAAAACCAAACATGCCTTCCCAACAATCCCCTGAAGTCTTAACTCGTGACAGCATTAACCCAAAAATCCACAGTCCAAAGTCTCACCTGAGACAAGGCAAGTCCCTTCCACCTATGAGCCTGTAAAATCAAAAGCAAGCTAGTTACTTCCTAGATACAATGGAGGTACAGGCATTGGGTAAATATAGCCATTCCAAATGGGAGAGATTGGCCAAAACAAAGGGGTTATGGGGCCCATGCAAGTCCAAAATCCAACGGGGCAGTCAAATTTTAAAGCTCCAAAACGATCCCTGACTTTATGTCTCACATCCAGGTCACACTGATGCAAGGGGTGGGTTCCCATGGTCTTGGGCAGCTTCACCCCTGTGACTTTGCAGGGTACAGCCCTCCCTCCTGGCTGCTTTCACAGGTGGGTGTTGAGTATCTGCGACTTTTCCAGGCACATGGTGCAAGCTATCGGTGGATCTACCATTCTAGTGTCTGGAGGATGGTGGCCCTCTTCTCACAGCTCCACTAGACAGTGCCCCAGTAGGGACTCTGTGTGGGGGCTCCAACCCCACATTTCCCTTCTGCATTGCCCTAGCAGAGGTTCTCCATGAGGGTGCCGCCTCTGCAGCAAACTTTTGCCTGGGCATGCGTGCATTTTCATACATCTTCTGAAATCTAGGCGGAGGTTCACAAACCTCAGTTCTTGAATTCTGTGCATCTCTGGGCTCAACATCAAGTGGAAGTTGCCAAAGCTTGGGGATTCCACCCTCTGAAGCCACAGCCTGAGCTGTTTGTTGGCTCCTTTCAGCCAAGGCTGGAGTGGCTGGGACACAGGGCACCAAGTACCTAGGCTACACACAGCATAGGGAACCTGGGCCTAGTCCACAAAACCACCTTTTCTTCCTAAGCCTCAAGGCCTGTGATGGGAGGGGCTGCTGTGAAGGTCTCTGATGTGGCCTGGAGACATTTTCTCCATGGTTTTGGGGATTAACATTAGACTCCTTGCTACTTATGCAAATTTCTGCAGCCAGCTTGAATTTCTCCCCAGAAAATGGGTTTTTCTTTTCTATTGCATAGTCAGGCTGCAAATTTTCCAAACTTTTATGCTCTGCTTCCCTTATAAAATTGAATGCCTTTAACAACACCAAAGTCACCTCTTGAACAGTTTGCTGCCTTAGAAATTTCTTCCATCAGATACCCTAAATCATCCTTTTTAGGTTCAAAGTTCCACAAATCTCTAGGGGAGGGGCAAAATGCCACCAGTCTTTTTGTTAAAACATAACAAGAGTCACCTTTGCTCCAGTTCCCAACAAGTTCCTCATCTCCATCTGAGACCACCTCAGCCTGAATTTTATTGTCCATATTGCTATCAGCATTTTGGGCAAAGCCATTCAAGAAGTCTCTAGGAAGTTCCAAATTTTCCCACATTTTCCTGTCTTCTTCTGAGCCTTTCAAACTGTTCCAACCTCTGCCTGTTACCCAGTTCCAAAGTCACTTCCACATTTTCAGATATCTTTTCAGCAACGCCCCACTCTACTGGTACCAATTTACTGTATTAGTCCTTTTTCACACTGCTTATAAAGACATAACCAAGACTGGGAAGGAAAAAAAGTTTATTTAGACTTACAGTTCCACATGGCTGCAGAGGCCTCAGAATCATGGTGGGAGGTGAAAGGCACTTCTTACATAGTGGTGGCAAGAGAAAAATAAGGAAGAAGCAAAAGCAGAAACCCTTAATAAACCCATCAGATTTCGTGAGACATATTCACTATCACGAGGGTAGCATGGGTAAGACCGGCTCCTGTGATTCAATTACCTCTCCCTGAGTCCCTCCCACAACACATGGAAATTCTAGGAGATACAATTCAAGCTGAGATTTGGGTGGGGACACAGCCAAACCATATCTGTATGTGATTAGATAGGAAGCTTGCTCTAAGTTGGTAGAATGTAATTTAATGCAAGAGAGTTTGAGTTGAAACAGTTTGAGATAAATATGATTTATATTACAAATATTTTACAGCAAACTTTTTCAATTTGTCATTATTGAAAATGTTTCAGATAAAAATGAAAGATGAAGAGTCTATTGACTCTTTTTTCTTAAGCTAAAATAGACAATACCAATATTAATTTATATATAGTATGTATGAATGTTACTTTTGCTTTTTGATATGAAATATAAGTCATATGTTACTATAATAATAAGCACTACTGACAAAGTTTCTTCTTAATTGTAATCTTTACAGCATAATGAATTCATCTTCCTACATCTAGACATGCAATAATGAAATATTTTAAATACTGAATTTAGGATGAATTTGATTTTATATATGCTTAAATTTGAAATAACCACTTTCAAATTTCTCACCCAGTGATTATAACAATAAATGATCTTTGCTAGATATACAAAGGTACTTTCAAGCAATATTCCTTTTGTTGCTTACCACAATTATGAAGTCTAATTTCAGAAATCTCAGATTAAGTGGGATAGTCAAGCATAGTGACAGAATTGGTATTTAAACCTGGACTGCTTCAATGCCTAATCTGTTGAGGGTTTTTTTTTTTTTTTATCATGAAGGGATGTTGGATTTTATTGAAGGCTTTTTCTGCATCTATTGGGATGACCATATGGTTTTTGGTTTTGATTCTGTTTATGGGGTGAATCACATTTATTTATTTGCATATGTTGAACCAACCTTGCATTCCAGGAATAAAGCCTACTTGATTGTGGTGAATAAACCTTTTGATGTGCTGCTGGACCTGGTTTTCTAGTATTCTGTTGAGGATTTTTGCATCTATGTTCATCAGGGATATTGACCTGAAGTTCCCTTTTTTCAGTGTGTCTTTGCCAGATTTTGGTATCAGGAAGATGCTGGATTTGTAGGATGAGTTAGGGAGAAGCCCCTCCTCCTTGACTTTTTGAAAGGGCTTTGGTAGGATTAATATCAGTTCTCCTTGCATGTCTGGTAGAATTTGGCTGTGAAGCCATCTGTTCTGGGGCTTCTTTTGGTTGGTAGTTTTTGTAGTTTTTTAAATTACTGATTCAATTTGTGAACTTTTTATTGTTCTGTTCAGGTTTTTGCTTTCTTCCTTATTCAATCTACTATTTGACTCAGCAATCCACTACTGGGTATATACCCAAAGAAAAATAATTATATCAAAAGACATATACACCCATATGTTCATCGCAGTGCTATTCACAATAGCAAAGACATGGAATCAACCTAGGAGCCCATCAGCAGAGGATAGGATAAAGAAAAGTGGTACATATACAACATGGAATACGATGCAGCCTTAAACAAGAATGAAATCATGTCCTCTGCAGCCAACATGGATTCAGCTGGAGACCATTATCATAAGTGACCTAATGCAAGAACAGAAAACCAAAAACTGCATGTTCTCACTTATAAGTGGGGGCTAAGCATTTAATACTCATGAAAGTAAATACAGGAATGATAGACCCTGGGGACCACTAGAAGAGGGAGGGAGGGAAGAGGGCATGAGCTGAAGAACCATCTGTTGGATATTATGCTTTCTGCCTGGGTGACAGGGTCATTGGGACCACAAGCCTCAACCACAGGCAATTTACCCATGTAGCAAACCTGCATGTATATCCTTTAATCCATAATAAAAGTTGAAATTAATAAAAATAAAATAAATTGTACAAAAAAACCCTTGGACTTCTAATGCCAAAGACTACATTTCCAGGTATTTAAAGTAAATAGACTAAAATAATTGATTAGAGAATTTTAGGTGAGAGGAAAACACCCTTTCTCTGTGGATTAATAAAAACCCAATTAATATTCTTTCTTTTTATTCTCACCTCTCATTCCTTTATAGAGAAGAGCAATGGAAAGAAGAAGGGAGCAGGGAAACATGGTCAAGGAAGGAAAGTGATTCTCAATCAGGAGAAAAGGTAGCTCTCACTGGTGAAAATTTGGTGCAGTACAACCAAAATACAAAATCCAGTTTACAAAAAATGAAATATTTCAGTGACCCATATATTTATTTTTCTGTGTTTTTCTGCATGGGTTTGGGTTTTTTCCCTATTATTTCAGAATTGGGCTGTAGCCTGCAAGTAAATTAAAGAACACTTGTTTTCATTTTTAATTATTGATCAGCTGTCTCTAAGGTTCATTTACTATTAATGCAGAGGTAGAATTGTGTTTTTTCCATACTCTTTAGTTCTTGATGAACCCCATATGGTTCTGGTGCTCACAGCTCTTCAATAATTCAAGATTATCATGGAAAAATAATCAAGTTTTGAAAATCTAGATCAGTGGTTTTCAAAGTTTTTTCTCCTGTCAACAATAGAAATATTTTTTTTCTAGTTAAATTATGATCTGGACTCAAACTTTTAAACTGTGTTTAAGTGGAGCTGCTTGGCTTTTGTATAAGAAGGAAGGTTTCTCCATGACTCAATTAACTTTCCATCCTCTCCGGTGACCCCAGAGGTAGCTCTTTCAAAGGTTGGGGCTCCTGTTGAACAGAATTTGAAGTACACTGAGATAGATGAAAAGCAGTTAGGATGTAGCTCAGGCTGAGTTCTGAGATAGAGCTGATCTGGGTTCAAACCATGAACCTCACCATCAACTAGGCTTGTTACCAACAGCAGGTAGCTGAACTTCTCTAATATCAGTTTCCTCCTCAGTATAAGTGGGGAGAAAATAATGCCCACCTCATAAAACTGTTTTGAGGATTGAAATAATGCATAAGAAGTATTTGGCATGTATTGTTACTTGTGTCAGTTAATAATCTCTTCTGAGACATATTCTATAGTGATACAATGTTGGCAGTATGATGAAGCCATAGAGATAATGCTACTCAGAGTACAGACTGCTTTCTTGATGACAGACCTGAATATTTCAAATTATAATCCTAGGAGGCTATAGTTTATGCTTTTTTCCAACTCTAAGATTTGTATAAAGACACATATAAAGTGTATCCATTTTGAATAATACATTTAAAGGGATACTTTATCCCCTAAGATGCTGCACTGGTGAAAATCCCTAGGATAATGTGTAATCTTCTTTGACAGTATGTGCACGTAAAATAGTTTCACAAGTGCAAGATGGCAAATGTAATCTTCCCATGTGCAAATAGACTTTATTCCATTGAGGGTAGAGTCTCTACAGCTGAGTTTTTTAATGCCATGGTATCATTTATCTAATTTTTTTTTTTTTTTTTTTTGAGAAGGAGTCTCGCTCTGTCAGCCAGGCTGGAGTGCAGTGGCGCGATCTCAGCTCACTGCAAGCTCCGCCTCCCAGGTTCAAGCCATTCTCCTGCCTCAGCCTCTTGAGCAGCTGGACTACAGGCGCCTGCCACCACGCCCGGCTAATTTTTTGTATTTTTAGTGGAGACGGGGTTTCACCGTGTCAGCCAGGATGGTCTCGATCTTCTGACCTTGTGATCCACCCGCCTCAGCCTCCCAAAGTGCTGGGATTACAGGCGTGAGCCACCACGCCCGGCCTCATTTATCTAATTCTTAATAAGCAATCCATTTTGCTTTGTTTCTTCTCTCCCTCGCTTCCTTCTCTTCTTCCTTGCTTCTATTTGGTGCCAAACACCGCGTTTTATTTATGATATTAAAAAGTAAAGTGAGTGTGATGGTGGCTGGTCACCCATTGTTTTGAATTAATAACAGAAAAAAAGAAATATTTTAGTGGCCCATATGTTTATTTTTATGTGTTTATGTATGTGGTTTTGGGGTTTTTTAGTGCCTTCTATCCCTAGAAGTCACTTTAATCTCAAGACTGTCCAAATAAACTTTTCAGCAAAAGCATCAGGTGAGAAGTCTGGGAGAAACCATCCTATAAAACAATATGAACAGAATGGAGCAGTGAACACAATGCTCCCATTCTTTCTCTGTCCTCCAAGCCATCTTTCTTCTTATAGACTCCCTGCCATGTGTTGCCTGGCTCAGGTTCTACATGTTCATCCTGCCATATTGGCACTGGCTTCTTTGAATTCTGCTCTAGTTCTGAGACGGTGGCGCTTTATTCACTACTAACTCCCAGGACCAGTGCATGCTATTCTTCAATTTATTGTGTAGATTAAAAGGTATCTTCTTAAAAAATGATGCATGCTGCTGGGAAATACAGACACTTTAATTTTACTTAGAATCTTACTTGGAATGTGTTAGTAGCCAGATAAACAAGCAAGACTGACTCAGGAAAGAAGCCAGAGAAAGGGTAAGTGTGTCAAGCAAAAGTAGACAGCAGCACCAAATTGAAAAAAAAAAAAATGAGAGGAGGAGAAGAGGCTAAAGGTACATCTCCTTTTACTTTTCTTTCTTTCTTTCTTTCTTTTTTGTAATTTTGCTTTAAGCTTTCCATTCAAATTATCTTATGCTTCTTGGACTAGCTATTAATATTAGACTTATGGTTGATTAGCATTTCAAAGAGATAGAGGCAATGTATGATGATTCTGAGTCACCTACTCCATTGAATGACAGCTTGACTAACCCAGTGACACATACAGGTCTCAGCCACACCCCTATCCTGAACGTGTCTTCTCAGAATTCTCTCCCTTAATCTTGATCTTTGTGTTCTTCTTTGACTTTCCATTTTATGTCTCTTTTGCCTCTTGTAATGAATTCTCTGTTTTCCTAATCTTCCTCCTTACCTCTTTCAAAGTCTGTGTATTTCTTTCTCCCTCTTTGTGAGTGAGCTTTCTCTCTCTCTTTTTCTCTAATATTTTGCATACCCTTAATTCTTATCTGTACAAGCCATGGATTTTGAATTATATATTTGAAATATTAACTGCAGCTATTTAATAAAGATTTACAACTCTAGGTTTCTGTTAAATAACAAGTAGTTGAAAGTTAAAAATTTCACATTTTACAGGAGAGGTTTTTTGCTATGTAAGCCACTTCTTCTTTGGACTTTAGGTCAGAATATTTAAGTAGAAAAAGAACTATCAGTTCTAATTTAAGCTGTTATTTTAATGTTATAGACAGTAAATTTAAATTATTCATGGCATTATGGAATATTCCTGGGTTTCCTGATCCTCTAGTTTTAGGCTACAGTGTTTCATGAACTGGCTTAACTACAAAAACCATTATCTAAAATCCATACCAAACATTAAAAGGGCAGAAAAGGGGAGAAGGCATACAGACATTGAAAAATTCTGCACAAACTTCAGCCTGTAAGTGCTTTGAACTCACACACAACCTTTAATGTTTTCCTTGCATTCTTTGAATGAACCTCACTTTTCTGTTCAGAACCCTAGCATGTCTAGGAACTTACATTGCATGTGCTTAATCATGGAAGTGACCATATGTTCTTTTTATTTCTAACTTTATTTGGCTCTGTCTGCCCTGACTTTTTCCTCTCTGGTCATAAAGTTTTTATCTTACCATTCAGTTTCTCCCAGAAAGCCTCTGAACCAGTCCAACTTTGTTATTTCTGTCTGCTCCCCGAGTCCTTGATGGAAGTGTGGGTGAGGATGGGGGACTGTTTAAACTTTTCCCTTTTAGGTTACCATCTTATCTCCTTGCTCTCCCAGTATCAATATTCTCTCTGCTAGAGAGCAGCTTCTCAACCTACTTGGGTCCCTTAGGGATGTCTCTGCATACTAATCTTTCAGTACTTATCTGCAATCCATTACTTACCCTCATTAAATACAGTTTGGATCATTTCCCAGAGTCAATGGCAAAAATAAAAAGGAATTTTTAGTTTAATTAAAGACTGGCACCATTTTTTAATTAATTTTTTGACAAATAGTAATTGTGTATATTTATGGGGTATAATGTGATGTTTTGACACATGTTTAGATTGTGGAATGATCAAATCAGAGTGATTAGCATATCCATTACCTCAAATATTTGTTATTTCTCTGTGGTGAGAACACCTAAACTCCTCTCTTTTAGCTATTCTGAAATATCTGCTACATTATTATTAACTAAAGTCATCTTCCTGTGCAATGGAACACCAGAACTTATTCCTCCTATCTAACTATAACTTTGTACTTATTGACCAACATCTCCTCTTTTCCTGTTCACTTCCCAACTCCCAGCCTCTGGTAACCACCATTCTCCTCTCTACTTCTATGAGTTTAACTTTTTTAGTTTCCACATATAAGTGAGATTATACAGTGTTTGTCTCTCTGTGTGTGGCTTATTTCACTTAACATAATGTCCTCCAGGTTCATCCATGTTGTTGCAAATGACAGAATTTCCTGTTTTTGTAAAGGCTGAAAAGTATTCCATTGTGTGTGTATATATATGTATATGTATATACACACTTTAAAATTATTCATCAGTTTATAGACAAAAGTTATTTCCATATCTTGGCTATAATGAATATTGCTGCAATGAATATGGGAGTGTAGACATCTCTTTGGCATACTAATTTTAATTCCTTTGTGTGTACACCCAGTAGTGGGGATTGCTGGATAATAGGGTAATTGTATTTTTACTTTTGTGAGGAACTTCCATGCTAGTTTCCAAAGTGGCTGTACTAATTTACAGTAGCATCAATAATATAAAGTCTTCCCCTTTTTTCCACATCCTTAACAACATTTGTTATCTTTCATCTTGATAGTAGCCACCGTAACAGGGTGAAGTGATATGTCATTGTGGTTTTAATTTGCATTTTACTAATGACTAGAGATGTTAAGCACTGTGGGCATTTGTATGTCTTCTTTTGAGAAATGTTTATTCAAATTCCTTGCCCATTTTTAAAGTTATTTTTTTCCTTGTTATTGAGTAGTTTGAGTTCCCTGCATATTTTGGATATTAGCCCCTTATCCAGCATATGATTTGCAAATATTTTCTCCTAATCTGTGGGTTGTCTCTTTACTCCCTGAATTGTTTTCTTTGCTGTGCAGAGTTTTTTGGTTTGATGCAATCCCATTTGTCTATTTTTGCTTTTATTGCCTGTGCTTTTGGGGTCATATCCAAGAAATTTCTGCCCAGACCAATATGGGTACTCTCCCCTAAGTACTTTTTAGTAGTTTTACAGTTTCCAGTCTTATGTTTAAGTCCTTAATCCATTGTGAGTTTATTCTTGTATTAGGGGTGAGATAAGAGTCCATTTTGGTTCTTCTGTATGTGGACTTCTGTTTTCTCAACAGCATTTATTGAAGTGACTGTCTTTTTCTCATTGTGTGTCCCTAGTGCCCTTGTCAGAAATCAATTGACTATTGATGTGTGGGTTTATTTCTGTGCTCTCTGTCCTATACCATTAGTTGAGGTGTCTGTTTTTACGCCAATATCATGCTGCTTTGCTGTTTTGATTACTGTGGCTTTGTATATTATTTTGAAATCCTGTAGCATGACGACTCCAGGTTTGTCCTTTTTGGTCAACATTGCTTTGGCTATTTGGAGTCTTTTATGATTCCGTACAAATTTTATAATTGTTTTTTCTGGGCCAAGTGTGGTGTCTTATGCCTGTAATCCCAACACTTTGGGGGGCCAACACAGGCAGATCATGAAGTCAGGAGTTTGAGACCAGCCTGACCAACATGGTGAAACCCCGTCTCTACTAAAAATACAAAAAGTTCGCCGGGTATGGTGGCGTGACCTGTAGTCCCAACTACTTGGGAGGCTGAGGCAGGAGAATCACTTGAACCTGGGAGGTGGAGGTTGCAGTGAGCCAAGATCACACCACTGCACTGGGTGACAGAGTGAGACTCTGCCTCAAAAAAAAAAAAAAAAAAGAAATAATTGTTTTTTCTATTTCTGTAAAGAATGACATTGGGATTTTGATAAGGATTGCATTGAAACTGTAGGTCACTTTGGGTAATATGGACCTTTTAAAAATATTAATTCTTCCAGTCTATAAACATGGGATATCTTTTCATTTGTCATCAATGTTTTATAGTTTTCAGTGTAGAGATCTTTCACTTTATTGGTTAAATGTAGTCCTAAATATTTTGATTTTTTGATGCTATTATAAATAGGATTGTTTTCTTATTTCTTTTTCAGACACTTTGCTGTTAGTGTGTAGACATACCACTGATTTTTGTAAGTTGATTTATGTATCCTGTAACTTTACTGAATTTGTTTTTCAGTTCTAGTAGTTTTTTTTGGTGGAGTCATTACGATTTTCTTTATATAAGGTCATGTTGTCAGCAAATGAAGATGATTTTACTTCATCATTTCCTATTTTGATGCCTTTTATTTCTTTCTCTTATCTAATTGTTCTGGCTAGTACTTCGAGTGCTATGTTGAAAAGAAGTGATGAGAGTGGGCATCCTTGTCTTTTTCCTGATCTTAAAGGAAAAGTCTTCAGCTTTTTACCATTAAATATGATGTTAGGTGTGAATATTGGCATCATTTTCAACAATAAAAATGTTTTTAAAATTTTATGTTGTGGCAAAAATTGGCTATGCAAGATATTTTTATCATTTTATAAAAGATTATGGATCAAAAAATATTAATGAAAATAAAACAAAATATATTAAAGCTTCCTCTATTATCTTTATTCAACTTAGGTTTAAATTGTATGATAAATTAGAAATGGAAGATATTAAGAAAATAAAAGGCTTTATAGAACTTTTGTAGAAATTTGAAAGATTTGCATAATTTGTATAGAGTAAAATTGGGGACAGTTTTCCATGAGGTCATAAGTACAGGATAGGAGGGCATTAAGGTGGTGGAATAAAATTGGTACATACTGGTATGGGACATAATTACAGCAAAATGTGTGCAGGGGGTAGGATTCATTTATTCAGTCAGTTGGACAGTCAATTATATATTTTACAAATTGTCTAGTTAGTGTTATTTTGTGCCAGTCATTATACTAGGTTTTGGGATTTCAGTGGTAAATAAAAACAGACAACATGAAGTATAACTGTATAAGCATTCATTGAGTAATAACACAATAATTTAATGATTATGTATGTGTTTGGCAGGAAGACAACCGAAGCCATAGAACCACATAGCAGGGGGTCTTGTTATGCAGAGTGTAGAATCAGAGATTTCCATGATGAAATGATATTGAATTAAATATTAAAGTGGGAGTGAAGAGAACATCCTTTCTGTTTTATTTTGAGATTGGCAACCCTCGGCATTCTTAAAGTTCAAGGGGAAGGATTCAGTACCTAGGGAATAGTAGAACATATGGAGGAAAAAAAGATATCTGCAAGATATCTGAGATGGTAGAAATAGGAAATGAAGTTGTAGGATTTTGTGGTGGGGAAGCGGGTCACAGTTTAGTGCTTTCCTTAAGACAGGAAAAGATACTTGTGATTGTTTTGTAAATAGGCTCTTGAACAGGGAGGAAACTGGTGAAGCTATTGCTTTAAGAATGGTGGCAATAGATTGTTGAGCGATTGGAATAGCTTAAGAGTGAAAGACCAGGTCAAGTGGAAGATAGCTGCATCTAAGCAGTCATTGAGTAATAAGGTCATGAATCGAGATAGCTTAATGTCCACGTGAAAATTATCTTCTATGTTTTCTGTTTTCGTGACATGTTTTCACTCCTATTTTTTTTAAAACAAAATGCAGTTGTGTGTATCTCAGAAGTCCTATTCAGTAAAAATTTTCCCTATACTCTCAGGAAGAGTTTTATTGCAACTCCCCCAGAATCCCACAGAATTTGATTTCTACCTCTTAGTGCACACTCTATGAAACAATGAATTGTTTATGTTCTTGTTACCTGAATAAAACTGATAATTTCTCATGGGCTTGGAGAGTTGTTATTTATTTTTTATAGCATACACAAGGCAGAATTTGGAAAATATTGGACACACAATAGATAACAATTAGATATTGTTATTGATTGACTGAGTGCCTAGATGAAGAGAATCAACATTTGCATTTTTTATATTTTCCACAGGTAGCCTGTCTTGTTGCTTTTCTTCTTAGTGTATCTTTAAGTAAAAGACTTCATAATTTGGAAAATGCCAATACCTTTATTGTTGAAATCAATTGCATGCCTAAAGCAGACAGATTAACTGCTTTTCAAGACATAGAGAATTCATGGTAACTGGTTTATCTAACAGTATTATTATTCAGTTTCAGAATAATACATACCAAAATATGTTGTGTTTTCCCATTCTTAGTGGCTGTTCTAACAGGTTCACCAACAACGTTGTTTACTTCTCTCTTTCTCTCTCTTACTTTCTCTCATGTCTCTATATATCTATAATCTTTCTATCTATCCACTGATCTATAATCCCATGTATATACATATATGTACCCTGAAGCGAGATAAACATGGATTTAAATCGTGTTGCCTTAATTTAACTATGACTCAGAAATGTCATACAGTCACTGAGCCTCAGTTTCTGCATCTGAAAATGGTAAATAATTTCTCTTATCTTGCAGACTTTAAGACAGGATTAGAAATAACATCTTGTGAAGTATTTAATAATTGGTAGACAATTCACAGTGGCTATTATTTTGGTGTATACTTTATGGTACTCATTGTTATGTAGTTGTATATAGGCATAAATGGTTAATGCTATTCATAACTGACAATGTATTCTGATCCTTTTTGGTGGACAACTGAGAGAAAAGTCTGTGGTTTCAGATTCTGCCCCTTTAGGAATGGATAATTGAGAGGAAGGAGCCGGGATTCTTCATTCCTCTCCCTCCATTAGCATCCAAACTGGAACCTTCATGATGGAGGATAGGATGGATTCTCCTGTTAGAGAAGATAGTTGCACCATCTGAACACTGGTTACTCAGGATTCTATGTTTATCTTTTAACTTTTTCAATGAGGACGACTATTGTATTGGCAGAAAGAGTGCTTTTTGATATGGTTTATGTATATGCCCAACTCCTAATGCACAAACCTGTTAGTAGAGCACATTCAGGATACTCAAGCCCTGACTACTGTTGAATAAAGAAACAATAACCCTATTTTATTTAGAGGAACCACCTCAAAGTCTCTTGCAGTAATGCTCAATTCTCTTCCCTTCCTAACTCACCAGGAAGAAGGGGGCTGGAGGCACAAATACATGTTTCTTCCCACTCCCAAAGAGAAAGGCTGTGCAGTGGGAGTAGGCTAGATGTTACAATTCTTTGCTCCATTAGGGGATTAAAATGACAGGTGACACTTCTCTTTTATAAGCTAGGCACCTAGGAAAAAAAGGTTGCTTGTTTTGGGTTTGCTTTATAATAAGAAGAATATGCTGAAGCACAGGGTGCTAGAAAATAAAAGATGGGTAAGAGGTTTGATGAAAGACTGGGAATAAAAGTAGTTGCATTTCTAGAACAGCATGAAAATGTAATCCTACAATGTTTGAGATTGCCATGGATGAAGTTTTAAAGAAGTGACTTTGCTCAGGAAATTAAGTTTTTGATCAAGGAGAGTAAAGGTTAAGAAAGTATTTGCAATTTGGTATCAGGTTTAGAGAAGACTTCAAGTGTTATAGTATAGAGGCCATTTGGAAAGTCAACCCTTAGCCTAAAGTATGGAGAAAGGGGAGGGAGAGGAGGGCTTTTAAAAGGAAGTAGGAAAGACAAAATCGTATCTTGCTCATTTGATAATTTTGCCTAAAATCTGATGGGACTGATCTTAGCTTAGTGGCCCCATCTTTTTAAAAACGTTTCAGCCCATCTTTTCTGGAATTGGTAAGATTGGAAGTGGATAGCAGCTGGGCGTGTCTTCAAATGATTTGTTGTTGAACAGAATAATTCCTTTTCTAGAACTAACCCATACTAAGGTGTTGTATAGAGGTGGAGTAGGGTGGTGATAGCTAGTTATTTATTGGGCAAACATGCTAAGCAAAGTAGCTTAGAAAGTATAATGGCACAAAGATAAACTGTTGGCTTACTTCCTGCTTAGTGAAATATTGTTTATTAAGACTCAATTCATAGTTGGCTTCTATTGATTTTTTACCATCCAGTACTCAAAGATGTGCAAAAATGTTCCAGCATTTGCTCAATAATCAAATGATCACTTTCTTTGTATTGACAATCTCTCTTGATGTTAGTTTGTTCCACATGTCATCCAAGGCTGACAATCGTTATAGTAGCCTCAAGTTTTTCGTCATTACAACTTCTTGACCTCTCTCCTTCTTTCTCTTTCTCCAACTTAAGACCCAGGTATATAGAACCATTTGCAACTTCTACAACATACTGTCATTGCTTATACTTTACCCAGTGGTTGGAACATTCTAACTTACTTCTTCACTTGCCTCACTCTACTGAATTCTCAAGACGGGGCTCAATGTCCTATAGGAAGCATGGCCAGTTGCAGGATGAAGTCAAAGATAGCTGTCTCTGCTACGTGCTCCAGTTAGATTTCTGTGCTTTGTAACAGCATTAATCACAACATATAGCATGTCATTTTCCTGCTCCTCTCTTTCTGGGTCATGAATAACTTGAGGAGGAAGAATCTATTTTACTTTTGCTTTGAAATACACACACACACACACACACACACACACATACACACACACACACACACAGAATACCTAATGTATGATTCAACATAATGTCTGGCTTAGTAGGTCATCAGTAGGTTCAAAGAATAAATGAATATATGAATTGCAAGTGCTTTGCATAATGGATATGTAATAAGTAACTGTTAAATAAATGTTTTCAAAGGAGTTACTCTTCTTGAAGAAAGCAAACTTCTTGATTCTATTTTTATTACAAAAGTTTAAAGATATATTTAATGAGACATTTTCAAAGGAAATGCCATAAATGGAGGTCATTAATCATTCACTAATTCCTTTTCAACCAACTTCAGGTGATTGTTTCCCCCAAATCAAATAAATGTTAAAATTATTTGTATAGCTGTTAAAGTGATTGATATAACTTACATTTAAATGGAAGAAAAGTGTTTTGATAGTAACATTTTCAGCCCCAAGATAGCATGTTTTCCTCATGTGTTTTCCAAAGAAAGGAAGCTAGATTACTATGACTTAATTTATAATATATTTCAACATTGATGGATGAAAAAATAATGAAGTGTTTATTTACCTGAAGAAAGTAAATTCAAGGTCCAATATATCTTAATATACTGATTTATTGCTTATGTAATGTATAATATTAATTATGTACAACTGCATTATACAACATACATAATGGCAGTAATTATGTTCGTGTGTCTGAAATACATTTTTGAATGAGGTATTTATTTATTGAATTCAAAGGGCAGAACAATAAGTTAAAAGAAAGTATAAGGCATGGCCAGAGCTCGGTCCAGTTTCCAGCATACAACAAGCTCTCCATAAAGCATAATTTCTCTTTTAAGGATATTGTCCTTAAGGCAGTGTGCTGTGGTAGTGTTGAGTCAAGCAGTCTGGACTTAATAAGACGTTTCCCTGGCATTCAAAAGTTTTTGATCTGTTAAAGGTAGAAAAATTTTTATTAAAAAGACTATTTTGTATTAGCCAAAAGGGGATATAATCGTTGTTAATGTAAAAATAGATATGATGTATTACTTAAAAATTTTTGACTCTCTAATATCTTTCAAATTTCCAACACCAACAGTAATATAAGTCCAGTAAGCCATGAATCAAATTGGAACTGTACTTCAGCAATGGTGTAGTTCTTTGCAGTGCAGTCTATTATGTTAAGTAGTTTCTTACCGTATGAAATTCATGTGTTCTTTTCATAAACCTAGGATTATAAAAAGTCTAATGTGATGTGTGAGTTTAAGGCTATGAATCCAGCTTTAGGGAGGTCTCATTAAGGAAAAAGGGGACAGATGGATCCATGTGCCTACTGTGTGTTATAGTGCCTACTGAGTGCTTTTGGAATAAAAAGATGAGTAAGTTTGAGCCTTTTAACAATAGCTACTTCCCTTAGAAGGAGGAAAGGAAATTACAGAATACCTCTTTGAATTTTTGACCAGTTATAAATTTTTTTTAAAAGTGAAATAAAGAAGTTAACTAATTGGATTTGCTTCACTATTTCAGTCAATCTGTGTTGAATCTTTGAGCAAAACTGGTTGAGCAGCTTACATGACAGCTCTCCAAGTAAATGGAAAATTTCCCAAGCTCATGCTGGTTAGGAAACAGAAGTCCTCTTTTAAAGCAGTGCAGAACTCAGCAGTTTGGGTTTCATTGAACTGGCTTAGTGGTTTCAACTTATATAACTTCCATATGGAAAGTTAAGGGGAACATAGAAACCAAACCCTCTTATTGTACCACCTGAGAGCAGCTGCTCTTTCGGGGGTTTCTGGTACATTGCCTAGGACCCTGGAGATCTTTTATTTTTCCTAAAAATCTGGAATTCTGTCCAAAGACCAACGAAACCATGAAAGTCAAACTTATGCAAACTAATTTCTAATGGCAGTGAGAGGAGGAAATCCAGTTTAATCTCCTTTTTAAAGTGCACAAACACTTGGAACTGTTTGACCTAACAGTCAGCAAAGGGTCCAGAGAGAACCAACACAAAACAGGCAACAGGATTGTGTTCTCTAGTAAATCATGGATGGTGAAAAAATTTTGTTTTTCTTTTGAAATAGTCTAGAGGCAAATGAGAATATTAGGCTGAACACTGTAAATTACAGACAACTAGGAACCATGATTGGTAAGGACTAAAGATGCAATTTTGAAACTAAAACAAACAAAAAATTTATGTCTCACTTGGTTATGGGAGGACATTGAGAATCAATGAAGGTCTGTCAAGTATTATACTAAATGTATTATACTAAATGTATTATATGTGCTTTGTCATCTAATTTTTTATCACTTCTGTGGGTAGGAATTATTTCAACCTAATTTTTGCTTCTGAAGAAACTGACAGAGAGACGGAATGTGTTTCTAAAGGACTGAAAAGGGGTGAATTTAGGATCGAATCCTAGGTGTGTTTCTACCTGTTTTAAACATACTGCTTTCTATTTTGAGGTGTTTATAATATTTCTTTTAGGTATATGAATTTACAAATGCCAAGAGTGGGTTGAACCATTCTTAAAATATTGATAGTTTCATAAAAAATATTGTAAAAATCTTTACATGCCTAAAATTGATTACTTCTCTGAGAAAGTTTCTACATGATTGAATTTGTGTGGCCGAATGAAAAGACATATGTTTTAGAAGAGAAAAGTAATGAATGATTGATGATTGTGCAGTGTTTCTATCCAGTGATTTAGAACTCAGCTTGTTTGAATTGCTTTAGCAGAGGGATCACAAGCGATATATATTTTTTAAGTAAATGTTTAAAACATTGGCTATATCTTTAATTAGAGAAAAATTTCTGGACTCACGACGAGCACAGAAATTTGAGAAAATTAGTGTAATTAAAACTCAGATGTCCAGCAAGTTTGTATTATATTTCTTTTGTGCTTCATAAGATGTGAATAATATTTTCCAAATAATTAAGACTGAATGTTAACTCTGTGAGAAAAAGAATTTATTTTTAGAAATTTGAATAAGAATCTCCCTTTAAAATCCACATTTCCATGCCATATGTGATCATTTTATGAGTAAAATTTTACCTTTCCTAGAATCCAAGATCATTATTATAAACATCAGCTACTGAGTTACTCTGTTAACTGCCATTGATACAATTTTTACAAAATATAAACTTGAGTAACAACTGGTCCTAGATTTAACAAACAGAAACAAAAATTACCCATTTATTGTAATAATGACATATTTTTAAATCTTCTATAACTGGAATAAAATAACCAGCCACTATATGTATCTGATCCTCTGCATTCTCATTCCAACTGCATGATGAAGGTCAAACTCCTGCTCAATGCATGATCTTTGTCACGAGGTGGAGCTTACCAGGACTTATGACTGTTTACAAACTGACCTTTTTCTCCTTTGACCCCTATCTTTTTCTTAGTATATGTGCTGCTGAAGTAAGCATTCTCCTTTGACTCTTTCCCTTCATTTTATTATTATTTTTTTCAATTTTTCTTTTCAATTTTTTGTGGGTACTCCCTTCATTTTAGAATCTCAAAGTAGCACTTAGTCACCAAATGTCTGTTTCTTCTGTTTTGAAGTCTAATCTAACTCCTCTGGCTCCCCTGAGCTAATGCTGATTCCCAAAGAGAAGGCACCCTTAACTCAAAGTTAGAAATATAATCAAAGTCCCTAAGTTTCCTCAAATATCTCTTTCTAGCATGTCTTTCTGAACTGAGTCTTATCAGAAATTTCTCCTGCAAAAATACTTTCCTGGCTTGTACTTCCTAATTTTATTCAAGAATGTAGCAGGAAATTCATGAAGCATTGATGAAGTGTCTATTATATGGAAGATACTCAGGTTCTTCACCACAAAGATGGCTAAGACGCATGCTCATCCCCCAAGATGCCCATGTTAAAGTGGGGGGCAGGGACATAAAGATGTAATATATATATAGATGATTGTGAAATGATATAGACGAGATTCAATCAAAGAAAAGATGTTCTTGAAAAGCAAATCTCCCACCATGATTAAGAGTCTGACTAAGAATATGGGAATGAACGTGATAGGCAGTGGGCTGAGAGATGTGCAAATAAATGCTGTGTTCTAGGAACCATGTATAGTTAAATAAGGCTGAGCATAGACATGAGAGAGATGGGGAGTGGAAGGAGGGCAGGCTGTAAGGGTGAGAACCATACCACAAATGAGACCATGCTAGGGAATCAGACTTGATTTTACACATGATGGGCTGCTTTTGGAGTGTGTTTATTTTAGATGAATTATTCTGTAGCAACAGTGCAGAAGAGATATTTGAAAGGGGCAACAGTGGAGGCAGGAAAACCAGTTAGGAAGTGATTGTTGTCATCTGAGCTGGATAGGATGAAGCTTTAGATTGGGTCCATAGCGATAGAGATGGAGGAGAGAAAATTTAGAGAAATATTTATTAAATGTACGTGATATGGAGAGTTCTAAATGTTTACCTTGAGCAGCAGGAACAGATGCAGATTTTGTGGGGCCTGAAAATAAAGTAAAATTATTAATTCAAAAGCAGGTATGAAAGTAAATATTTATTTAAAATGAGAGAATAAATCACAAGGTTACACACTTTAATAAAATGACAAGCCACAAACCTCACAAAATTGAGAAAAAGAAATGTATTTTATATAAGCACAAACTCAGTATTTCTTCAGTTCAACTTTCCTTTAGCCATATTCCAAAACTATCTGTACTCATTCTAATATCTCCCAACGTGAAGAAATATGATAGAGATGAAATCAGAATTCAAAGAGAATCAGGAGTGAGCAAGATACATCCCAGAACCTTTGTTCCTGGTGGTAAATTAAGCAATCATGTCTGGCGAAAGTCAGCACTTGTTATTTCTTATCTGCGTAAAATATTTTCCATTTTAAACCAAGAAGACTCTGAATTATCGGGAATTACATGTTTTTGGCCATAAGAGTGGAATAATGACTGTAATCATTAACAGTAAGGAGTGAGGGAGGCTACTCAATGAGGAAAGAAATGTGTAACATTGCTTCACTTAGGAATATTATCCCCCTCTGCTATTCACTCTTTTAGTGCCTTCCTGAATAGAATATCCTCCAATATTCAGATACAATGGGCTCTAGCATACTCTTTAAGAACCAAAATCTTGAAATCTATAATGAATCAATGCAGATAAACTTTTCTGAACTTTAATTAGATTTTTATCTATTTGATGTCTATGCACAGAAACAAGATAGCAAAACTAAGAATAAATAGGATTTTATAAATTGTTTTATTTAAAGAATAGCAAATATTAACTTTAGAGTATTAATTCCTGTGATTTCCTTGATATTTTTTAAGACAATCAGTGATTCCTATGAGAAATGTGGCAAGACTGGTGAAACATGCCATCTTTTAAGCTTTCTGTTCTTCCTTTGAGAGACAGCCCAGCATAGGGATTAATGCAGGAACCATGGAGTTTGACTGATTTAGTTGGACTCCAGGCTGCTTACTGGTTATATTCTACTTAACCTTTATTTGCCTCAGTTTCTTCATCTGTTAAATAGGGATAAAATGACACCTACCTTACTGGGTTATTGAGTGGATTATAGGTGTTAATATATGAAAATATCTTAGAAGCAATGCCTGGCTTCTAAGGTGGCTGTTATTGTTGTTATCCAAAGAGAAGGAAACATAATTTTCCTTAGACTAGCCTAGAAGTCCCTGTACAACTGAGTCAGTCAGATCTCCAGACTTTATTCCTAGCTACTATACCAGGTATGCTGAGCTCCAGCCCAGTGTTGCTCAGTGTGTTCCATATGGATGTTCTGAGATAATTTGTTATGCCCAGTAAGTGTAGAGCTGAATTAAATATTTTAGAGGTGGCAGAAAGTTCCATATAGTTTTTCATGCTTTAGACTCATAACTCCAAGGCTATATGGATGGTCTCTGAAGATGATGGGGCAATATCCTTTCTATCTGTTACCGTGAGCTTTCACTGAACATGACCATAATTGACTGTGCTAAGACTTTGGCCTTTCCTACTTTTGTGGTATAAGTTCAGACCCTTTGAAGAAGCAGTTCATAAATGCAATTAAATAAATTTCACCCCAACATTAGCTGTCCTGTCCTGACAAGGGAAGTGTTGCTTGTTTACTTAGCACTTGTGTCTTGTTAATACTGGTGATGGCCATCTGTGGGTATGAAGAGCTAATGGCTGTTAAGTGACAGACGAATCATTTCCACAGAGCATGCATACACGTTCTTTCTTTGGATGGCGTCTACAGTTTGTCCTTGGCAGACCATTGCTATTTTCAGACTTGCTTCCAGTATCCTCTTGTATGTGTTGCCTCACAGTAACTTGTCACTTCACTTAAGCAGAAAGCTCACGGTTCTCTCATTGCTGTACCTCCTGTACTAGCCTCTGAATGCAATGTTTGGGTGACTGCCATTATCACTTCCTTTGGCTTTTGATCACTAAACTTCCATTATCCAGGCATCACTTGTATTTATGAGTAAACTTTTCCTTTTGCACCACCCCCATACTCCAAGTCTTATAGATGAGCCATTTCCTGACAGCTAAGGAGCAATCAACTCCACTGTCCTCCTACATAATAATGAATAATCTTTTCTTGCAGTCAATAAAACAGGCTCCCACGATCATATCCTTTTATGACTTGGGGATGCTGGTGAAAAATCTTGACCAGATATTATTTGATTTGGGAGAATAGAGCAATGTAAATATGGCATTCAATATGCTTTAAAATAATTATCTGGAAGGTGTAACTTTCATGCTAAACATGATTTACACTACAAAGAAAGTAGTCTAGGAGAAATAAACCACGGAACTTGTGGGCATTTTGTAATTGTCTAATCTAGCTCCTTTATTTTATAGTTGTGGATGCTGGGGCCAAGTAGAGTTGACTTTCTCAAGGGCACATAGTCAAGGAGCAGTGGAGATGCTGGAATAGAGTCTTCTGATTCACAGCCTATTACTCTTCATTCTCGGATGTTTTATAACTGATAATATCTTTGAAAATATCTAAATATTTTTGTTTGGGAGGCTACTTGAGATCACTTCCTTTTCACTGATAGGTCAGAGGACACACAAGAAGTCCACTCTTAACATATCAGTAAGTGAGTGATGGATGAAGTGAAGAGGTAAGTGTAGACACCTCCATTTTTAAGTTACATTGTTGGGGAGATGGGAAGAAATGCTTAATGAATTAGCTCTCCGTCTTTAGTCAATCTATCTACTATGATTTATCCAGTAATGCATTGGCCCCCGGAACTTGGTGCTTTTACATCTAGCACATCTCCATATCTTATATTTGAGTAAACTTTTAAATATTTATTAATTGTTATTCTGAGAGTGGAAATATCGTAAGTGTAGAATAAGGAGATTAGGCTCTACTCTAAATTCTATTGTGAACCTGAATCCTAATCATGACAAAGTCACTACTCTTTGCCTCAGTTTCTTCACATGTAAAATTGAGGTGCTGCTTTAAATAGCATCATCTAAAATTCATTTCAGATATTGTGAATGGAAAAGCTACAATCTCTGAATGTTACAACTGTCAGGTCAGTTACCCTCATGGATTTCATACATTTCCCATGCCTGGTTGTTGGCAGAGGGAAAAGAGTGGGAGTGTGGTGTCTGTGTTAGTATTGCCAGCTGATGGGCTTTAAAACAGGAGTAGTATGGTTTGAGTAACAAAAATACCTTCTTAGGATGCCTCACCAAATAATAGAGGGTGCTGAAGAGAGTATCTAAGTAAGAGACCTGGCTATTTCTGGAGGTTTTTCAACTAGACCTACGTTTAATATTTAAAAACATGAAAACTCATGTAATTAACATGTAACTTATTTGTATTAAAATTAGTATGCTGACATGATATTTTCTAAAACTGGGCCACATATGCATGGATTTCCTAAATAATCCTTCAAGAGAATAGAGCAGGAAATGAAGTGATATGCCCATTTGCAGTGTGGTATGGGGCTTCCTGAATGTATAAATGTGGAAGGCAGCAAGGTGGGGTTGGATACCAGTAATGCCAAGAACTTAATTTCAGCATTTCAACCACCGTGTACATCCTCAAAATGCCTTTCACTTTAATTTTGTATAAATACGAATTGGATCCCGGGTTACCTTTTGCTTTAGAGATGAAAAAAATGTATTTACGTTTCCCACACAACTGCTAGGAATTAAAGTAGTGTGAAAACTCCACACAAATAAATAATACATTTAAAACTATTTTTAGAAGAATAATTCAAAAAGACAGTAGTTTTGGGACATAGGCAACAAAAAGTCCCTTTTACCTAGGTTTCTTTGATTCAGAGATTCAGCATACGGATTTATGGAGACAGATTATATCCTCAACAAATTAAAGAATACAGGATATACACTGTTGTCTAATATAATATGAGGAAACTTTAAAATTTATTTCCATGAATTCTATGTTCAATTGGAAATATATGTTCAATTGAGTATCAGTAGAAAAATCTATTGTTTTTACTAATGACTCAGCTGCTTAAATGATCTATTGTATCGGTGGCCAGTGGCAGGAAGGAGGCTCTGTGCAGTATTGTTGTAACCATGACATTAGTGACATCATTTAGCAGAAATAGAATTTGGGACATTTGGAAAACAAAGCAGTGGCCTCTTGGCTCAACTTTGTGAGAACCTAATAAATTCTAAGAAAGTATAATGGACAGTGTTGATTTCTCCATATATATTTAGTGATTTTACATGTATGCACACACACACACCTACATACATAAAGTATTTCATTTAAATTTACCTACTAATGTATGATATTCGCAATGCCGTATAGACTTTGGGAAGAATGTTAATCTTGTATTGCAAAGCCATGCTCTACTTTAAAAGCAATGCCTCCAGATGTACAGCATACTTAACAGGGCCAAGAAAACATGTAACGTTGATTCTGTTCTGAGATACACCTTTGTTAAAAAGAATCCCTTCAGTTTTTCCTGTCTGACTAAAAATGATGAAAGGCAGGGTATCCTGAATGGCTGTGTTAGAACATCGAGGTATTGGAGATCCGTGAAGGAGCATCATCGTTACTATAGAAACAAATGCTGCCCCTGTCATGGACATCCAAAGGACAGACTGAAAAATGAGGAAGGGAAAAGCAATGGGAGGAAGAGGTGCCATGAAATGAGAATAAAGAAACTACACAGGAAGGACTGAATTAAGAAAAGAACAGCCTGAGGCAGAGTGAGGAATCTAGACACAGAAAATTCCCAATGGAAATGTAAAAAACTGGATCACCACTTGTGTGGGTACAAAGAAATGATGACTTTTCTGTTTTTAAAAGTTAAATTTTCTTCTAAAGTATAAGTATGTTTTTGCCTTTGGAACAACTTTTTGTATCCTGAAGTCTCTCTTATGGCACATGTATACATATGTAACAAACCTGCACGTTGTGCACATGTACCCTAAAACTTAAAGTATAATAATAATAAAATTAAAAAAAATTAAATTTGAAAGAAAACAAAATAAGTGAAAGTATTGAAGATTGTGATAGAAAATGTGTTTGAATAATGAGTATTAGAATCTGTGACAAGTCACTCGACCTCACCTTAAAATAGGGAAACTAATAGCAACCTCATGATTATTGGGTCAGTATAGGAGAGAACCAAATTCAAACCCTGCTCCATGGAGTGAACATTTCTATTTTGGGGGAAAGATTAGGGAACGGAATCTGGGAATATAAATTATTCATTTTAGTATTTCAGAATGAAGAGAAAAGAGAAGATTTCTTTTCCTTTATTCCTCTCGCTGAAAAAGAATAATTTGTTCATGTTTGAAGACTGTGAACAGAGGTAGAAAACATTTATTATATATATGTAAATATATAATTAGATGACAGTTTACAAAGTGAATGAATAGATGCTATTAAAATGCTACTTTTGACCTTCAAAAACATCTCAAATAGGGTTGATATTATTTGGTTATTTGCTGATTTGGATAAATTGCCAAGCAGAATTTTATATCAAGAATAGAAGATATAACGTTTTTCTATAACATTTGATATGTTTTCTGGAAATGTTTACTTATAGATTATTATCACTCATGTATTGTGGTAGACAAGGTGATGTAGCATCCAGATACCTCTTAAAAGAAACACTTCCCAGCTCCTGCCTTTTTATCCAAAGTCATACTATTCACTCCTTAGGGCAGCCTACTTTCATAGCTGATGAAGGTTGGGGTATAAAGGTATGGCCATCTTCTGAGGTTCTGTTGGGTTTACCAAGGTGGTGGGGCCTGCATTGAAGCTCAGCTTTTCTTCTGCCAGTCCTGCTTCTTCCTCATCCCTTTCATGTTGTTGAGTCCAACAAGACAGTTCTTAATAAACATCCTGCATGCTAAACTTCAATTCACAGTCTGATTTCTAGAGAATACAACTGGCATCATATACTTTACTATTACAAGTAAAATATCATATGGATAAATATTTTCTATTTGAAATGTCCGTAAAGTTTTACTTTTAAAATCAGTTTTCACATGTATGCATAGCTTCAGATTACCTGTACTATCCTTTAAAAATTCACAAAGAAAGCTAAAAATGCTTGCAAAAATTGTTAGCTCATGTTTTATATGCAGAATCTTAGTGACTAAGGAATTTTAAGAAAATATTTATAATGATAGGGTTTCAGGAGACCCTAGAGATCGCATCAAACCCACTTGTACAGATAACAAAGCTGGAGCCTAGAGGGCTAAGAGGACTCTTTCAAGGCCATGCCAGGGCTTAGAACACAAGAAGTCCTACTACTGCTTTAGCTTTCTGTGTTCAGGGACCGAGTTTTTTTTTTTTTTTGCCTTTCTTCTCTCTTTTCTTTCCTCTTCTGTTTCTTTAACCTAATTTGCTTCCTCATGTTCGTAAGCCACAGCTGTTTCCCAGAACTGTGAAATCCTTTCCGAGAAATGATTAGGAGTGTGATGTGTGTAGGGTGGTATAGAGAGAGCACCTATAACTCCTGTAATTCTGTCAACTTGTAACTGTGCTTAAAATTTATCAAATTAGAGGGTGTTTTCTGAGCCTCATGACACTAGCGGTTTTCCCAGATGAAGTGAATGTTACCCAGGTTTCCTCTGAGAATCCAGAAGGCAGGCTGATGGGCAGCTTCTTCATTTTACATTCGAGACTACACATTTGTACCTTCCTCCCATGAGCACAAAAAAAGTATTCAATATTTCTTAGGCATTAGATGTAATAAAGTGTCATTAGGAGTTTTATAGTGTAGAAAAATGTATTATTTCCGAGCCCATTTTAGTCTTTCTATGTGGGAGACAGTGTATTTACTGCTAAACATGTTCTACAGTATATGGCCTGAATATATTCTGCAGTTATCTCATATCTAAGCAGGTATTTAAGTAGTTGAGATCCATTTATCTTTCCTGAAATGCCTTAATAATATTTTATAACTCATTAGCGTGTACAAAATACTTTTACGTATGTGTATTAAATGTTTGTTGAATAAATTATACATGTTCTTATATTCAGACATTAGAAAAGAAAGTTATGTAATAATCTCACTTAATTTAAGCCTCAATCTATGAAGTAAATATTATCTTCTCCATTTTCCAATAAGAAATCTAAGAATCTGCAAGTTTAAGTTCTGATAACCACTGGCTTACATTTTCTGTTTATCATGTCCCAGACATGTTCTAGGAGCTTTATGTGTATTAACTATTTCTTTGAACAACCCAGCTGAAGTTGGTACCATTATTATCAATGGCATTTTACAGTTGAGTACAATGAAACACAGAGAGATAGAGTAACCTGGCCAAGGTCACACAGTGGGTGAATGTTAGGAATGGGGGCTGGGCGCAGTGGCTTACTCCTGTAATCCCAGCACTTTGGGAGGCTGAGGCGGGCAGGATCACCTGAGGTTAGGAGTTTGAGATCAGCCTGACCAACATGGTGAAACCCCATCTCCACTAAAATACAAAAAATTGGCCGGGGGTGGTGGCGGGTGCCTGTAATCCCAGCTACTTGGGAGGCTGAGGCAGGAGAATTGCTTGAACCCAGGAGGCAGAAGTAACAGTGAGCTGAGATCGTGCCACTGCACTCCAGCCTGGGTGACAAGAAAGAAACTCCATCTCAATTAAAAATAATAATAATAATAAAAGGAATGGGATGCAGCCTAAGTAGGATGACCAACTATCCTGGTTTGCTCAAGACTGAGGAGTTTCCCAGGACACAGGATTTTCAGTGCTCACACCATAACAGTCTCAGGTAAGTGGAACAGTTGGTTGGCCTAAATCCAGGTTGTGTGCTCAAGGACCTACACTTTTAAGCACCTAGCTCTTCTGTTTCTCATGCAGAAGGCGGTGGATCCAGGGTTTGAACCCTCATTGAGTGACTCTGAAGCTTGTGCTTTTATATTTCCATCATGTTGCCGTGATTTGTATTTTAATACAAATATATCACAAAAAGTGATCATAGATTACTAACGTGTAATATGTTTGGATAGGTAATCATATACCAAAGCCTTATACATTTAGTTAGACAGGAACATGCATTCGGATATTTGTCATGATTCTTTTGTAAACAGCTTTATTGGGGGGATAATTGATAGCAAAAAAGCACATATTTTAGGTATACAATTTGGACATATCCATACACCCATGTAACAGTCACTATAACCAAGTTAAAAAACATATTTATCAGCTCCAAAAGTTTTCTCATGCCCCCACCTTTTAGTAAGTTCTAGATATCTGTTCAACATAGTGCCTATATCTTGTGCTCTTTAAAAGTTGTTAGGAGAGTAGATCTCATGCTTTCATTCCTAATTGGCTTCGTCTCATTTGACAATTGGCTGTTTAATTTTTCTTACACTTCAGTTTCTCCCAAAAGCCTATTCCCTATTTTCCATAAGTTACTACAGACTTGTAGTACAGATTGATATTTTATTCTTCCCTTTCCCATAGTTCACTCCTGAATGATATCTTTCTCATGTGTACCCTACTTCAACTTCACTTTCCCTGATGGGTCTGAAATATATGATGTATACATTCAGTATCCACAGATACCTGCCAGTTTCCTCTTCTGTCATGGTTCCTCCTTATCTATAGGCCCTTCCTTCTCAAAGTGTTATTGTTTCCCTAATCCCAACTCCTCACATCTCTTCAGTTTCATGACATCTTCCTATAATATTGTGCCGATAAAACTGCCTTCAGATTGGAGAGAAGGGAGAAATCAGTGTAAACTAGTGTTGTCATGGACACCTTTATAGAGGTGATATTAGTCAAACTGCGTTTTAAAGAGTGCAAATGCGATTTAGATGAGCATCAGTAATATCAAAGTCTTGATTTTACTGATTTAGATTTGAAGGAAGATTACATCTAGGAACTAAGGAATATTAAATTAGTCTTTCTTTTTTATTTCATGAACTTAATCATGAGTGAACTACTAGCTGACTTATGCAATTTCTAGACTCTGTCTTTGAAGGCAGTGTTCTTAAATTGTGGAGGCACATGGTGCTTAATTGTATTGGAGGTTGGCTTTGCATTGTAAAGAGCATGTTTGCGTAACGCTTATCAGGTGAGTTACTTTTGACTGGCATTTATTTAACTTCCTTGAGCCTCGATTATCTTTTGGCTAGCCAAACTTACCATGTAGAGTTGTTGTAAGAATAAAAATAGATAAAGGATTAATAAAATAGCTAGTTTAGTGCCTGGCACATAGTAGCTATTATTAGTCTTACCTAAAAAGTTGTTATTCTGTTCATGGATGAAAGCAATTGATTTTCTACTTCTTTCAATACTCTGATGAGATAACAAGTACATGAGAATGGATGACTGTGGTTAGTATTGTAGGTCAGGAATAAGAAATTATTTTTAAACTCATCCCACTCTTTCCTTCTATAGCAACTCCTTCTTTGTCTGGATTGAGATTTAAGTAGATGCTTTTCTCCAGTGCTTCAGTACTGAATGTTTAAGAATGCCAGGTATTTTAATTTAAAAGCATACTTTTTCATCAAAAATGATGCATTAAAAATATTAATGTTAACAGTAGATAACATTTTGAGATATAAATATAGCACACTCTGAAAAAATTTTTCATTTAAGCATGTTGATATGTTAGATGTTAGATTGAGGTAGACAGAGGGTTTGTGATTACTTGTTTTGTCTACAAAAAGGTAGCTATCAGAAATGTTCAATATTGTTCACATTCATATTTCAACAGAACTACCACTTTTGGTAAATACCAATATGTGTAATATTTTCTGGCTACACTTCCCTAGAACAAAATTTATATTTTTCCCATAATTGATTTAACTTCATTATTTGAATATATCTTATAGTCAGGTATGTAGGTGATGCTTACTTTATTTATGCTACTAACTTTTTTTAAATTTACTTATTGAACAGTGCTTTTCAGGCTAATGGGGCCTCTGGAGGCAATAAGAAATAGCTGGGAAAAATAGATGAAATGTTTCATTTTAATTTCAATTGTTATTTGCATGCAATTTATTTTCTTTCAGACCTTTTCTCTATTACAGAAGTTATGGGGGTTGGAGGGAGAGAAAGGCAACGAGAGAGAGATGTGTGTAAAATTGCCTTTCCTGGCTGTGGTCAGAAGGGCATATGACTGTGGAAGAATGGTCAGAGACATGCAATGCTAATTGCTTTGAAGGTGGAGGAAGGTGGCCAGGAGCCAAAGAATGAAGGCAGCATCTAGACATGGAGAAAGCAAGGAAATTTTATATCTATCTATCTATCTATCATCTATCTATCTATCTATCTATCTATCTATCTATCTATCTATCTATCATCTATCTATCTATCTATCTATCTATATCCTTACTTGGGAAGAAACTTTGTGGATGTGATTAAAGATATGGAGCTTGAGATGGGTTATATGATTGTGATCAGTCTAATCACATGAATCTTTAAAAGTGGAAGACCTTTTATGCCTTTCCTGGCTGTGGTTAAAGAGAGGTGACTACAGAAGAATCATCAGAGAGATACAATATTGATGGCTTTGATGATGGAGGAATGTGATCATGAGTCAAGAAATGCAGGTCATGTTTGGAAGCTGGAAAAGGTAAGGAAGTAGATTCTCCCTTAGGGTCTCCAGAAAGGAACATATCCCTGCTGATACCTTGACTTTTACCCAGTGAAACCTGTGTCATATTTCTGACCTCCATAAATGTAAGAGAATACATTTGTGTTGTTTAAGTCACTAACTTTGCAGTAATTTATGACAGCAGCAATAAAAACTAATACATGTGTACATTTCAGATTGTATTGAAGGAAATAAATATATTTTCGTTGTTTTGAATGTATGTATATTCATCTCTAGCATAATCTGTAGTAATATAAGCTTAAATTATCATCCCCTACCCAAGACAAATTTATTTATAGGAGTCCCCAGTTTGGTGCACCATGAACTTGCATAGAGGGAACTCTTTCCTTATTTCAAAGGATATTTACTGAGCACTTAGTATACACCAAGTGCTAAGTGCTGGATATACTGTAAATAATAATAGACATGTTTCCCACTCTTACTACATTATTGCAACATTAGTCATTACTAGTTCTGCCATTTTTTCTCATTTTTAGATTGTGCTAAAAAGGAGGAAATACTAAAAGAGTATTGTACTAAAAGAGTCCTTGGATAAGGGCCTCTTTCTTTCTTGGTTTGCAGTTAGCACTGTTCCAACAGTATGAAGACATAAACAATTTTTAAAGAATGGAAGCCTTTTTGAGGCTAATACATATTATATTCGTTCATTTTCATGCTGCTGATAAAGACATACATGAGACTGGGCAATTACAAAAGAAAGAGGTTTATTGGACTTACAGTTCCACATGGCTGGGAGGCTTCACAATCACTGGGGGAAGGTGAAAGGCAAGGAGGAGCAAGTCACGTCTTACATGGATGGCAGCAGGCAAAGAGAGACCTTGTGCAGGGAAACTCCCATTTTTAAAACCATCAGATCTTGTGAAACTTATTAACTGTCACCAGAACAGCAAGGGAGAGACCTGCTCCCATGATTCAGTTATTTCCCACCGGGTCCCTCCTACAACATGTGGGAATTATGGGAGCTATAAGATGAAATTTGGGTGGGGACACAAAACCAAACCATATCATTCTGCCCCTGGCCCTTCCCAAATCTCATGTCTTCACATTTCAAAATCAATCATCCCTTCCCAACGGTCCCCCAAAGTCAACCCATTTCAGCATTAACTCAGAAGTCCACAGTTCACAAAGTCTCATCTGAGACAAGGCAAGTTCCTTTCGCCTATAAGCCTGTAAAATCAAAAGCAAGCTAGTTACTTCCTAGATACAATGGGGGTACAGCTATTGGGAAAATACACCCATTCATAATGGGAGAAATTGGCCAAAACAGAGGGGCTACAGGCCCCATGTAAGTCTGAAATCCAGCAGGGGAGTCAAATCTTAAAGCTCCCAAATGATCTCCTTTGACTTCATGTCTCACATCCAGGTCATGCTGATGGAAGAGGTGGGTTCCCATGGTATTGGGCAGCTCCACTCCTCTGGCTTTGCAGAGCACAGCCTTCCTCCCAGCTGCTTTCATGGGTTAGCATTGAGTGTCTGTGGCTTTTCCAGGTGCATGGTGCAAGCTGTCAGTGGTTCTACCACTCTGTTGTCTAGAGGACGGTGTCCCTCTTCTCACAGCTCCAATAGGCAGTGCCCCAGTAGGGACTCTGTGTGGGGGCTCTGACTACACATTTCCCTTCTACACTGGCCTAGCAGAGGTTCTCCATGAGGGCCCTGCTCCTGCAGCAAACTTTTGCCTGGGCATGCAGGCATTTCCATACATCCTCTGAAGTCTAAGCAGAGGTTCCCAAACCTCAGTTATTGATGTCTGTGCACCTGCAGACCCAACACCATGTGGAAGCTACCAAGGCTTAGGACTTGCACCCTCTGAAGCCATGGCCTGAGCTGTACCTTGGCCCCTTTTAGTCATGGCTGGAGAGGCTGGGATGCGGGAACCAAGCCTAGGCTGCACACAGCACAGGGGGCCTGGGCCCGGGCCATGAAACCATTTTTTCCCCCTAGACCTCCAGTAAAGGAAGGGGAGGGGCTGCCATGAAGATCTTTGAAATGCCCTGGAGCCATTTCTTCCATTGTCTTGGGGATTAACATTTGACTCCTCATTATTTACACAAATTTTTGTAGCTGGCTTGAATTTCTCCTCAGAATATGGGATTTTCTTTTCTATCACATTGTCAAGCTGCAAATTTTTTGAACTCTTATGCTCTGCATCCTTTATAAAACTGAATGCCTTTAATGGCACACAAGTCACCTCTTGAATGTTTCGCTGCTTAGAAATTTTTTCCACCATATACCCTCAATCATCCCTCTCAAATGCAAAGATCCACAAATCTCTAGGGCAGAGGCAAAATGCCACCAGTCTCTTTGCTAAAACATAACAAGCATCACCTTTGCTCCAGTTCCCAACAGGTTCCTCATTTCCATCTGAGACCACCTCAGCCTGGACCTTACTGTTCATATCACTTTCCTCAAAGCCATTCAACAAGTCTCTAGGAAGTTCCAAGCCTTCCCACATTTTCTTGTCTTCTTCTGAGCCCACCAAACTGTTCCAACCTCTGCCTGTTACCCAGTTCCAAAGTCGCTTCCACATTTTCAGGTATCTTTTCAGCAGCCCCCCACTCTACTGGCACCAATTTGCTGTATTAGTCTGCTTTCATGCTGCTGATAAAGACATACTGGAGACTGGTCAATTTACAAAAGGAAGAAGTTTATTGGACTTACAGTTCCACATGGCTGGGGAGGCCTCACAATCATGGAGGTAGGTGAAAGGCACATTAAGTCACATCTCACATGAATGGCAGTTGGCAGAGAGCTTGTGCAGGGAAACTCTCATTTTGAAAACCATCAGATCTTGTGAGACGTATTCACTATCATGAGAATAACGCAGAAAAGACCTGCCCCCATGATTCAATAACCTCCCACTGTGTCCCTCCCCTAACATGTGGGAATTATGGAGGCCACATGCTGAAATTTGGGTGAGGACACAGAGCAAAATCATATCACATATATATTCAGGTATCTTAATATTTTCTCATATAACATGGGATCAAAAGAGAGCTTATTTTCTTTGGCTATATCACATTGTTTTTAAGATACCTCTTACAATGGAACCCCTGAGAATTTAAAACAATTTCTGGCCAAAATGGCAGTAACCAAGGAAAAAGCTCAGTTAGAATTCCAAGTCCATACACATTTGGAATCCAACCCTGACTTCAAAAACAGTTTTTAAGTAAGTCATTCTGTGAAAATTAAATTATAAATGACCCATATGTAAAGATTAATTCTTTAACTACTATAGCATAGCATGCCCCCTGAATGTTAACAGCTCTTATTTGTTTCAGAAGGGACTTCAGGCAACAATTTATATCTTGTGGTTTTCAATCTGGCTTCATTTGTCACCGAGTTGTGAAGCTTCAGGATTAAATTTTGTAGGGCTAGTGAACACAGACTCCTTATCAAATGTTCTTGACTATTACTAACTCTTTCGGTATTGTGCAAAAAGTAGAAAGAAAAATACATAGGACCAAAATATCAAGGAGTTTTTACTTGCTGTAAAATTCTTCCCATATTTAAAATACATAGTACAATACTTGTTGTTTCCTTAAAGGAACATTCAGAAAAATGTAGCACTCTTTATGTGCTTTCCAATGTGGTAGTCATTAGCCAGACATGTGAATATTGAATGCTTAGATTATGGTTGTCCAAACTGTTTACACGTGTAAAATACACACTGGATTTTGAAGATTTAGTATAAGATGAAAACATTTAAAATATATCATAACACACTTTGTATTGATTACATGCTGAAATTGTAAAATTTTGATATATTTGGCTAAGTAAGATATATTGTTGAAGTTAGTATTGCCCATTTCTTTTTACTTGTTTTAAAACATAGCTACTAAAAAATTTATAATTCTAAGTGTGCTTTGCTTCTGTGACTCACATATTTCAGTTGGACAGTGCTGTTTTAGGTGTTAAGTTAGTTATTCCAATTGTAGGAAAATACAGGGAACCATGTTTGGATTCTTAAATATGAAGTGTGAGGTCAGTGTCTCCTGCCTTGTGAAGCCACTCCTGCTTGGTCCTTCTCTTCTTCCTGAGTCTGGTGTTTCAGTGGGGGTATCTTTCTTGTAAAGAGAGTGAAAAATAGGTGTAATACATATAAGAAAATGATTAGAATGTCACTGAATGTCATAAAAAGAAGTGAATAAAATTGAGAAAGAAGAGTGGGCAGCATATTTATTCTGTCAGCTATAACTATGTTCTTTGTCCTTTTTCAGGGAATCTCTAGAACACGTTCTTTGAAAATGAGAAAGATAGCCTGTTTATTCACCAGATAAAGATTACATGTGGTCTTTAGCAAGAAACATGAACTCAGGAGGATGACAGATTTTAACCTTAATTTGAATGGAAGGGAAGCATTGTATAAGAAGGATTAAATAATGTGACTTCACACTGTCTTCATACTAGATAATAACTGAAAACTGATTGGCAATATAACATTTATTATTTTCCCTGTAATACCGTTATTAGAACACAGGAAAGTGGTTATCCAAATGCCCATGCTTTCTAAAGAAGAAACCAAAGGTCTGATGTCTGGATATGAGTTCAGACTATCTTTCCACTAAGAGTAAAGACTTCTCGGTTTCATGAAGGACAGGCTGGTGAAAGGCAAAAAGACAACCTATAAAATGGATACAGAGAGAGAAGATCGAATCATAAAGTCTCTAAGCCTTTGTCCAATTATGAGATATTTTTCTTTTGTTTCAAGACTTTACTGAAGTTCTGTGAGCTACACTCATTGTGTAAAATTGATAAAGGTTAATATTACCATCTAATCTGTTGAATATTATTTTATTTAAACTGATATACCAAAGGAAATCATGAGCTTTGTGTTAGCAAAAGGGAGAGATTTTCAGTATTCTCTTACTGCTTACAAATAACTGTTTTATCACACACCAGGCCTGTCAGTGGGTGGAGAGCAAGGGGAGGGAGAGCATTAGGACAAATACCTAATGCATGAGGAGGTTAAAACCTAGATGATGGGTTGGTAGGTGTAGCAAACCATCATGGCACATGTATACCTATGTAACAAACCTGCACATTCTGCACATGTATCCTAGAACTTAAAGTAAAATAAAAAATAATAAAAAGAAGTTCTTAATTTTATCTCCAGGGAGAGAGGGACATAATTGTGAGGTTCATAAAGAAGCAAATGAAAAGTGATCATACTTGATTTCCCAAATGGATCTTTGCTTGTTTTAGGAGCAAGGATAAGAGGTTGCTTATACACCTAGTTTTGCAAAAGGTTGAATACTTTAGCCATCTTAGCATTTAAACATTGCTGATATTCTATATCCCAAGCCAGGGAAAAGAGATTCTGACTAAGCAAGAAAATCCGAACACTGAAATACCTTAGTTAAAATGAAAAGCAGGAACTACTCTGGGTTTCTTTACAAAATGCAATTTTTCCTCTACAAATAAACTCATTGGTGCTAATCTTGTAAACAGTGGTAACTATGGCACCTAAATAAAAATGGCACTTTATTTCGTTAGCATCATGGAGGGTTTATAGGAGATTACTTTGAAAGATACTCAGGGAGACAACTTGGGGATTCTGTATAACTCTCTTAAAAGAATTCAGAATGCTCTCAGATGATAGAGGAAATTAGGCTTTTTCTGCATGACTTCAAGTGAATTAGGAAGAAGAAAAAATGTTGAAGGAGAAGGACATTTTGTTCAAGTTTACCAAAGAGCTTCCCAACAAATAGAGATTATAGTGAAACTGGTGGCATTTGGAAGCCCTAAAAGTTCAGCTATGAAATAAAGTGTAAAGCAGAGGATTGAAAATTGTTGTAAGGTATGCTAGAGTGGAATTTCAGCCTTTGGTAGAAATTAGGTAGGATGCTAGGCAAGCTGACCTTCAAAGACCCTTCAATGCTAAAATTCTATGAAAAGCAGTGATTGATTTGTGTTAGTTTTCTAAAAAGAAACTTTCAGTATCTGTATTGCATTAAGTATTGCAAATCCAAATGAAATGCATTATTATTTAAAATTGTTGACCATTTTAATACAATTCATTGTGCTCTCTTTCACATCCTTCTTTAGTGCAGTGAAGAACATGCTTATTAGTATGGATCCTCATGTTCCAGAAGAGTCCTTTTTCTGAGTGGTAAATCAAGCATGTTGGTGTCTCTGCAGCAATCCCAAATACAACATAGCCTGGTAGCTGGTGGTACTGCTGGTACTGCTTGTCTCTAGCTTGACCTTATTAAAACATTGATCAGCAATGGCCTCATGTAGCTTATTTGCACACAGCGGCCCCATAGTAGATATCATTTGTTTCATGCCCTAGTAGTTTTGCCCAATGAGTAGTTTAAAAGACACTAAACTTAAAATCCTCACAGCACTGCAAAGATGGGAGTTTGTCTCTAGTTTCTCACTCAGTTGGAATGACAAAAGGTTAGAGCAAAAAGAGGAGGTGAATATTGTTTACTTCAGTGGTTCTAAACCCTGGCTATCCTTTAGAATTGAAGAGTAAAAAATAATTACCAGAGTCTGAGCCCCCTACTTAGGGATTCTGATATAATTTATCTACAGTGGGTGCTGGGCTCTGGTATTTTTTGACAGCTCCCCAGGTAATTCTAATGTGAAGCCAAGGTTGGGAAACACTAGTCTTTTCTAATGTTTTTCTTATTATACTTTGTTTTGTTTTTTAAATTGACACATAATAATTATACATGTTTATGGAGTATATAGTGATGTTTTAGTACATACATAAAGATCAGATTGGTGTCATTAGCAGAACCATCATCTCAAACATTTATCATTTCTTTATGTTGGGAATATTCAATATCCCAACAGTTAGGGAACTGTTGTATCTTCTCTCAAGTCTTTTAAAAACTTAGGTTATAATCAGAATAGAGCAATTTTTTTAATTAACATTGGGTAAAATAGTTTCTTTTTTTCCTTTTGATATGTTCGTTTCTTAAATTTAAAAGTAGGAAATGTCTAAATGTGTTCAAATAAATGAATGATCAAGGCCAAAATCAGAAGCAGGTTTTATATTTTATGGAAGGTACTTTTGCATAAAAGAATCCATAAAGAACATCCAGTATGTTTTCTCTGAGTCCTCTGAAATGAACAGGTGCTCTCCTATTTAGTTAGACCTCTCACTACTGAACATTATAATAATGTTTGGGAAAGATCAGAATTAACAATGAGTCAGTGAGTTACCCAAAATTGAGTCAGTGCTTTTCTTCGGAGAGTAATAAGATAAGTTGTGAACAAAAACTGAGGTATGATTAAACGGAAGTAGATTTTCATACACCTCAATATTACTTATATTTTAGGTTTCGCTCAAGTTTTTCTTAGCCTTTATCAGCAAAAATAGAATTTGCTTCCAACGGTGCTAATGAAGTGTTGTCAATGAAGGAATTACAGGGGTATAGTCAAGGTAAGGGACAAAGCCAGGGTTGATGCAATGCCAAGAAGCTAATGACAGTGGGAAGCCTAGGTCTGAAAAAGTAAAGGTGCAGAAAGTAAAACAGAGTTACTGGGGCAGGAGCTGATGCAGAAGAGAAGGGCCACTCAATGGAGCTGTGGGATTGGAAGTCACTAGCTGTTCTGCACTACTAAAAAAATAAAGAAATGAGGAAAAACAAGAAAAGGAAAAAAAGGAGGCAGTCCAGAGATAGAGAGGGATACAGAATAAGTAGCTATGGTCTGTCTCTCTTTTGCCCTCCAATTTCTTGCTGGTATTTACTGTTAGCCAAATGAAAGCCAAGTGGAGCTTCCTCCTTAGCCCATTTACCAGTAGAGTTCTCATTGACTCTTTTCCTCAGGGCTGTTTTCCTGGACTCTGAAGTCTAATGTTTCCTGATACCTCTATGGAAACTTAGGGTTGCAGTGTGTTTTACTGAATTCTTGGACACTGCACTTTGCTTTCCCATCTTTATTAGAATGCTATATCTTATGTTTTAACTTGAGTGCCAACTCTTAACTATTAGTAGCATTTACTAAAAAATATTCTGAATGAGCTTTATGTCTTTGATATTTCTTGCCAAATCAGAGGTTAAAAAGAAAAAAAAGTTTCAGAAACTTTATAGTCTTTTCCCCTAAACTATATTATTGCTTTTCTCATTTTATAACTCTGCAACATGAATTTGGCTATAAAATAAAAATTTCGTTACTTTTAAATAATAAATACAAAATTAATGTTTTCTTATTCTTGCTATGTAAACATTTCTATGTACTTCTTTAGATTTCTGCGTCAAACTTTTTCTTTCAAGATTTTAAATCAAAGGCCAGAATTTGCTTAGAGGTAGATTTATAAATAATGTATTAAATTAATTTTTTAAACATCAAAGAAATCACTTATGGTATTATTAATGAAATTGGAATTAAAGATTGAAATCAACTAGTTCTTAGTTAACATCAATCTTTATTAATTCATCTATTCATTCATTCATGGAGCTAAATATTTATTGAGTGGTTATTACCGTATGTCATTGAATGTAAGTTGCCATCAATTTTAAGTAGCATCCTGATTTCAGAAACATTAACATGTAAAAAAATGCATACTTTAGAATTAATGAATAATATGTGTGGTGGGTGTATTTCAATTTAGAATAACTTATGGTTGGGAAATAGCTTATGATCTAGAATTGATAACCAAAGGCAAGCAAAACAAAACAAAACCGGATTACTGGAGTTTCAGTTGTCATTTTTATACGTTGCTTTTCTTTTTTCAATAAGTCTGTTTATGTCTTGAATGCGGGAACTGTATTGTACTTCTTTGACTTTCTCTGTGGTGTGATTACAAAATGTAATCATAGAATGTTAGTTATGGAAGAGACTTTGGTGATCATTTAGTCATCTAGTCCAACTTCCTCATTTATAGAAGAAGGAATCAGAGAAGGGCTAGCTTGCCTGATCACCTAGCTAGTTAGTAGCAGAGTGAATGAACACTGAAATTCAGTTCTCAAATTCTTGTTCCAGTGTTTTATCTATTATTATACAATGTAGGTTTTAAGAGTAGATATCAATGAATATACATATGCATGTTGTACGCTTACCGAGTTCATAATTAACTCCAATATTAGTCCTCCGCTTAGGTGCTAGGGTTTTACTTTTATTTAACCGTAGTACAAAAAGGCTTAGTGGTATCTTTTGTCATCTTTAGATATATACATGTGTTAGTAGTAGGTTTTACTTTAGCAAAACTTCATCCATTTCCTGTTATATTAAATGGCTCATTCAGTCTTCTTTTGGGTGCTTTTGTTCTTCCTTCTAGTAACAAAAATTATAACTTAGAAAAATATATAAATAATTTATATGTATTTGTATATTTAAAAATAGAATATGTATCATTTGATCTTTCAGTATTCAATCCTTATCAAGCACTTAATTTTTAATTTCTGTGATGAGTGTTTTCATATAATTTATGTAATTTTGTTGCACTTAGTAATGAGATAGTCCCTACCCGCAGCCTCCTCCATCCCCTACATTACCTAAATTAATTAGTATACATTTTTTAGTCATGTAGATACAGAAAAAGCTTGCCCTGAAGCTTTGCAGATTTGGTGAGTAGTATTTATTATGCAAATTTCCTAAGTGTTCAAAGATAAGTTATTTTCCAGCATTTCCAGTAGGAAATGATTGGTAGTATTTCTGTTGAGTACACAAAGCTGATTTCGCCTTTGAATTTAACTATCACACTTTAGCACCGGCTCTATTGAAATGTTAATGCACATGTGACGTGCCAACATTTAGAAAAATGTAAATAAAATTGGAAAGTTCCAGGTGAATTTATATGTTCCCTAAAAGCTGCAGAATATAATTACTTTTTGACTTTCTTCATTCTGGCTTAAAAGTTATAGTTTCATGTTCATTTCTGCTTTTCAACGCCTTGTATCTTATGTCTCATTCACCCTTCCCCACTAATCTCCTGAAGGCATAGCACATGAAGCCTATTATTTAAGAATGTTGGCTTTTTAGTTTCAAAGGTTTAAATATGAATCTTGGCTCAGACTTCTAACTAGCGATGTGATTTTAGGTATGTTACTTGATCTTCTTAGACTTAGTTCTCATATATGTAGAATATTAAAAAGATTAAAACCTCACAAGATTATTCTGAACATTCAGCAGGAAAAGTAATATAATCTTTTTTGGTTCAGAGCAGTTTTAGATACATTTAAGCTGATATTTTTATTTTATAATATTCACAC
This sequence comes from Homo sapiens, assembly GCF_000001405.40. Taxonomy (NCBI): domain Eukaryota; kingdom Metazoa; phylum Chordata; class Mammalia; order Primates; family Hominidae; genus Homo; species Homo sapiens. The sequence continues at coordinate 66,067,015 of NC_000001.11, forward strand.
AACAAAAAGTAGATTGCTGAAGCTAAGAAACCTATAAGACACAGCAACCACATTTTCTTAATCCAGTCTATCATTTATGGACATTTGGGTTGGTTCCAAGTCTTTGCTATTGTGAATAGTGCTGCAGTAAACATACGTGTGCATGTGTCTTTATAGTAGCATGATTTATAATCCTTTGGGTATATACCCAGTAATGGGATGGCTGGGTCAAATGGTATTTCTAGTTCTAGATCCCTGAGGAATCGCCACACTGACTTCCACAATGGTTGAACTAGTTTACAGTCCCACCAACAGTGTAAAAGTGTTCCTATTTCTCCACATCCTCTCCAGCACCTGTTGTTTCCTGACATTTTAATGATCGCTATTCTAACTGGTGTGAGATGGTATCTCATTGTGGTTTTGATTTGCATTCTCTGATGGCCAGTGATCATGAGCATTTTTTCATGTGTCTTTTGGCTGCATAAGTGTCTTATTTTGAGAAGTGTCTGTTCATCTCCTTCGCCCACTTGTTGATGGGGTTGTTTGATTTTTTCTTGTAAATTTGTTTGAGTTCATTGTAGATTCTGGATATTAGCCGTTTGTCAGATGAGTAGATTGCAAAAATTTTCTCCCATTCTGTAGGTTGCCTGTTCACTCTGATGGTAGTTTCTTTTCCTGTGCAGAAGTTCTTTAGTTTAATTAGATTCCATTTGTCAATTTTGGCTTTTATTGCCATTGCTTTTGGTGTTTTAGACATGAAGTCCTTGCCCATGCCTATGTCCTATGTCCTGAATGGTACTGCCTAGGTTTTCTTCTAGGGTTTTTATGGTTTTAGGTCTAACATTTAAGTCTTTAATCCATCTTGAATTAATTTTTCACTCATAGGTGGGAATTGAACAATGAGAACACATGGACACAGGAAGGAGAACATCACACACCAGGGACTGTTGTGGGGTGGGGGGAGGGGGAGAGATAGCATTAGGAGGTATACCTAATGCTAAATGACGAGTTAATGGGTGCAGCACACCAACATGGCACATGTATACATATGTAACAAACCTGCACGTTGTGCACATGTACCCTAAAACTTAAAGTATAATAATAATAAAATTAAAAAAAAAAGACACAGCAACTAAACGTCAGTGCCTTGGGGGAGCTATATGTATAATTGTTCTCGCTTCCGTGAAAAGCCAGGAAGACAACACAACTTGGAGAACTATCCCTGAAGGAATAGCACAGAGCAGAAATACAACTCAAAACCAGCGAAGCTATCCCCAGGGATACAGAGAAAGAGTCTGCAAGCATTTTGCAAAGCAGGCGTTGAAAGAGAAAAAACTTCCTTGGAGAGTTGTGTAGCAGATATTAGAATTAACCAATAGATAGAAATATAGAAACAGAATTGATGAAGAATTGATAAGATTTTGAGAGAAATGACATCACATTTTTAAAAATCAAAATGCAGTGAACCCCTACCCATTTAAAAATTTATATTTTAACATTCCTGAATTTGGAATTGATTAATGTCCTGTCTTCCCCCATCAAGTTGATTTTCTATCTTATAATCAAGTCATAATCCTGGATTGGGGCAATAAAATAATATATGCTTTGCTATATTAACTAATACACTTTGAACAATTGCAGATGAAAATATAAAAAAAATTCTTCTCATTTAAATATAATCGCTCATACAAACACACTTTTATATAAGGCCATTACAATATAGGCAGAAATGGGATATAGAATATAATGAGACACTGAAGAAGAGTAATCTGGGATCATGGAAAAGGAAGATCCAAATGAGATCATTTTTCATTGCTTTGATCAATTCCTTAATTGTACAACTACAAATCTGTTATTTATGGTTTGTAACAGATAGGTACATGTTCAGTTCACTCTTTGGTTACCTGTAGGTAAGTGTCACCTCACAGTGTGGCTAAATCACTTCGAATTGAATTTTTTGTTGTCTTCATAAAGTCCTGAATTAGAAGAATTCCATTCTTCTATGAGACATAGATACTAAATAAAGCTTTAAATTGCAAGTAAGAATTATTTGACAAAGAGAACAGGCTGTGGCCATTCTAAGAATGGTTTCCAGATAAGCCTGTTTCTGTTCGGTAACTGTGTTAACACCCTGCTGTGTTCTTACATGGTCCTCTATTGTGTATTTTAACCTGGGCATTGAAGTGCATCAGCAAAGTCTGACCAATAACTCCAATTGACTTTTCCAATCATGTTCCCATTATTGAGTCTTTGACATCCAAGGAAAGCATGTCTTTCTCTGAGCATCCTCTGTTTCTTTTTGTCTCTTATTTTATGCCACTCATAAAGCTTCGTTTATTGTGAAATACCCTCCTTGACTTATCTCTGTAGGATGAAATCCTAACCAAACTTCAAAGCAAATCTCAAATTGTCACTCTCCAATAAGATGAATTGATTATCATAACATTAATTTCTTTTCTCAGCTCTTCCATAGCATATGATTATACTTCTGCCTTTAGCATTTTCTACAGTTAGTTTTGCATTATACTATTTTCTAGATTTATGGCTCTGATTATCTACAGTTCTGTCTTTCCCAGTAGAGGTCACACATTTATTGAGCACATACTATATTTGGAATTAGCAGTGTTGAAATGAGATGGCCGTATTCCTTGCTTTCTCAGATCTCAAGTCTACTGAGGACATAAAAAGGATAATCTCTAAAATGGAATATTGGTACCATTATAGATAATAATAGGGTGTCATGGGGCTAGGAAATAATGTGGGCCTGGGTCAGAAAAAACTTCCTGGAGGAAATGAAAACTCTGTAAATTGGCCCTTCATTGTATCTCTCACTTAAACCATTTTGGGTGGAATTATGTTTCCTGTGAATCCTTAACTTATATTTATGATTACAAAAAATAAGATTTACTCCTTTTTGATTCTTTGTGTAAAGCTCTGTTATAATATTCCTTCCATTCTTCCTTATATTTACATGTATGTGCAAGTGTGTGCATGTGCATGTGTGTACTATGTATTTTTGTGTTTGCTCATCGAGGGGGACTTTGAAATCTTGATCAGGGTATACACAGTGTTTCTTTACACTTGTTACTCTGAAATTATCTGTTTCACGTTCATACACTTTTACAAGGCTCTGAATTCTTTTTGGGCAAGTGCCACCACCTTCTCATAATCATAGCCACAGGTGGTCAGCTCATATAGGGCAGGCACCCTGTAAATGTGTTGAGCTAGATTGATTAATGTGTCTATATGCATTTTTTTTTCCTCAGGAGAAAAAGGTCTGTTGAAATCTTTAGTTGGAATATGTGAATATTCTTGTTACTATATATAGTCTGTAACTATATGGAGGAAAAGCTTTGAGGGTGGAAGAGACATTTGCAAGCTGGAGAAAAAAGAATGTGTCAGTATATGAGGGAATGGTAGAGGGAAAAGTAGATGGAGTGGGAAGCTGGGGGCGGTGAAAGGTGGTAAAGTGAGACACTAAGTGACAATAAACCATTTAAAAATAATTTGTCCCAAAGTTCTGGCTATTCTGAATTCATCTTTGCTGAGAAATTTTACATTTTTGGCTCACCTTTTGGGAAGGTGGAGATTTAGGCTAGGGAAAAAGTAGACAAGTACAAGTTTCCATGGAAACAATTACCATAAAATATCGACCAACAAAGATATTAGGAAGCAGGAAAGGAAAGAGAAAAAAGCAGGAAAGAGATAGTTGCCATGGAAACATGGACAATCAGAGACATGCACTTGAAGTGATTCCTTCTTATTTATTTTAGTTAAATACCTGATTAAAATTGTTATACTTTAGTTTGTGGTTTATTTTTAAATATTCATAAAGATTTGTTTAAGAACATGTTTTTCTATCTTGGTAAGTTATAAATTCACAGGAATTCAGGGAATATCCTTTTATTTTGATTGGATATGACATCATTTTATTGATTACAAAATCCATTTAAAATATGGCATTTAATATATAAGCTATGAAAGCATTATTTTATAAAAATGACTGTTTAAAATTTACTCTTTCTTCAGAGTAAATTATGTTAATAATTTTTCTTAATGAATGTTAACATTTTTCTTAATGAAGTTTAAATTATTGCTTTTAATTTGCATTGACTAGCAGCATAAAATACTCTAATAATATTAAGAGAGGGTCATTCCAAGCATTTTGATACAATAAAAGCAGGCTCACTTTTTCTCCAAACAATTTTGTATGACTTAAATTTTGAGATCCTTTTTAGGTTTACAATTTTATTTTGGTTATTTTGGCTGTCCACTTACTATATAAACATGAAGGAGTTACTATTAAAGACAATATATCTGTAGTGGATAATTATATAAAGATTAGATGATTCAAAACTGTCCCATCTATAGATAAATGCAACTCAGAGAAATTTGGATTGATAAAGCAGAATATTAAACTCCAATGTTGGCTATAAATTTGTAGGATTCAATTTTAAAGTTCCCTTTGAAGAGTACTTTGGGAATATATTCTGAAATGATTTCTTATTTTTTCATTGCTGTAAAACTGAAATGTAAGGAGCTTACATCATTTCCCACCAGATACTGATAGGAACTTAAGTATTCCCTTAAGTGTCAACTTAAATTGAATTACCTTTTTTGAGAATTACTTTCCCCTCCTGGCTGTCACCTCTTGTCATCTTCTTTGGCATCCAGAGTTCAGCATTCTAAAAGAGGAGCATGTAGACCTCCTGTGGACAGCTTCCCTGTTATGACAGATTTTTTGTATCTTAAAAAGTAGCTTCTTTAGATGCTGTAAGACTACGTGTTATCGATAACCTTTGCAAAATAAAGCATGTTGATTTTTCAGACTCTGTGGGCAACTGAAAAGCCCTTTTGTTTTCTTAAGGTCATAGAACTTTATAGGTAGGAGGAACTTAGAGGTTAATTTGTACAACTCTTTAATTTTAAAGCGGAAAAATTTGAGGTACAAAGAGCCTAGGTGACATGCTGAAGGCCATGTCGCCTGTTTGTCAGTTTAGTGTTCTCTTCACAGCACCAGTACATCTCCAAGACATGGCTTGGCTATGTTTTAGCCTACACCTTCATCTCTCTTAATCTACCCCTAAGCCACCACACGTACATGTACACACATAAACCGCTCACTATGCACAGGAAGCTTTAAGCCAAATCATTCACTGCATGCTTCTCCTATAAAGAAAATTCTGAAGGTCCATGAATACCATGTAGGCTGCTTAAGAAATAATGAGCAAGCATTGAAGTAAAAGAGTGGTGTCCTTATTTCTAAGTAGAATTAACCTTCCCCTCCAAAAGATACACATCCACATCATTATCAAGTGTAAAAGACAGCTGATTTCCAAAATCATTTGATTTGGACTTTCCTTCTCTTTTCTTAGTGCTAACATTTTTCACCCATGTTGCTAACATTTTTTCAAATGTGTGGATATTTCCTTATAATTTCTCTAAGAGAAATTCTACTACTAAAATGCTTTTACCAATTTTAGTTTGTAGACTTAACATTTCTGGGGGAAAGGAGTGCAAGCAGCTAGGTGGCCCTCCAGACTACTAACAAGCTGGAGAGTGGAGTTTTCCCTGTTAAAGAGTGACTATGGCTGTTTTGAGAATCTTGGTGCCTATACAATGCAGCCTTTCAAAATGGTTCCCACATGGCCAACTCACTAGGATTCTCTGTCTTTCCATTCTAGTTTAGTTATTAAATTACACAGAATTATTCAGGTATTTAGTCCTAAATACCTGCTCTGTTCTAGGTAACCTGCTAGGTTCTAGGAACATCAAGGCAAATCATATATGGTCCTTGTCCTGGAATTTTTTCAGTCTAGTGGGGATCAAAGTGGAACAAATAGAAAATAAAGTATAATACATTGCCATAATAGAAATGGGATCTCAGAGCAAACACCCCTAATGCACATCTGTGGAAACTGTAGGATTGATGAAGGTGGAGGTGAAGTAAACAAACAAAATTTAAACAGCAAATAAAAAAAATCCCACTTCTCTAACACAAGTTGTATTCAGCCTTTAGCCCTTTTTTTTTTTTGTACATTCAGCCAGTTCCTTATAGAAACATATTTGCCCTTGTACAGTGATTTGACAATGCCCTCGCTGGGGTTTGATGGCCAGGCCTGCCGGATCTTGTGATTCTCTGGGACAGGGATTGTGTCCTGCTGTGTCTGCTGTGAATTGGTGCGCCCAACAGATTGAACCCTTCCATGGCACATCTACGCACCTTTCTTTACAATGTCACCTAGTACTTAAGAGCAATCTGTGGGATTAGGCAGATCTGTGTTTGATTTGAGGCTTTACCACAAACTGTCTACATTATCTTGGGCAATGAGACTTTATTTCTTCAAACCTATTTCATGTTATTATGGTAAGAATTCAATGAGACAGTGTTGGCAAAAGTTTTAGAAGAGTACCTAGACAGGAAAGTCTCAATAATATGTCAAGTGCTTTATGATGACACGTATGACTATAGAAGGGATGGGGAAACTAGGTACTAGCAGTCTTAGGAGCCCAGCTCTGTACACCCAGCTCATATCACCCTCCTCCACTCTCTCTTGTCCCACCTCCCTTTCCTTTCTTGGCATGTGGTGATGCAACTGTGTCTCCCCCTTGTGCTTTTTGAAAAAAAAATATTTGCAGCCAGCTCCAAGTTTTAGTTGGCAACAAATCCGATAGTAAACCAGATAACATGCTTCTCTCCAAAGTAAATATAAACTGTATCAATAGAAATGTAGTTTTTGGAACTCTGGAAATTCTTCTCTGGCACCCCTGTGGACCATATTTGAACACTTAGCCTAGTTTCAGATGCTGCCTCTAAGGACATTAACAAACAAGAATGAATCCTAGGAAGGGTGTGTGTATTACTTAATGGTATGAAAACCATATCATAGAAGAAAAAAGTTCAAAGACATAGAGATAATAGTGTGGAAAGGAGTAGACCCAGGGTATATGAGAGCTAAATTTAATACAGATAGGGCTTTAATGTCGAGTGCAGTGTTCCTTGGGAACTTCAAGGCTGGAATCCCTCAGCCATTGCTTATATGTTTTGAGCACTGTAATTCGATAGGTGGATAGCACCTGATCTTCAGGCAGGCAATCTTACCCATTTCAGGCTCACTAGCTGTGTCAGAGAAGGTTGTGGAAATGTGATTGCTCATGGATATGTCCTTGGAAGAGGGACTGGAAGACCTTTGGTTTAATGAATTCATCTGCACATTTATAATGGTGAGCATATCCAAATGTTTTCTTGGTCAGAAAAATTTAAGTATTAATAATACCTTCCTTTTGTGAGGAATTGTCAGGTCATGCTTCATTTTGCTCAATAATTATTTTATCTCCTTTCTAATAGTGCTGATTAAGCACTATTTCATTTATTTAAGAAAAGCTTACTGAACGGAGATACTTGGACAAAAGAGAACAAAGCCCATGCTCGTTGAAAACCTAAGTCCTATGAGCAATGCCTTTATTTAAATTGTACTAATATTACACATAACAATATTTACCATTTTAACCACTTTGAAATTTACAGCTCATGGCTTTTAGTACATAAACACTATTTTGCAACCATCACAACCATCTAGTTTCAGAATATTTTGATCATGACCAAAAGAAATTCTGTACCCATTGAACCAGTTGCTCCTCATTTCCCCCTCCCCCAGTCCTTGGCTGCACTAATCTGCTTTCTATTTCTCTCTATATGAATTTGCTTAAGTTGTTGTTCATATGAATGAAATCATATAATATGTGGCCTTTGTGTTTGTCTTCTTCCACTCAGCATAATGTTTTCAAGGTTCATCTATGGTGTAGTATATGTCAGTACTTCATTCCTTTTTATGGCTGAATAATATTTAATGTTATGGATTCACCATCTTTTGTGTATCTGTTTGTCTGTTGATGGACATTCGAGTTGTTTTCAGCTTTTGGCTATCGTGAATAGTTGTGATGTAGAGCAGGTGAGCCCCCAAATTGGGTCTTAGCGCAGGAGGGTTTTTGGCTCTGCCCAGGAAAGAATTCAAGGGTGAGTTGGTGATGTTAGACAGCAATTTTTACTGAAGTGGCAGTGCACAGCAGCAGCAGAAGTGTTGTTTCTTGTAGAGGAGGGCTACTCCACAGGCACTGTGCCCAGAGTAGCCCTGCTCTTCAAGGAGTGGTACCTCTGCTACTGCTATACACTGCCACTTCAATAAAAATTGCTGTCTAACACCACCAGCTCACCTTTGAATTATTTCCTGGGCAAAGCCAAAAATTATCCCATGCTAAGCCCCAATTTTGGGGTTCACCTGCCCTACATCAGCTGGGCTATGAACATTTTTGTACAAATTTTTGTTTGAACAGCTGTTTAAAATGCATTGGGTGTATGCCAGAGAGTATCATTATTGCTGGGTCATATGGTAATTCTTTGTTAAACTTATTAAGGAAGTATCTATTTTTCTAAGTGAGATTTCCAGGTTTTATAGTTACTGGTTTACATGCAGTTTGTGGAATTAGAAAAGGTTCTCAGGGCCTTTATTCCCTCTTTTTGAGAGATTTAGCAATATTCTGTTTGACATGAGAATTTCTAAAAATCCATTTATAATACTGACCAAAATTATAATCCTGTGAATAAATTTTTAGGAAAGATCTTATCTAGGAGGGGCTTTCTATATGCCCTACATATCATTCCCATTTCACAAGGAGTTGTGCAATTGGAGCCCTGGCCTTGCTGCCTCAAGTTGGTCTCTGGCACCATGCAACGGGAAGAAGACCTCTGGGCTTTGTGAGCTGAACTTTGGCTCATGCTCATGTTCACCAAGCAGAAATGTTCTTTCCAATTTTTAGGTTTTTCAGGAGAAACTGAATATCTAAATTTTTATATGATGATCTTCTATGTTTTTAATGCCGGCAACTCATTCACATTTAAACAAAACAAAACAAAACAAAACAAAACAAAACAAAAAAAACAAAACACCATGGGCCAAGCAAAACAAGTCTGGGAGCTGAATTTGATGTGCAGGCCATTGATTTACTACTGCTTTCTTTTTCTTTCTTTCTTTTTTTTTTCTTCTAACTTTTGTTATAGGTTCAGATGGTACATGTGCAAGTTTGTTATCTGGGTATACTGCGTGACACTGAGGTTTGGAGTATGAATGAATCCATCTCCCAAGTAGGAAACATAGTACCCAATAGGTAGTTTTTCAGCCCTTGCCCACCTGCTCTTCTTATATTTCCCAGTGTCTGTTGTTCTCACCTTTAAGTCCATGTGTACTTGATGTTTAGCTCCCACTTGTAAGTGAGAACATGTAGTATTTGGGTTTCCATTTCTGCATTAGTTTGCTTAGAAAAATGGCCTCCAGCTGCATCTACGTTGCTGCAAAGCACATGATTTCATTCTTTTTGATGGCTGCATAATTTTCCATCGTTATATGTAGCACATTTTCTTTATATAATCCAGAGTTGATGGGCACCTGGGTTGATTCAGTGTCTTTGTGAATAATGCAGTGATGAACATATGAGTGCACCTGCCTTTTTGGTAGAACAGTTTATTTTCCTTTGGGTATATACTCAGTTAAGGAATTTCTGGATTTAATGGTAGTTCAACTTTTAGTTATTTGGGAAATCTCCAAACGGATCTACACAGTGGCTGGGTACATCCCCACCATCTGTGTATGAGTTCCCCTTTCTCTGCAGCCGTGCCAGCATCTGTTGCTTTTAGACTTTTTAACAAAGACCATTCTGAGCAGTGTGAAATGGTATCTCATTGTGGTTTTGATTTGCACATCTCTGATGATTAGTGATGATGAGCATTTCTTCATATGTTTGTTGGATACTTGTATTTCTTCCTTGAGAAGTGTCCTTTCATGTTCTTTGCCTACTTTTTAATGGGGTTACTTGTTTTTCGCATGTTAATTTGTTTAAATTTTTTTTATAGATTCTGGATGTTTGGCCCTTGTCAGTTGCATAGTTTGCAGATACTTTCCCTTATTCTGTAAGTTGTCTGTTGACTCCCTTGTTAGTTTCTCTTGGTGGCAGAAACTCTTTAGTTTAATTAGGTCTTACTTGTTAATTTTTGTTTTTGCTGGATTTGATTTTGAGGACTTAGCGTAAATTCTTTGCCAAGGCCAACATCAAGAAGGGTATTTCCTAGGTTTTCTTTTAGGATCTTTGTAGTTTGAGATCTAACATTTAAGTCTTTAATCCATCTTGAGTTAATATTTATATATGATGATTGGTGGTGTTCAGTTTCATTCTTCTAGGTCTGATTGCTTTTTCTTTATGAGCATACCACCACTCAGATGATTACAATACAATAAAATCAATAATAGCTAATGCATTTATGCTAAATACTGTGTTCTGGCACTAGTGTAAACATTTAACACGTGTCAACTTAATTTAATTCTCATGACAATTCAGTGAGGTAGGTGTAATTTTATTGCCATTATTGCAATAGCACACTTTTCAGAGTACTTTGGTTATTTATTTATGAACTTGATTTCCTTTATATGTTGAAAGTTCCTTGTGGGCATGAACCACGTTTTACTTACATTTATGACCTCAGAACTGAGTCCAGTGCCTAGGATATGTAGATATTCTCTAAATTTTGGTTAAGTGAATGAATGAATGGTATACTGCCCTGACTATAATTCTGGTCTGCCCTGCAATAGTAAGAATACTCACTAATATTTAAGGCTTTCTGTGTGTTTGGGACAGTGCCAGGTACTTCTGAGAGATATTAATTTATTATTAAAGGCCACATTGTGAAGAACTTGGGTTCTCAGTCTCTAGAAATAAATAGACTTCCCGATTCAAATCTTGCCTTTACCAATTTTTGTTTGTGTGATCTTGGTCAAATAACATAACTCTATGTACTTTATTTTTTATATCTTCAGATGGTGACAATGATGTAATAATAATCATACCCAACCTCTTCAAATGATTATCACATTCTCTGTACTGTTCTAAGCAATTTGTAAAAATTATTTCTCACAATGGTAGCCAGTTCGTGGATTTTGTGAGAATTAAATAAGTTAATTCATGTAAAGCATTTATATTTTGCTTGGCACATAGTAAGCACTGAGAACAGTTGGTTCTTTGTATTATAACCATTTTACGAAAGAGAAAATTGAGTAGTAGAGATACTGAGTCCATTTTTTTAAGGTTGCATGGCTAGTAAACTACAGAATTGAAATTGAGACTGCTTTCTACCTTGCTTAAAGCCTCTTTCTTTCTTTCTTTTTTTTTTTTCAAGATGGAGTCTTGCTCTGCTACCCAGGCTGGAGTGCAGTGGCATAATCTCAGCTCACTGCAACCTCCACCTCCATGGTTCAAGCAATTTCCCTGCCTCAGCCTTCTGAGTAGCTGGGACTACAGGCACATGTCACCACGCCTGGCTAATTATTATTATTATTTTTTGTATTTTTAGTAGATACGGGGTTTCACCATGTTGGCCAGACTGGTCTCGAACTCCTGACCTCAGGCAATCTGCCCACCTCGGTCTCCCAAAGTGCTGAGATTACAGGTGTGACCCACCAAGCCCGGCCTAAAGCCTCTTTCTTTAATCACCATGTTGTGCAGCCCATCTCCTTATATACACTTTCCCCTTTTCTCCACCTATGTAGCATGTGCTTAATCTCTAGAATCGAGACAAAACTGGTTATTTCTCCCTTCTCCAACCCATTCTAGTGTTTACTGGGCAATTCGTCTTTTAAAAATCATGACAGCTTCCTCATTATCACTATCATAAATTGTACTTTAAATCTGTTCATAGATCTTAGATCTTGTCTTTTCATTTTTTTCTGCATCACAGCCTAGCACAAAACCTCATATGAAAAGCGCATAATACGTGAGAGGTTCTAGCAGGTGGGAAGAACCACTTTATCACCTTCATCAAAGAACACTCCTGTTCTCTTCAAGTGTGGGCCACTTAGAGTTTTGGATGGATGAGCATAAAGGAGAGAAAGAGACCCAATCTAACCCCCACAATCCACTCATCAATTCCCTTATTTATTCAGGAAATACATGTAGATATAATGAATAAACCCTGATGATAAAAAATGGGATGGATTTTGCCACCAGAGAGCCTGCACATCTTTCTCTTATAGTGTATATTGATTCTCTTAAAACAGAATTAAAAATGAAAATGTATGCTCTGAACACACTCTCTCACTGTCTCGGTTTCTGTCTCTCCCTGCTTCTTTTCTCTCTCTCTCTCTCTCTCTCTCTCTCTCTCTCTGTCTCTGTCTCTTGGTCTCTCTCAATTTCATTTAATGCTTTTTTATTTTCAGTGGACCCTGGGGAGTGGACAAGTATTTCTAGTTAAAATATAACTATTTATAGTTAAACTCCTGCTGATTGGGTCACAGTTACACTGGTGCCCTATTTGGTGACTTGAGGGAGCTTGAGGATTTGGACCCTTTATCTCTGTCATTTTGTATATCTGGCAGCCTACAGGTTACATGTGAAATATGCCACATGAACCTGCCAGTGCTTTAAGTTCCCAGCAGATATTCTGCAGAGTAGTAGCACATCGTTTTTGTAGTACATCTGTAATGCCATGTAATGCCACTCACCAAATTCCAGCAAATTAAAGAAACTTCAGAGAATTCACCACAAACTGATTAGAGAATAGAAAGAGTTATTTAGAGAAAAGATTAAAGGAGCTAATTAGCACAGCTTGATGGAGTGGGGACTAAAGGGAGAGCTAATGGCTCTTTGATATTATTTGAAGATACTAAATGTCAAGGAGGAAAAAATATTTTGTATAATGCAACAAAGTGCTATTAAGAGCAATGAGACAGAACTGAGAATGAAAGTATTAAAATGAAGTATGTGAGAACTCTATTAAAATACAATTTGTTAAATTGTGAAGTAGTCTTTCCAATTATGAGGTAGAAGATCTTCCTCAAAGAAATAAAAATACACATATAAATATATACTAACAAGCTTTAATGAAAATAATTTTAATACTTGTTGGACAGTTTAAATGGCCTGCTGTTTTAAACGTTTATTAATTTCAAATTTGAGCAATTATTTCATCCCAACAAAAGCCTGTTCTGTCCTCAGATATTTCTACATATCCTGAAAAACCCTAGGTCTCTAACTCTGTAAGAGAGGCTGAGAATACCAATATTTTAAAAATTATTCTTTAGGATTTCGTTTCATTGGCACATCTCTGAGAATAATGGGAGCTATTGACCAGATTGACATTTCTGTGGTTTTGTGCCATGGCATTTTCCATTCCCAAGTGAGAAAGTTATTCCAGTTCATACAGAAAAAATTGTGTCAAAGTGTTACCAACCAAATTCCACAAATCACCATGACACTACCAATAGAACATGCCTGTAATGTAAGTTGTTGAAAACTGAGCAAATAAGATGCGTTGACAAAACCAGTCAGTCTAAGAATATTGTTATCTTTTTACCAAGTGAAAAGATACTGCTTTATAACTTGAATTGTAGTATTGGGGAAAAAAGGGAAAAGAAGAGACTTCATTACATGAGTAAAATTCAAAACATAATTATTGAAAACATTAGCAAAGGTTTTACTGTTTGGATGTTATTGCAGAAATAGCCTGAGTTTATAATAAAAATGATAGGAAGTCTATAGAAAACAAAGTGGGAAAAGCATGTCTTCGCCAGTGTGTCCCCAGGTGCTGAGGAGCCCCATCTTAGAGGCAACATCAAGGTGTCACCATGTGTTACAGGTACACTCTGGCCTTCTTATCGCTTATTAGAGTGTTGGAGATTTTTATTTTGAAATATTAAATGTATTTTTCTTTTCTTCTTTGTTAACTTTTATTTTAGAATTGTGGGTCCATGTGCAGGATTGTCACAGAGGTATATTGTATAACGCTGAGGTTTGGGGTATGACTGAACCATCATCCTGGTTTTGAGCACAGTACCCAATAGGTAGTTTTTCAGCCCTTGCTCCTATCCCTCTCTCCACAACTAGTAGGCTCCAGTGTCTGCTGTTCCCATCTCTATGTCCATGTGTATCCAATATTTAGCTCCCACTTGTAAGTGAGAACATGTTGTATAAATGAGAAAGAGATCTCCCATCTTCCATTTGGTCCTTAGTCCAGAACTTCTAAAACATTCTTCCATTTTTTGTGGTCTGACTTACTCACGGCTACTGCATCTTTTACAAAGCTTTCTCCATGGTCTTTTGCTCCATGTGAGGAAATTCAATTTTAGTCTCTATTTCTTCCTTTTCCCCCATAAAAATTGCTGTTTAGTCATAAGAGATAAGGCATCTAACATTGGCATCAATTGAGATTAATTCACCTACTGCATATGTCTCTTCTGTTATCAACGTTCTCCATTTCATTCAAAAACTTCAGTGCTAGGTCCTCTTCACTTGAATGTTAAGTCCCACCAGCCTTTGTCTGAGAATCTTACATAGATGATATTCCATGTCCCAAACATTCTGAGGTCTACACTTTCCACATAGAATTTCAACAAAATTCACCTTATAAAAGAAATTTAGTGAAAATAAGTCTCTTTGAAGTAATGTTTAAAAAATCTCATTGAAATATATATTCTAATAACATCTATCTATACTAATTTCTCAAGTAGAATAAAGTGTATATAATAAATAAAGAAAATTCTATGTATGGAATTAGCAATTCAATTCTATATTGTTGATGATTCTAAAGGAAATTTCATGTTTTATCAGGAACCCTGGTAGCAATATGAACTAGTAGAAAGTGTCCAGCCTATAGTAGTAGTACTGGAGAGATTTGGTCAGTGTTGTAACAGTTTGCTCTGCACGACAGGTGGATATATAAAAGCCCATCTTTTCTTTACTATAAAACATTCTACACGGGAGTGAAAAGTAAAACTCTCTCTCTCTCTCTCTCTCTCTCTGTGTGTGTGTGTGTGTGTGTGTGTGTGTGTGTGTAGCTATGAATACTCTGGATTTGCAAAAACACCACTTTGCCCATTAAAATAGCATGTACTCATTTCACAAGTCATCTAGTCTAACATGTCATCAGATTCCTGGAAAGGAAGCTTTTAGTGAAATACTCTTTAGATGGACTAATATATTTTATACAGTCTTATAATACAAAAGGAGAGTTGGAAGGGCATATGCAGAAAGAAGTAAGAAAATAAAATCAGAGGAGCATTAAAACAAAGGAATATGATAGCATTCACTCCCATTCCCCAAATCCCAGCATTGATTAACCTGGTCCTCATTGCATACTTCATCAGGTGCTACTTTGCAGTCTTCTTTTACTATTGACTTTTATGCTTATTTTGCTTTTCACATCTACTGTCCTCTACTGGCTGAGAACAAGGAGCCTCCTTTGTTCTCTCTGGGCTCCTTGCTTATCCACAGTAGGAGAGCATTTTAAACCTAAGTGAATACCTACCTGTGGAATCGATATGAAGATTAAATTCTTATGAAGTACAAGGTATAAAAAAGTTATCTGGTTTCCATTACTTCTGTTTCTCTTTTGACAGGACTTTCTCTTTTTCCAAGGCCCATTCCCATTTCCTTGAGTAAGTGTATAGGCTCTGGCATCAGAAGACATGGGTTTGAATCTTGGCTCTGTCATTTTCTAGTTAAGTATCCTTGGGTAAATTGGCTCAATGTGTTGTGCCTCATTTTGTCAGTTTTAAATGGAGATAGTACTAGTATCTACTGTATAGGAATTTTGATAGGATTGAAATAATATATATATATATATATACAGTGCTTATAAAGCGCTCAGTAGAAAGGCTCAATAAATAAATATTTGTGGTAGTCATTAATAATATATATTTATCCATTTGATTTGTTTTCCAAGAACAAAATTTAATTCATTATTCACTGATGAAATTTGCTTAAAAATATTATGAGTATCATGTAGGTTTGAAATACTATGCTAGGCATCTGTGAACAAGACAGAAATTGTGGTTTTTCTGTATGAGTTCAGAATCTAGTGGGAGATAAAGACAAGCAGGAGGCAATGGGTAGGACAATTACTATGATTAGGCTTGACCTTTGACTCATTCATCCCTCCTCCATAGCCAATCACAAAATCCTCTCCAAAGAAAGAAATATTTTCTTCAAAGTATTTCAAAGTCTCTCCTTTGCAGTCTTCTGCCGCCTCCCTCATCCTGCAGTTTGTTGTTGCTTTGTGCCTATTACCACAACAGCCTTCTAGTTAGTGTCCATGCCTATAGTATTTTCTCCTTCATTCTCTGCCTGCGTGGCCACATTAATCTTCTTTAAACAATGCTTTCATCATGTCACTGCCCTGTTCAGTAACTTTAAATAGCTCGCTTGTGCCTCCTCTGTCAAGTCTGAAGCTATCTGCTAACTTATAAGACCACCCACCATCAGTCCCCAGCCTAACTATATAATCATTTTTTCCACTTCTCCTCACAGTATAGCAGGCATTCTAGTGAGCATGAAAACTGCATGCCAGGGACACTCAATCCTACCTCCAGACTTATCACTATTGTCATAGAAATGACTAACCTTTGAGTGCTTAAGGGGTGCTAGGTATTGTACTCGCTGTTTTCCACAGTTTATCTTTAATTTTTATAAAACCAAGATTCTTCATAGACCTTATTATACTGATTTACAAATGAGGAAAAGTATTCTGAGAGGGTCAGGAATCCAGGATCCAAATCCATGTCTGTTTCATCTCAAATTCCTCCTTCTTTTCACTGTACCTCCTCCATTCCATGCCGCTCATTTGACCCAGAATGTTTTTCTCCTCATTCTATCAATACAAAAACCTTAAATTATCTCCATAACCTAAGTGCTGGTTTAAGTTCTATCTGTTTTGGAAAATCACTAACTCTTTGGAAAATCTGTAACTCTCCCTTCACTAATTTCCTTCATTGTTAAACTCCTGAAATGCTAACCATCAATATCACCTTGTTCCTAACCTTTACACTTGTATCATATGGTATTATTCTGTATGTGCCAGTCTTCTTTCTTCAGCTACATTGTAGGTATATTAAGCATGAACACTCCATGTTATGTCATAATCTCTCAGATGAGTGGCAGTTTTTCTCAGCCTGAAGTGTATACATAATACACGCTTGTTGATAGGATTATTTGTCATCCTCAGCCATTGAGTTATCTTATTTTCTTGGGTCCATGCGGTCAGTACAGAAAGGGTAAGCCTTAATTCAATTTAAAAAATTATACCTCTTACAAGAGAGATAGAAAATATAACAAGAGAGTACATGTTGGGGTGAAAGAAAATAGAAAAATAAAAGTGGGGACAAAGTTGCTGGGAATGTGACTGAAAACATACAATATAATGCTGGAGGTAGGTCCTGTTTCCTATCAGTCAAAGGTGAAAAAACAGGAGCCTTCTCTCTTACAAAATGTATTGTTCAGAAGATAAAACGCAAATCAATCGCTCATAAGCAGTAAATCTATATTTGGTATCAAGACCAGACAGAAATTTCTCCCCATGCGTTCTCATTAAGAGGAAATTGAGTAAAGTCGTGAACACCCTTGCAAACATTATTACAGTATTAACAATAAAGAGCTTCTTAGGAATCTTTCTTATAATGACCCTCAGTCTGGCCAATGACATCATAGCAACAAAGTGAAATACATTAAGAACAATTCCTCAGGTGGGGACCAGAGCAAACTCTGGTTTAGACCCCAAGAAACTCATCCAGTAGAAGGGCTGAGGGATCAACCCTCAAAGTAGGTGCTGTTCCAAATCAATGCTCTAGGGGTCTGGAAGCTCAGGTGTGGAAGTGAGGATCAGATATGGTAGGTCTGGCCTGCTTTTAGTCTTTTTTCAGGTATGTGATAGTATCTTCATTCTACTTGGTGATCTGTCTAGGTTTTAGTAGAAATTTAGACTGTGGCTAGCACTACAGTGGAAGGGATTCTCTCTGCTGGGAACAAGGCAGAGTCCCAAGCATTGGGCTGAAGTTACAGGCATAGTTCTTGTTTTGGTTGGAAACAGAGGTACTGATCAAGAAACCAAAGTGAACAGCCAGTCACATGCATAGAGTTAGGGCAGGGATGGTGGGGGATGTGGGATTAGCTTGATGGACTTAGGGATGTGCTGGTTCACTCAGTTAGGATGCACCAAGTATCACGATTAGTAAGGATGGGGCTGGAAATATACCTATGCCAGGCTCTGTTCTCATTGGCTCAGCAGTGGTCCCCAGTGTGTAGAACGGAATCGCCTGGGGATGCTTGTCAGCATGCACATCCCTGTGCCCTACCCAGGACCTCCTGAGTCAATGTCTTTGCAGGCAGCTGCGGGTTTAACAACCTCCCCAAGTGCTTCTGATGTAGACTAAAATTTGAGAACCATTGAATTAGGGAGTAAGTGGATGAACCTACAGGTTTGAGATATAAGTATCTGTTCTTAGGCTGACTTGAAGCTAACATTGGACACAGAGCAATTTTAGTGGGACTTAGAGGAATAGACACCATCAAATTTTTCATAAAGCATTGAATGATGAAATGGCTTGGAAGAAGTCATTGAGTTAAAAATGGAATTTTTATGACAGAAGTGCAAACAGGAAAATTTAAATGTCCTCTTAATAATGAGAGAAGGTGCACATTTAATGAATGGGGAAGTTTTAATATGAGCTAGCAGCACACCCTGCGTTTACCTTCATGGAAAGCAGCTCTCAGAGCACCTGAGAAGTTTTATTTTGGGAGAAGGGAGATCTAGAGGGCCCACATGCAGCTAGGGAAATAATAACTTGACAGCAGATGAAAACAAAATGATAGGTTGCTGTAGGAAACAGAGTGGCTGGGTACTCTGACTAGAATGTTTCCCTGGTTCTGAATACATTATAACTGCACCAGCACGAAGATCCAGGGCATGCAGTACATATTTCCCTTGGTCTTGACAGGTTATGGGGAATCATGACAAGCTTTGCCTTGTCAAAAAATAGATGTTTTGACTGCAAGTTTGCGCACCTGTCTTTGATGATGAGGAGCTCATCCCACGCTGCTGCTTGTTGTGTTATTGTTTCATTTGTTTGTTGTGATTTAAAATGGAGAAAGAAAAGAATTGGGGAAAACGTTTGAACCAAAGCAATCAGATAACTTCAATAATAAAATGCTACCCAGGCTTTTGTGATAGGAAACCTATGCAATCCCACTGCTAATTCTGTTCTCGCTATAGGGATTCATGGAGCCTATTTTATCAGCTCAGTGGGGTTCAATGTCTCTCCACTCCGATGGGAAAAAAGTGGAATTATCACCAGGGTAATGAAAAACACCCCATCCCATGTTTATAGCATGTTTTATTAAAAGCATGTTGCTTTGGCCTCATATACCAATTGCAATATGTGAGTGTAAGATGCCAGAATAGCTCTCAAGGGAAGCACTTTCCTTCGTGCTAATTTAAAATTCCTCGAAGAGCACGCAGTCAGGTGTGGTGTTAATATTTTGTATCTTTTCTACCTGAGATTTTCATAAAGGAGATGATAGGTGGAGTAGAGTAAAGGGTCAGCTGAGTTTTGGAGCCACCTGGCCAGGGCTGGGAATTTACTATGATTTGCTTTCACAACTATTCTTTACATTTCTGATAGCCCACACTCTCTTATTTTATGTCATAATCATTAGGGAATTTGAATGAGTGTTCCTATTATGATTAAGTAAATAACATTTTACTTATAATTTCTGTTAATAACCACATTTTACTTTGTATAAATTAATTTTCTATTATGCCAGTGGAATTTTCACATTTGACTCTTTGTTTCTGCGAACCTTAACCCAATGTTGATTTTTGCAAACTCCACCATTAGTTCCTTCCAATTAGCATTTCATTCTCCAGCTCATCTTTATCCTAATTCTTTCAAAACTTTAGGGCCCATATTAAGTTCTAGGACAATTAATTCCTACCACAGTGTGTAGTTGAGTAGAGGAGGTAGACTTGTAAAGAAATAACACCAATATAGTGTGACAAAGATAATAATAGAGGTGTTTAAAGAGAGAAGTTTAATTGAGAAGAGTGATATTTCAGTTAGGTCTTAAAGGACTGAGTGGAAATTCACCAGACTTTGAAGAGAAAGGTGCTTATGCCTGGGAGAGAGACCTGCATGTACAAGGGCATGGAGTTATGGAAGAACAGAGTGCTTGGCATGTTCAGAGACTAGTGGATAAGTCTGTACCTGTTCTTTATATTCACGTATTGCAAAAGATAAAGCCAGAAAGGTAGGATCAAAATTGTGAAGTTCCTTATGTTCTATACAGTTGGGCTTGGTCTTTCTCCTATGGGTATTGAAAGGGCAGTCAATGGCAAGTAGGCCAGTATTTTTAAAAGTATCTTACAAAGATTACTCTGGCAGAAGTATGCAAAATGATCTGGAACAGTCCAGACTAGTGGCAGGGAAGTCAGTTAAGAGTTTACGGCAATATCCTTCGCCCACTTTTTGATGGGGTTGTTTGTTTTTTTCTTCTAAATTTGTTTGAGTTCATTGTAGATTCTGGATATTAGCCCTTTGTCAGATGAGTAGGTTGCGAAAATTTTCTCCCATTTTGTAGATTGCCTGTTCACTCTGATGGTAGTTTCTTTTGCTGTGCAGAAGCTCTTTAATTTAATTAGATCCCATTTGTCAACTTTGGCTTTTGTTGCCATTGCTTTTGGTGTTTTAGACATGAAGTCCTTGACCATGCCTATGTCCTGAATGGTAATGCCTAGGTTTTCTTCTAGGGTTTTTATGGTGTCCAACAATGATAGACTGGATTAAGAAAATGTGGCACTTATACACCATGGAATACTATGCAGCTATAAAAAATGATGAGTTCATGTCCTTTGTAGGGACGTGGATGAAATTGGAAGTCATCATTCTCAGTAAACTATCGCAGGAACAAAAAACCAAACACCGCATATTCTCACTCAAAGGTGGGAATTAAACAATGAGAACACATGGACACAGGAAGGGGAACATCACACTCTGGGGACTGTTGTGGGGTGGGGGGAGGGGGGAGGGATAGCATTGGGAGATATACCTAATGCTAGATGACGAGTTAGTGGGTGCAGCACACCAGCATGGCACATGTATACATGTGTAACTAACCTGCACATTGTGCACATGTACCCTAAAACTTAAAGTATAATAATAATAAAAATAAATAATAAAAAAAAGTTTACGGCAATAATTCTGAGACTAGCTGAGGAACCACAGCTTGAGCTGAGGTTGTTGGGTTGGAAGAACATTGCTAAGTAAAGGTTAAATGAACTTGGTGATTGCCTGTGTGAAGCAGAGAAGAGGGGTGGGGAGGACACAGTGAATCTGAAGATTCTAACTTAGGGAATTGGCTGGTGCTATGTCAACTCAGACAAGGCATCTGTGAGAAGAGGGCTATTTATTTATTTTTTAAGGACAGGAAGTTAGTAAGTCAGTTTTAGGATGATGAGATCCAAGAACCTCTGAGTATCCAACTGGAGATGTTTAGTATTTAGTCAGATAAAGAAGCCTGGGGCTCAGGAGGAAAGTCTAGACAGGAGACATGGATTTGGGAGCATGGGGACTAATTATTGGTCTGCCTGAATCATGAATTCACAATGCTATTAATATAACCTATTCGTACAGCTGCATTACATAGATGTCTCATTTACAGATTCTACTCTAATAATTCTTAAATATTTTTACATTTTTTGCTACTGTGTCAGATCTACCCTATGCTATACTTGTATTTTTGCACCTTTTTAGACTAAGTGAAGTAGAAGCCTGTTAATTTATCTTTTTTCAATGTCAATACTATTGAATATTCAACAAAGAAGTGGTCAGAACTTGGGCTTCAGAGCCTAGTAGTCATTGGGGCTTTTTTTCTCTTCTCCCGGACACAATGCCATTATATCCCTCCTCTTCCCCCATCTCCAAGTAAGATTTAGCTACGTGACTAGCTTTTAGCTCTTGAAATGTGAGTAGACAGATCATGTCATTTCTAGGTAGAAACTTTAAGAGTTAGTTTGTGATTCATCACATCCTTTTTTTCTGCATCTGCAGCCTTGGAGATAGAAGCCCTACCAACAAGGGTTCCGAAGTGACTGTATTGAGCAGAGTTCTCCATATGACCCACATTAGACACGTAGTGAGAATGAGAAATAAAATGTACTGCACTAAGCCACTGAGATTGACATTGTTGTTATGAAAGCATAAGCTAGCCAGTCTGGTTGGTAAAGAGGTAACTAGACATGGACTCAAGTCCTGGCTCTGTCACTAACTGACTAACTGTAAAAAAGTTACACAACTTCTTAAAGCTCCAGTTTCTTCATTTTTGGAAATAATTATACTGAATTTGCCAAAACTCTGTGAGAATTAGAGACAAGGTATACAAAGTACCTTGTAAACAATAGCCATCCGCTACGTAGCCGCTATTAAAGTCTGCATCCATCATTTTAGATAGTTACTCAATTTTAGTGTTTTGATTTTGTAATACCTTATGGTGGCTATCGCTCTCAGATTTGTGTTGTGTTCAGATTTCTTGAAAATGTTTTCTCCATGTTTATCTGAGAAATTGTTAAAAATAAAAATAATGAAAGCAAGATATGGCCAAGGACAGGACTGAGTGGTCATGCTGACATAGATCTTTTCACATTTATTAATGGCTGTCTTTAGATAAAGTTGTAAAATTAATTCACCTTGCAATGGCCCCAAACTCCCCATCTTGTTTCTGAGGATACAGAGGTTTTTTTTTCATAGGTATCCTATAAAAGAGTTGCTTAGCCAGTCACCTTGCTACGACTGCATAAGATATAATCACATCAACTTCTTAAACATTTGTAAACTTCTTAAACATTTGTAAACTATTTGTTTTGTGGTATGTTGGCTTTTTGTCTCAAACAGCTGATTGTTCTGTGTATTATGAAGTACTCAAATCATTTCTGAGCCATTATCTTTGCTCACAGGATAATTCTACATCAAAACTTCTGTCATTATGCTATTATAGAGTTATTTTTCTATCATGATCTGATTGCCTGCTTATACTATCCACCTTATTTAAAATGCTTCATTGGTCACACAAGATTTTATCTATTTGTATATAAACTAAAATTCAAAATCTACTTATGGAAAAATATCTCCTATACCCTTGATCTATGTAGATGACAAACTCAACTCTTAGGAAAGAGAAGAAGGGATGATAGGAATTACATCTCATAATTTCATTTTGAAAAACAAAAGTTGGTTGGTATCATGGAAGAGACAGGAATTTCAGGAGAGAGTGACCTTAGCTAATATACAGATAACAAAACTGTAGAAAGACAAGAGTATTAATAAGGCAAATGTATTTGTAGAATAGCAGAAAGAAAGGATTACCTTCAGAGGTAGGCTTGGTATAAAAGGAAGTATCTCTTCTTATGATGGACGAGCTATAAAGCTATAAAGCCTATTTCTTCCAGGGGTGATACAGCTGGAAATATGCTTAGATTCTAAATAGGTTTAGATAGATTTATAAATACATCAATAATGTACCATCAAGGGCAGGACAGGTCATAGGAACATAAATATGATATTTTTGAGGGGAACTTTGGGTGGCCTATCACCTCATACTCTTAAGAGAAGACTTATGTTGGATGGTTCAGCAGCTTGACCAATTTTGGGACATTCCTTTGTTCTTATAAGTGTTATCATAGTCAAATTACTCAGAGGAACAAATAGTTACAAACTCCCCGAGGTCTTAGATGACAAAATTATATATATATATGTATATAATATATGTGTGTGTGTGTGTGTGTATGTACGTATATATATGTATGTATATATGTGTATGTGTATATGTATCTGTATATAAGTATATGTATATATGTGTGTGTATATGTATATGTATGTATATATACATATATATGTATGTATACATATGTGTATGTATGTATATAGACACTGACATTACTCATAATTAAAAAACATCTTAACATTTTTGAGAAAGAGGCAAGGACTTCTTTTACGCTGTATGACGGGAACTAGAGAATGTTGAAAGTCATAGGTCTGAAAATGTTTAATTACAAGTGCGTTTTCTTTAAAATCTATCCTTCAGTTGAGATGACAGTAGCTGTCACCACACCCCTTTCCCTAGGTAGCCAAATTAATTGGGAAAAGAAAAAATGTGTTCATTGGAGTGGAGTCTCACACACTATCACAGTGCCCTTGACAGCACCCTGTTGTGGCCCCTGTTCCACCTATGTGATGGCCTTTCAGACATGACAAACAGTTTTTCTAGTTTCTTTAGGTGAAAAGATTTAACTGCCAATTAACGAGACACCCTAGGTTTAAAAAAAAGTGACCGTAACTTCGTAATTTTATTTTCCTAGCATCTGTTCTATTCAAGCCAAGCCTACTGCGGTGATCTTCATCAAGACAATTCAGGGGTTTCCTAGCAACCAAGTTTCCTGTGGTTTCCTTGGTTATATGTAATGACATAACTCTTATGGGCAACTTCACAAAAACACAGAAGAAAGCCCTCCTAAAGAATGAAATTCCAAAAAAAATCAGGTTACTGCTCACTGAGTGTCTCTGTTTAAAATGGAGAAATTTATCTTCGTGAATGTTAATGACACTAATAAATAATTATGTAGCAATTGCAAAGTAAAATCACATGGTTATTTGATTTCTTTCATTGTTTTTGTTATATGCCTGATCTTAATTTGATTTCTGAAATCAGGATCCTTTTTCCATCTCTTCTAATTGACTGCCACATGCTTAGACATATCCAGCAGATGAAAATTAGACAGTTAAAAAAATTACATGAGAGGTCATTTATTAAAATAGCAGAGTTGTAGTTGCTCAAGAGTAGGAACCAATAATACTGCCTGTTTTTTACTAATAAAGTATATTATGAGGTTTGTATGGCAGTATCAAGGGTTATTGGTGGAGGCCATTAAATAACTGTTAATGTATACTGAGAAGTAAATTTTCCATGCCAGCATGACCAACATTAGCTACTTTTATGTACTTAATTGTTTTTTCCTTCTATATTCACAAAGACAAATTATACTGGGTAACTGTAATCTTTGGTGATATATCTAATATCCATAATATGTCAACCAAAGAAGAAATATAAATTTACACAATTAAGAGTAAAATTTGTGCAACATCGGCTATTCATCCTTGCATTTTCAGTGCCTATCATACAAGGCGGCTTGTGATAAATATAAAATATTGGATTAATGAATGACCAGGGCTCAACAACTCCTTTGGTTTTTCCAGTGGAAATCAGAATTTAATATGAGGATCCCCAGATTAAAGTAATGCACACTTAGAAAAGGAGAAAAATATAATTAATACATCAGAAATTTTTGAGTTAGAGTACAGTAAGTCCTCACTTGTTGTTGATAGGTTCTTGGAAACTGTGACTTTAACTGAACTGACATACTGGATAGTAGAACTAATTTTACCATAGTTTAATTGATACAAGCAAGAGTTCAGTTCCTACAGCATACAGTATATACAGTACCTTGTTTCCCTTAAAGTCACACTTTTCAAGAATCTATCCGTGAGGACTTACCATATATATTCCTCTGCATACTATTCATTTATTAATTAAATATTTATTATGGACCTATTAGGTACCAGGTTCTGTGCCAAGTGCTCAGAGTACAACTGAGAACAAAATTAAATATGATTACAGCCTCAAGAAGCTTGAAAATTCAAAATGTTTAGGAATTATAAATTAGCTAAATGATAATACAAACAAAAGTACAAATACTGTAAAGACAAGATACTGTAAACACAAGATAGATTAAGCCACGAGTTTAACAAAGAAACCTCTTCTGATCTGGGGGTAGAGTGTCCAGGGATAGCTTCTCAAAGGAAGTAGCATTTAAGCTGAGAGATGAAGGCCTAGGTAAGCATAACTGGGAGAAAGTTGGGTGTGGGTGGGGAACAGCAGAGACAAAAGGATAAGCATGTGCAAAGACTTTAGAGGAGCCCAAAGAAGCAGAGAGACCTGGAGTTCTCATTTCTGTCAGTGGGAATGAACCTAGAATGAGAGGAGATTTCAGAGGGTTTCAAAAGGATTCCTATAGGCCATGTTGAGCATTTAGCAGAAACAATCTAGAAAAAGTTCGGAAATGTGGTTCATAGTTACAATTTAACCTTTGTAGTATTAAATGTATTTAAAAAATCACCTAAGACTTTGATCTGAGGGTGAAAGTTTAATTCTGAAGTTACTGAAATAGTTGAGCCCCAGTAGGACAGGGTTTGTGGCATGAATAGGGCATTCGGACAGACTGTGCTCATGGACTAGGGGTCAAACCAAGGAGAAGCTGAAGTCCAGCAGCAGTGTCAATTATCCAGGCAGGAAGATTGAAGGCCTAAGGCTCAGAGCAGGCAAAAAGCATGGTAATGGGGTGGGGTGGAGAAAATAGCACTTATTTAAGATGATTTTATTACGTATTTGTATATACATTATTTCATTTAATTCTAAAAACCACATGATGAGGTGGGTATTGCTTTCTCCCTTTTTATATTAAGAAACTGAGAAATAGAAAGTGTAAAAAGCATACCCTGGATGACATGATACCAGTGAGGCTGGGATTAAAATCTAGGACTTTCTTGAGTTCTAAAATTGTGCTTTTTTTTCAGTGTAATACATTATATTTCCACTCTTCTGTGCAGTAACTTGGGTCAGAGTCTTGATATCAATATGGACCGTATGTCATAGCTGACCACAGCCAATGAGAGAGGAAGATATTTATCCCAATCTTGCTTTCCTGAGGCTTCTAACCAATAAGCTATACTAAGCCTAACTTAGTTGAAGAAAATGCCTTCTTTAACTTTATTTAAATAGAACCACTTATTTATGTATTTATTTATCCAAGAAACTTTATTAAGTTATCTTTAAAATCACATGCTTAGCAATCATTTTGAAAGTGATGCATTTGGTATTTGACGTATTCAATTCTGCATTGAGATGAGGGGAAAAAAAGCATAACACAACTTATGCCGCTCATATCATTAAGACAAATATGGAAAAGTAGAAGGGACCCAGAAATCATTTGGGCCCTTGATGTTCTTTCATTCATTCAATCAATTTTTTATTGAACTTCTCCTATATGCCAGGCACAGTTTTAGGTATTCTGGATATTCCATTGAACAAAGTCCTTGATATCATGGGAAATAGACAAAAACACATAATCTAATAAATTATAATTCATAGTCAGGCAGCAAGAAATAATATGAAGAGAAATGGATGAGAGCATTAAAAAGTGATCAAGTAAGGCCTCCCTGAGGCAGTGAAATCTGACTAGAGACCAGAAAGAAGCTAAGGAGTGATAAATGGAGGAAGACAATTCAAGGCAGAGTGAGGAGAAATCTCAAATACTGAGACATACAGCATGCTTGGTAGGTTGGAGAAATGACTGCGCTTCAGATTTTCTGAAAACTTAGTGATTAATGATTTTTCAAGCTAATAAACTGAGTTTACAATCCTTGTATAACAGAAGAGACTCAAAGATCTACCATTTAGTCAAGGAGCTATGCAGCTGAAACTATATAAATCCAAATCTAGCCTCATTTAATATGAACAATTGTGTTAAAATCAACTTCTTTTCTGCATTAAGATTTAGTCCTTTAAAGTTTTCAATTAGCAATGACTGCGCCTCAGATAAACCTCATTGGCTATGATATTGCTACTGTGCAAAGCTGATTTAGTCCTTTAAAAACTAAAAGCCACTCTCTTGGCTTACGAACTTTGAGAATCACTTTAGAATTGTTTAAGGCAAAGACACAAACTGGGTTAATTTCATAGTAAAGATGGTTCTCTGTTGTTTGCACAGTATTTTATTAATTCCAGAATCATGGAACATTAGAACTTAAAGTGATATCTGAATTCATCTAAAGCACCATAATAGTAGCTAACATTTATAGGGCCAGCTGGCATTCTAAATGCTTGACTCATATTAGCATATTTTGTCCTCATAACCTTTGCAGACATAAATATTATGCCTCTGTTTTTAAATGGGGGAAACTGAGGAATATAGGGGTTAAGTAATTTTCCCAAGGTAATACAACTATTAAGCAATGAACCTGTGCAGTCTGACTCTAAAGTCTTTGCATTTAACCATTGCATACTAGACAGTTGGAAGAAACTGAGACTGACTGGTTAAGTAAAATTTCCAAGATCACACCTTTGGAAAGCAAAGGTGGAATTTCAGCCTTGACCTGTATGCCCTTAGAATTTGAGTTCTTAATTACTATTCTGTGCTACAAGCATCATTCATCTTGGTGAACATCTAGTTTAAACTCCACTTTGAGAGGTAATATTATTCAGTAGAGTGTACATAGACTTTTTGAACTAGAAGAGTCTTTTTTTAAATTCAATTATATACTTGCTATTATAGCTTGCAATCTTGAGCAAATAACTTATTTAAGTCTCAGTTTGCTTATCTATAAAATTTGGGTAGTCATACCTGCCAAATTACATTGTAGAGAGAAATAAATGATGTATTGTGTCTAACATAGCATTGAGTATGTATGAGGCAATTGACATATGGCGCAATTACTGTAATTCTGGAGAGGAAACTAAGGTCAAAGGAACTGTGTCACATAGCTAATAGTGGAATACCTGGGATACAAATCAGGTTCCCTGATTATTATATTTCTTGCCTTGAACTAAAAAAGTACTAAGTAGTGACAAGATTCACAGAAAAATAACCTGCCAATTTCTCCATATGTCTGTTGTTATTCCAACTCAGAATCTGTGATATTAATAGCCATAGCCAATTTGCTGAACTCCTAGTGTGAACCATGCTAGTTCTCTATGATATATGATGTCATGGATTGCTGTGTAATATCATATGTATCACTCTTGCTTTCCCAATTAGATCATAACAATCATCTCACAGGGATTTGTTTCTTGTTTGATTGTTTTTGTGTTTCTTCTGTATCCTCGAGCTTCACCTTCAAGTGTGGGAGAAAAGGTCTTTTATGTTAACCCACAAATCAACTACTTTAACTGCTTCTTAAATTTTTAAATATTTTATTTTATACTTTTAATCAATACATGCTATTGTAAATGTTTATGGGCTACATAATGATATTTCAATACATATAATGTGTATTGATGAGATCAGGATAATCAGTATATCCATTATCCTCCTAACTTATCATTGCTTTGTGTTAGGAACATCCAATATTCTCCTTCTAGCTATTTGAAACTGTATATTATTGTTGACTATAGTCATCCTACAGTGCTATAGAACACTTTGACTTATTTCCCCTATCTAGCTATAATTTTGTATCCTTTAAAAAATCTGTGCATATACCCTTTTCCTTACCCTTCCTAGCCTCTAGTATCCTCTGTTCTATTTTTCACTTCTATAAGATCAACATTTTTAGCTTCCTCATATGAGTGAGAACATGCAGTTTTTAACTTTCTGTTCCTGGGTTTTTTCACTGAAACTGCTTTGTTGAGAGATCATTTACATGCAATAAACAGTATCAACTTTAAATGTACAATTCTATGAGTTTCGACAAATGCATACAGTTGCATAACAACCACCACAATTATGACATAGACTACTTTGTCCAAAATGGCTGCCACTTGTGGCTACTGATCACTTGAAATGGGGCTAGTCCTAATTAAATGCGGTATAAGTAAAAAAAATTATATATATATATATATATATATATATATATATACTGCATTTCAAAGGCTTAGTATAAAATTTAAATATCTCATTAATAATTTATGTTGATTATATATTGACCATATTTTTATATATCAAGTAAGTATATTTAAATTAATCTTACTTTTTTACTTTTAAATATAGCTAGTAAAATATTCAAATTACATATGTGACTGGCACTATATTTCTATTGGGCAATGTTTTCATAGAACATTGTGACCACTTCTAAAAACTTATTCCTTGCCACTTTCTAAACAATCTCCTTCCTGCACCTGAACTCTTGGTGATCACTGATATTCCCTCTGTCACTATAGTTTTGCCTTTTTTAGAACATCAAATAGTGTGTAGTTTTTCATATCTGGTCAGCATAATGCTTCTGAGAGTCATCCATGTTTTTATGAATCAGCTGTTTGTTCCTTTATTGTTGAGTGGTATTTATCATGGATATTCCATAATTTATTTATGTACTTCTCAGCTAATGGACATTTGGGTTGTTTCCAGTTTTTGATTCTTAATGAAGCTGGCATGAACATGTGAGTACAAGTTTTGTATGGACATAGTTTTTCATTTCTACTGGATAAATATATCAGAAGGGGATTACTGGATGGCATAATAAGTATACGTTCAACTTTAGAAGAAACTGCCAAACTGTTTTCCAAAGTGGTTATAATACTTTACATCTCCACTAGTAATGTATGGGAGTTTAAGTTGTTCCACATTTTCAACAGCTTTGTATTGTCAGTCTTATTAAATTTTAGCCATTCAAGTGGATGTCTTTGGTATCACATTGTGATGGTTTTCATTTATGTTTTCCTTTATAACTAATGATGTTGAAGATATTTGTATGTGTTTATTTGCCTGCCATTCATATTTCTTCCTTGGTGAAATGTGTCAATCAAATCTGTTGCCCATTTTTAAATGTTATTTGTCTTCTAATTGAGTTGAAAGGGTGAAGTTATTTATAAACACTGGATATGATAGTTTCTATTTTTACATCTTCAAATTTACTTTTTTTTCTGCAGTGTTTAATATCATGGCAATACAATGCATTGTAATTTTTCATTGCAGATTTTCTTCTCTAAATTTCCAGTTGGCTCTTGGTTATAGCCTATACTTTTTTCTTCCATTATTTTATATTACTCTTTCTCTCTATCTTCTTGAACAAATGAAACATTTGTAGTACTTTTTTAAAAAGATCCTTGTCTACAAATTCTATTATATCTGTTATTTTTAGTCTTTTAATTTGTTTATTTCTCTATTGTTTATTGTCCTCGTTTTTCTATCTTTTTATTAATTATTGGACTTTTTAGATAATACATTGTTTGCTGCTGGGTTTTTTTTTTTTTGTATTTTTTAAAGTGGTGATAGATTTTGTTCTGGCACCATTGGGATACTTTTTGAATCAGTTTGATCCTTCTGAAGCTTACTTTTAACCTTTATTAGAATTGGCCCAGAGCACCAATTAGTCTAGGGTTACTACTATGGTGATAACTATATAATGATTCTTGCGGATGCTCCATGTAAACACACTGCTTGGTAGAAACATGAATTAAGACTAACTCTATGTAAGCTCTGACAGTTGTTCAGAGTCAGGTTCTTTCTTCAGCATTGGGTAGTTTCCTCTCACACAATTGCATATCAATCTTCAGCCAGACTCAAAGGGATGCCTCAGCAGATTCTCAGAGCTCTATCTCAGTGCAGCTCCTTCATCTCTGGTACTTGTTCTTGCAATTATAGCCATTTGGCCTTCCATAAACTCTGATCTCTACCTTAACTCAGAACAAATGCCAGTCTCTGTCTGGGTTCCCCATCTCTGCACTGCAGCCTAGCAACTGCTTTCAGGCTGTACACTGGACGTTCATTGAACTCACCCTGCTTCTTTACCTTTTCTCAGGAATCATGATCCATCATTTCATAGATTTTCTATTTCATTATTCCATCATGGCTGGAAGCATAAGGCTAGATATTTTAACTTTGAAATAAAATATCATCTCTGAAGCCTGCAAAGGTTACATATGCAGCCTGAGTTTTTCCTTTCCATTGACAGTTCAAAACATGGGCACTCTGCATGGGTCTTCAAGAGGTTAGTTTTAAATTTTTGCTCCCTAGGTTCCAAGTAAAACCCAGTTAGAAATATTAACACTTTAACATTCAAGAAAGAAAGTCTAAAGACTATAATGGGCGTACCTGTTGCTAAATTTGTAAGGTTTCATTTCTAAATCAAATTAGAGCATTAAAAAGCAACTTAATTGGAGTACTTTTCTTTAACTCTCCCACAAATGGCTTTGCTCAGCTATATTTCATTATTGTGCTTTTAGCTTTCACTAAGGCCATACAAAAACATCACACCTTCTGGTAACACATGCACACACAAATATAGATACAGTGAGAATTGAATTACCGTAACACATCTCCATCACTTCCTACTACTAAATGTAATTCTCAGATCCTTTGTTCCTGGCTTGGTGAAAATCTTGAAAATTTTTTTAAACAATTTCATTTCATTTTAAGTTCTGGGATACATGTGCAGCATGTGCAGGTTTGTTACATAGGTAAACGTGTGCTATGGTGGTTTGCTGCACCTATCAACTCATCACCTAGGTATGGCCCCAGTGTATGTTGTTCCCCCGCCCCCGTGTCCATGGGTTCTCATGGTTCAGCTCCAACTTATAAGTGAGAACATGCGGTGCTTGATTTTCTGTTCCTGTGTTAGTTTGCTGAGGATAATGGCTTCCAGCTCCATCCATGTTCCTACAAAGGACATGATCTCATTCTTTTGTATGGCTGCATAGTACTCCATGGTGTATATGTACCACATTTTCTTTATCCAACCTATCATTGATGGGTATTTGGGTTGATTCCATGTATTTGCTATTGTGAATAGTGCTTCAGTGAACATATACATGCATGTATTGAAGTAATACATTAGTGGATGCCACTTAATGTGTTTTTGGTAGTTTTGACTCTTATTTCAACTTCATTGTTCTAATTCCTTTTTCTTTATGTCATTTTGATTTTTAATGGAAGAATTACATTTTAAAACAATGAGTGAATAAAATTGTTTTTCTATTTTGGCAATCCTAAACACATAGTTGATATTCAGTAAACTCTGATAAAATGAAAGTAATTGCTAATAGACTAAGCTAGTGAACATATGCAAGAAATTGATTACAAGTCCATTTATCTCAGTCCCAAGCACATATTGACACCTACAATATATAAAATGTTGAGGTGGGCGCCAAAAAATAAACTGACAGAGATGTGGTCTTGTCATGGAGCAATCACTTATGAATTTGATTTTGTATTGATTCAGTCAGAACAGATTGCTTTCTCTGCTTGAAATGCTGCCGCTTCCTGCAAGACACCATACTCAGATAATCTCTCATGTTTCTTACTTAATTCAAGCCCTTCCTTTAACATCACTTCATCAAAGAAGTCTTCCCTGGCCATGTTTCCTAAAATACAATTACCTGTTTATATTTTATTCTCTTACTCTGTTTGTGTCTATATGTATATATACAGACACATATATATGTACATTTGAGACAGAGTCTTGCTCTGTTGCCCAGGCTGAAGTTCTGTGGTGGGATCTCGGCTCACTGCAGTCTCCCCCTCCTGAGTTCAAGCAATTCTCCTTCCTCAGCCTCCCAAGTAACTGTGACTACAGGTGCGCACCACCACGCTGACTAGTTTTTGTATTTTTAGTAGAGATGGGGTTTCCTCATGTTGGCCAGGCTGGTCTCGAGCTCCTGACCTCAGGTGATCAGCCCGCCTTGGCCTCCTAAAGTGCTGGGATTACAGGTGTGAGCCACTGTGTCCAGCCTGTGTTCAAATTTTTCTTTCACTTCTAACCTTAATTTCAAAGTAAGATCTGTGAGGATAGGGATTTGGGCTGATGTGTTCAAACAGTATCCATGAGTCTTAGAACAATGACTAGTACATGTAAATGCTTAATAAATATTCACTTAATCAATAAATGAATTTAAAAAGTGAATCCTCTATGATTAATCTAATCATAGATATGTTTAAGTTTAGCCTGAATTGTCTGTAGCTTGCCAGAATTTCCACTGGTAGCCAGCTGTGTTTGAACTCATGAAAAATACTTTCCAGCTTCACTGTTGTTGTGAGGAGAGTATTCTATGTGTGGAGGTTAACTGCACATCCCCAAAGCAACATTATTGCTGAATAAAGATGCCTAATGCCTTTACTATTAATTATCTGTGGCTATGCTAAACTGTAAGCTTTTGAGTTTTTATCTTTGTATTTTAATAGTTAATTTGAATAGAACCCAGTAATTTTTTTATTTTTATTTTTTATTATACTTTAAGTTCTAGGGTACATGTGCACAACGTGCAGGTTTGTTGCATATGTATACATGTGCCATGTTGGTGTGTTGTACCCATTAACTCGTCATTTACATTAGGCATATCTCCTAATGCTATCCCTCCATCCTCCCCCCACCCCACAACAGGCCCCAGTGTGTGATGTTCCCCTTCCAGTGTCCAAGTGTTGTCATTGTTCAATTTCCACCTATGAGTGAGAACATGCGGTGTTTGATTTTTTGTCCCTGCGATAGTTTGCTGAGAATGACGGTTTCCAGCTTCATCCATCTTCCTAGAAAGGACATAAACTCAACCTTTTTTATGGCTGCATAGTATTCCATGGTGTATATGTGCCACATTTTCTTAATCCAGTCTATCATTGTTGGACATTTGGGTTGGTTTCAAGTCTTTGCTATTGTGAATAGTGCCACAATAAACATACATGTGCATGTGTCTTTATAGCAGCATGATTTATAATCCTTTGGGTATATGTCCAGTAACGGGATGGCTGGGTCAAATGGTATTTCTAGTTCTAGATCCTTGAGGCATCACCACACTGTCTTCCACAATGGTTGAACTAGTTTACAGTCCCACAAACTGTGTAAAAGCATTCCTATCTCTCCACATCCTCTCCAGCACCTGTTGTTTCCTGACTTTTTAATGATCGCCATTCTAACTGGTGTGAAATGGTATCTCACTGTAGTTTTGATTTGCATTTCTCTGATGGCCAGTGATGATGAGCATTTTTTCATGTGTCTGTTGGCTGCATAAATGTCTTCTTTTGAGAAGTGTCTGTTCATATCCTTTGCCCACTTTTTGATGGGGTTGTTTGTTTTTTTCTTGTTAATTTGTTTGAGTTCTTCGTAGATTCTGGATATTAGCCCTTTGTCAGATGAGTAGATTGCAAAAATTTTCTCCCATTCTGTAGGTTGCCTGTTCACTCTGATGGTAGTTTCTTTTGCTGTGCAGAAGCTCTTTAGTTTAATTAGATCCCATTTGTCAATTTTGGCTTTTGTTGCCATTGTTTTTGGTGTTTTAGTCATGAAGTCCTTGCCCATGCCTATGTCCTGAATGGTATTGCCTAAGTTTTCTTCTAGAGTTTTTATGCTTTTAGTTCTAACATTTAAGTCTTTAATCCATCTTGAATTAATTTTTGTATAAGGTGTAAGGAAGGGATCCAGTTTCAGCTTTCTACATATGGCTATCCAGTTTTCCCAGCACCATTTATTAAATAGGGAATCCTTTCCCCATTTCTTGTTTTTGTCATGTTTGCCAAAGACCAGTTGTTTGTAGATGTGTGGTACTATTTCTGAGGCCTCTATTCCGTTCCATTGGTCTATATCTCTATAATCTAAGATCTTTTAGAGTTTTTTGGGTTTGTTTTTGTTTTTAAGAAGAAGATTTCTGCATCATACAAATATTCTCCTTTAAATATGGAATTTCATCATCGTGTTTTCGGGGAGAATGGATGTGTATACCTAAATATTCTTTATTTTGAAATGTGATGAAAATGTAACTAGTACCAGACAGACTGAATTCTGTAAATCAGAATTTATTATTCTAGCAGCACATGGGAAATATTGAAATTCATTTTGCTGTAAGTATAGCTGGTGAAGTGAGCAGTATTGTTGGTTTAGAGATGTTGATGTTTTGGAAAGTTGCCATTAAGGCCTTTTAATCTTACATTTTGGACTTATGAGAAAAATCCCCGGGGCTATTCTAAAATCCTAACAGATGCCTTCTGCTAAAATGCGTACAAAATATATCTCTTTTTCTATATTAGACTTTCATATTTATTTAATACAGGAAACAAATATCTTTTGTATTAGAAAAAAACACAAATATAAGGGATCTGCAAGATCCTTTAGATCTACTTCTTCAATTTCCAGTTGAAAAGACTGAGACTCACTTTCTTGAGTCAGTACAGGACTTTATCAATGACAGGAAATTAATAACAGGCAGTTCTAGAAAGCAGAAACCTACTATTCAAATTACTAATATGCCAAGGTTTCAAATAGTTTAGTTATTGTGCCTTAAATATTGTTACAATAGTATTATTTTCCCATTACAGGTATGTATACCAGAGAATAAACCACAGTCTACTTCTAAGGAAATTAATTATATAAAAGGAAGGATCCTATGGTTCTTTATGAAAACAGTATTTTTTTATAAAACTGATCAATTAAAGCTCATTATTAGCACTGAAGTAGAATTACTTTTTCTCCCTAGGAGAACTGAGTTGTAGGAATGCTTTGTAAATGTGTTTTTAAATTGTTGATTTTATTTAGAATTGGCATCTTTTGCTAAAGAATCACTATGAGTCTTCACCGAAAGGTTGAAATGAGTTGTTGCTATTGTTGAGCATTGTGGGGTAAGAGAAATCCTGCCTCACGCAAATTTATTTACATTGCTTCATCCCTCTCTGTATCTTCAGGAAGTTCAAGGACCTGCAATAAAACTGATGCTGAATGTATTTCTCCAAAGAGTTGGAACTTTACAATATTTGTCCTTTTCCTTTCTTCAGATTTCTTTTTCTTATCCTGCTTCCTATTATATGTCTTAATCTTTTGATATGAGGCCAGCATATGTGCCATTGAAAATGGTCTTAGAGTTTCTCTTTTAGTGAAATTGAATATTCTCCCATACATATTAATAGTGATATGGTTTAGACAATAATTTAGCATGATAAAGCTCTAGAAGCAGCCTTGGCTTTTCTAGTGAACATCATGGCAATCCTTTTAAACTTATTGGTTTAGTATGGTATAAAACTCACAGGTAAAAAAGAAAGCAAATAAATACAAATAGATAAATAAGGTATTTCCATAGCATTCAGTTGGTGTGACAATCATTATACACAAAAATTTGCTCTAGAGATTTCCCCCTGTGCAATCTGTTGGAACTTCTTGGGCTTCCATGTGGTCTCTGAATGAAATTCACTTTTCATTACAAAAATCTTTTTATACTGAATCATATGCTCCATTACTTTCTAGGAAATGGGAAATCATTGCCCACTGTATTGCACAAAAACATACCAACTACCTACAAATGAAATTAAGATCGAGAGGCATTATTTTTTTATTATTTCTTTATTTTATTATTATTATACTTTAAGTTTTAGGTTACATGTGCACAATGTGCAGGTTAGTTACATATGTATACATGAGCCATGCTGGTGTGCTGCACCCATTAACTCGTCATTTAGCATTAGGTATATCTCCTAAAGCTATCCCTCCTCCCTCCCCCCACCCTCCAACAGTCCCCAGAGTGTGATGTTCCCCTTCCTGTGTCCATGCGTTCTCGTTGTTCAATTCCCACCTATGAGTGAGAATATATGGTGTTTGGTTTTTTGTTCTTGCGATAGTTTACTGAGAATGATGATTTCCAATTTCATCCATGTCCCTGCAAAGGACATGAACTCAACCTTTTTTATGGCTGCATAGTATTCCATGGTGTATATGTGCCACATTTTCTTAATCCAGTCTATCATTGTTGGACATTTGGGTTGGTTCCAAGTCTTTGCTATTGTGAATAGTGCCGCAATAAACATACGTGTGCATGTGTCTTTATAGCAGCATGATTTATAGTCCTTTGGGTATATACCCAGTAATGGGATGGCTGGGTCAAATGGTATTTCTAGTTCTAGATCCCTGAGGAATCGCCACACTGACTTCCACAATGGTTGAACTAGTTTACAGTCCCACCAACAGTGTAAAAGTGTTCCTACTTCTCCACATCCTCTCCAGCACCTGTTGTTTCCTGACTTTTTAATGATTGCCATTCTAACTGGTGTGAGATGGTATCTCATTGTGGTTTTGATTTGCATTTCTCTGATAGCCAGTGATGGTGAGCATTTTTTCATGTGTTTTTTGGCTGCATAAATGTCTTCTTTTGAGAAGTGTCTGTTCATGTCCTTCGCCCACTTTTTGATGGGGTTGTTTGTTTTTTTCTTGTACATTTGTTTGAGTTCATTGTAGATTCTGGATATTAGCCCTTTGTCAGATGAGTAGGTTGCGAAAATTTTCTCCCATTTTGTAGGTTGCCTGTTCACTCTGATGGTAGTTTCTTTTGCTGTGCAGAAGCTCTTTAGTTTAATTAGATCCCATTTGTCAATTTTGGCTTTTGTTGCCATTGCTTTTGGTGTTTTAGACATGAAGTCCTTGCCCATGCCTGTGTTCTGAATGGTAATGCCTAGGTTTTCTTCTAGGATTTTTATGGTTTTAGGTCTAACGTTTATGTCTTTAATCCATCTTGAATTAATTTTTGTATAAGATATAAGGAAGGGATCCAGTTTCAGCTTTCTACATATGGCTAGCCAGTTTTCCCAGCACCATTTATTAAATAGGGAATCCTTTCCCCATTTCTTGTTTTTGTCATGTTTGTCAAAGATCAGATAGTTGTAGATATGTGGCATCATTTCTGAGGGCTCTGTTCTATTCCATTGATCTATATCTCTGTTTTGGTACCAGTACCATGCTATTTTGGTTACTGTAGCCTTGTAGTATAGTTTGAAGTCAGGTAGCGTGATGCCTCCAGCTTTGTTCTTTTGGCTTAGGATTGACTTGGCGATGCGGGCTCTTTTTTGGTTCCATATGAACTTTAAAGTAGTTTTTTCCAATTCTGTGGAGAAAGTCATTGGTAACTTGATGGGGATGGCATTGAATCTATAAATTACCTTGGGCAGTATAGCCATTTTCATGATGCTGATTCTTCCTACCCATGAGCATGGAATGTTGTTCCATTTGTTGGTATCCTCTTTTATTTCCTTGAGCAGTGGTTTGTAGTTCTCCTTGAAGAAGTCCTTCACGTCCCTTGTAAGTTGGATTCCTAGGTATTTTATTCTCGTTGAAGCAATTGTGAATGGGAGTTCACTCATGATTGGCTCTCTGTTTGTCTGTTATTGGTGTATAAGAATGCTTGTGATTTTTGTACATTGATTTTGTATCCTGAGACTTTGCTGAAGTTGCTTATCAGCTTAAGGAGATTTTGGGCTGAGACAATGGGGTTTTCTAGATATAGAATCATGTCATCTGCAAACAGGTACAATTTGACTTCCTCTTTTCCTAATTGAATACCCTTTATTTCCTTCTCCTGCCTAATTGCCCTGGCCAGCACTTCCAACACTATGTTGAATAGGAGTGGTGAGAGAGGGCATCCCTGTCTTGTGCCAGTTTTCAAAGGGAATGCTTCCAGTTTGTGCCCATTCAGTATGATATTGGCTGTGGGTTTGTCATAGATAGCTCTTATTATTTTGAGATACATCCCATCAATACCTAATTTATTGAGAGTTTTTAGCATGAAGCATTGTTGAATTTTGTCAAAGGCCTTTTCTGCATCTATTGAGATAATCGTGGTTTTTGTCTTTGGTTCTGTTTATATGCTGGATTACATTTATTGATTTGTGTATATTGAACCAGCCTTGCATCCCAGGGATGAAGCCCACTTGATCATGGTGGATAAGCTTTTTGATGTGCTGCTGGATTTGGTTTGCCAGTATTTTATTGAGGATTTTTGCATCAATGTTCATCAAGGATATTGGTCTAAATTTCTCTTTTTTAGTTGTGTCTCTGCCAGGCTTTGGTATCAGGATGATGCTGGCCTCATAAAATGAGTTAGGGAGGATTCCCTCTTTTTCTACTGATTTGAATAGTTTCAGAAGGAATCATACCAGTTCCACCTTGTACCTCTGGTAGAATTCGGCTGTGAATCCATCTGGTCCTGGACTCTTTTTGGTTGGTAAGCTATTGATTATTGCCACAATTTCAGAGCCTGTTATTGGTGTATTCAGAGATTCAACTTCTTCCTGGTTTGGTCTTGGGAGGGCGTATGTGTTGAGAAATTTATCCATTTCTTCTAGATTTTCTAGTTTATTTGCA
This sequence comes from Homo sapiens, assembly GCF_000001405.40. Lineage (NCBI taxonomy): Eukaryota > Metazoa > Chordata > Mammalia > Primates > Hominidae > Homo > Homo sapiens. The sequence goes on from NC_000001.11 coordinate 66,106,725, forward strand.
TAGAGGTGTTTGTAGTATTCTCTGATGGTAGTTTGTATTTCTGTGGGATCGGTGGTGATATCCCCTTTATCATTTTTTATTGCATCTATTTGATTCTTCTCTCTTTTCTTCTTTATTAGTCTTGCTAGCATTCTGTCAATTTTGTTGATCCTTTCAAAAAACCAGCTCCGGGATTCATTAATTTTTTGAAGGGTTTTTTGTGTCTCTATTTCCTTCAGTTCTGCTCTGATTTTAGTTATTTCTTGCCTTCTGCTAGCTTTGAATGTGTTTGCTCTTGCTTTTCTAGTTCTTTTAATTGTGATGTTAGGGTGTCAATTTTGGATCTTTCCTGCTTTCTCTTGTGGGCATTTAGTGCTATAAATTTTCCTCTACACACGGCTTTGAATGTGTCCCAGAGATTCTGGTATGTTGTGTCTTTGTTCTCGTTGGTTTCAAAGAACATCTGTATTTCTGCCTTCATTTTGTTATGTACCCAGTAGTCATTCAGGAGCAGTTTGTTCAGTTTCCATGTAGTTGAGCGGTTTTGAGTGAGTTTCTTAATCCTGAATTCTAGTCTGATTGCACTGTGGTCTGAGAGACAGTTTGTTATAATTTCTGATCTTTCATTCATTATTTTCAGTGCACACCTGAATTGAGAAAAGCACATTAATGAACTTGGGTTGTTGATGTCAACCCATTTTCCTGTATTTATTAAAAATTATCATGTATTCTGAGCTTAAAAATTGTTTTGATTTCTTCACTTAAAAAAGGTTTTCAGCTGTTCACATAATTTAGGAAACAGCAAAACAAAACAAACAAAAAAAAAAACCTGCCTTCCCATGAGACTTTCATGGTAAGTCCACCTGGATGACCAAAAATACTTTTTATTTGTTAGCATTCTTGCTGCAGAAATAACATATTGTTATGCAGATATATTCACTTCAAGGCAAAACACCAAATTATTTTCTAGTGTTTTTCCCTTTAGGAGCTTTCATGATTCTAAACCTTTCATGAGATAGATAAAGTAAGTCTTTCTGAAGATTGGATACTGTAAAATCCAAAACTATTCTAAGCCACCAGGTGAATATGATCAATCTGAGTTGTGTAAGCCTCAACTCAAGACAATAAAAGCTGTTTGTAGCCTTATTGATGCCAAGTATATGTCAATATAAAACAACAGCAACAACAAATCTCAAAACATTGTGATGAAATTAGACTTAAGATATTTAATTTGGATTTTTAAAAAAAGATACACATTTATTTTTTTAAATAATTAAATTGATAAAAATTATACATATTTATGGTACACAGCATGATGTTTTGATATATGTATCCATTACCTCACATACTTATTTCTTTGTAGTGAGAATATTTAAAGTCTACTCTCTTAGCAATTTTCAAGTACACAATACATTGTTATTAAAGAGTCATCAGGCTGTGCAATAGATCTCCTGAAGTTATACCTCCTGTTTAACTGAAATTTTGTAAGCCTTTCACCAGGGTCTTCCCAATCCCTGTCACCTGCCCACCCCAGTCCCTGGTAGCCATCATTATACTTTCTGCTTCTTTGAGTTTGATTTCTTTTTTTTAGATTCATCCACTTGGATTAAAAACTAAAACATAAGACCTGAGACTGTGAAACTACTAGAAGAAAACATAGGGGAAAAGCTTCTTGATAATGGGCAAAGATTTTCTGGATATGATCCAAAAAGCACAGGAAACAAATGCAAAATTAGACAAATGCTATTGCATCACACTAAAAAGCTTCTGCACAGCAAAGGAAACAATCAACAGAGTGAAGAGACAACCTATGGAATGGGAGAAAATATTTGCAAACCACACATCTAATAAGGGATAATATCCAAAATACATAAGGAACTGAAACAACTCAATAGCAAGAAAACAATCCAATTTTTTAAATGGGCAAAGGACTTGAAAAGACATACGAATGGCCAACAGGTTCATGAAAAATGTTCAATGTCACTACTAATCATCAGGGAAAGGCACGTTCATTTCAGTATCTTTTATTAATGACATTATGGTATCTATATATATCTGTTAGTATTGATTTTTAATTATAGCATCCAAAATATTCAGTTTCTGCTTACAAAGCTGTTTTAAGTTATTTTGATTCAACTGACTCATCAAATCAAACAAATGATTTGATATCATTTTCCAATGAAATTAAATTTCTTAATTTCTGTTTTTGACTGAATGCAGATAAAACTCTTGGTCATACAGAAAGTCTGTTCCCACACCATTGCCCTCATTCCATTATATGCATTTTCTACTCAATGTCTTCACTGTAGTATTGATGGTGGATGGAGAGATAAAGTCTGCATTAACTGAAACAAGTTATTTGAATATCCCTTGCTAATCAGTAAGGTAATTAATGCATTGTAACTAGGATGTAGAGCCTGTGAAACCCTGTTGTATAATGCCATGGTACAGACATATCTAAAATAGACCAACAGATGTTTTGAGAAACTTCTTAAAATTTTCTTTGCTTCTTTGGAGTTTCTTTACCAAATTATAAGTAAGAATACAAATGTAGTTGGTGATGATGAGATAATTCTTTGAGCAAAACAATAGAGCTGTAGATGAGGTTAAAAAGTTCATATTAATATTGTCAAGAATTTTTTCATATAGAAGTAATTTTATTTTTCAGATTTTTGAAAGCTGGAGAGATGAGGATGGGGGAATGAAGGAGCAGTAAGGTTTGCCCAATTGATGACACATTTATGTATAATTTTTTCATGCTTTGGAAAACAATTTAAAAAAAAATTGTTCCAAGAAGTTTTAAGCACATTATAGATATGAATTAACTGCATAGTATTAGTTTAAAAATTATTAGAGCATTTGTTAATTTCATATATGACAGCATTAGATAATACTAAGTTCTAATCTTTTGATTTTTCTAGCTCATAGCCCTATTCTGGGTCTCCTTTTCAAGTTTTTTAATATATTCATAATTTAATACATTACCTTTTAAATATTATTTTATTTTAGATTTAGGGGATACATGTATATGTTTGTTACATGGATATATTGAGTATTGGTAGTGATTGGACTTCTAATGTACCCATCACCCAAATAGTGAACATTGTGCTCAATAGGTTATTTTTCAACCCTCACCCTTTTCCTCTCATTAGTAATTTTTTTGCAGTAGGTATTTTTGTTAGGCTATCAGACGTTGAATTAGTGGAACTCTTCTTAAAATGACCCATAGGTGACTCAGTTCATTTCTGTGCAGTACTCTTAAAATAGAGATTTTTCTGACTTTCTAGTTGAGAAAGATCATGTAATTAATTGTCAAAACTTTTAAATCAAAATGCTAGCCTTAATATAAATTTCCAACACTGCAGTGGAGTCAGGGTACCATATAAACCTGATTACTGTGGCAAAAAGCTTGAAGCTTTCATAAATGCAGAACAATGCTGGTAAAGAGGAACCTGATTTTAAAATTATTGCTTAAACCTAGGTTTTCAATAAAGAGCGGAAATTGATGAGCGTTTGAGGGAATAATAACCAATGGTTACAGTCAAAATGGTAACTTCTGTGACATTTCTAAGTATGCAAGTGTGAGATGGAAGTATTTGGAGGGACTGAGAGCTCTTCACTACCTCTAATTTAGGCAGCTTTCACTAGATTGGGAGAGTTCCAATATATATACCTAGTTGCAGGTGTCCATCCTTGAAGAAAGTGAAAAAGGTCAATGAATGAACAGATTCCACAAGTCTTGTCTGCTACTAAACCAACTGGTCAGTGTTGTTGTGGAAATAATGTGTGAAAAGCATAGAGCACAGGTCCTGGCACATAGTAAATACCAAATACATGGTGGATATTACTAAAGGAGGTAGCAATGCTTATTAGCTAAAAGCATAGATTCTGAAATTTAACCATCTGTGTTTTTGTCTTGCTTCCACAATAACAGCTGGGTAAACTTGGGAATGTTATTTAACTTCTCTGAGGCTTGTGAGATAAAAATAGTACTACCTCATATGGTTGTCAAGGAAATAAACGAGAATATATATAATGCGATTAAACCAACTCCTAGTATGTAGTAAGCACTCAATGTAAATATCAGTTATTTCTACTACAACTGCAACTATGATGAGGGTGATGACTATGACTGCTATCACCACTGCCTTCTGCAACTACTGCTGTCTGGCCTATCTTATTAGGAATTGGCTGGGAGCTTGTAGAAAAGCTTTGGAAAAGCAGAATTGGATAAGTCAGGACCTGACTAATCTGACCAATTTGGGCAGAGCTGAAGCTTACTTTGTAACGCCCTGGAAGCAAATATGGAAAAACAGATTATCATGAGGATTAAACTATCTGATAAAACAAAACACTTTTAGCAAGATTATCAAATTATTTATAAGTAAATCATGAAATGGTGCTATTTTAATCACAGATTTAAGGCACACCAAATTCTTACCCCACATGAAAAGACCTGAACCCCAAGATTTAAGAAAAAACTTATATACACTTTAAAATAATTTTCTAACAGTTATTTTGTGTGCTGCAAAAGAACTGACATATTTTCTTATTGTGTAAAATATATATAACAAAATTTATTGCTTTAAACATTTTTAAAGAGTTTGGTGACATTAAGTACATTAACACTGTTGGGCACCCATCATGACCATCCATCTCCAGAATATTTTCATTTTTCCAAACTGAAACTCTTTACCCATTAAACAATAATTCCACATTTCCAGCTGCCTTAAGTTCCTGGCAACCACCATTCTACGTTTTGTCTCTACACACTTGGCTATTCTAGACACTGAATATAAGTAGACTCATAGAATATTGTCCTTTTGTGTTTGGCTTATTTCCCTTGGCATAGTATCTTCAAGCTTCATCTATGTTGTAGCATGCATTAGAATTTTATTGTTTTTTAAGGCCAAATAGTATATTTCATTGTATGTATATGCCACATTTTGTTTAATCCATTCATCCGTTGGTAAACATTTGAGAAGAAAGGCACTGTCCTCAACTTGATTTCAGCTTTCTCACTGGCCATGGATCTATCAGTGATACGTTCTATAAGATCCATCTATTTTGGCCTGATTTGTAGTTGATTAGGAGTCATACTTCTTTAGATTAGGTATTTTTGTCTTGTCTGGTTATGGTTTCTTACCAAAAATAAACAATGCCAGGGTTCACTATAATCATTGTTTCTTAATAATGAAGCAACTAAATGGTACCAGGTTCTTTGGCAAGACTAAATGTTTTATATTGGAAACCCACAATTTATGAATCTAAATGAATCTGGAGCTCTGACATTTTAGAACCTTTGCATTTTGTTCAAGGATGAAGATGAACAAAATTACCAAAGAGCAATGTATATAAAAAGTTGATTAATTTATATACATTGAGTACTTGTTACAGGCAAAGAATCTCCCGAGGTGCTGGGAGGATTATAAAAAAACTGTAACTAACTGAGTCAGGCTTATGACCTTACATTAATTTTTGGAGAACAGGAAGACATCCCTGAAAAATAAAAGTACTAATAAAAAGGTAAATTTTTTTTCTAACTCTTCCAAATTTAATGTTCTTGTATTGCTTGCTTTTGTACTTTTCATTTAGATCATTTATTACAATTTATAATTTATATATTTGGAGAAATTATTGATTGAATGTCTGCCTCACCCCAGACTATAATGAGGACAGAATTGAGGTCACGTCTCTACCAGTGTGACTAGGAACATTGGTAAATGACCATTGAATTAATTAGTTAAGTAACCACATGAGCACAAATATAAAATTTAAGTCATGGGTCAGTAGCCGAAAGAAGATAAGGAAAGATTTACTGATTGTCTACAATGAGCCAGCTGCTTTACAAAGGTACAGATGACAATTACAGGCTAGGCAGTGAGAACATATCTAACTCTGCAGGACCCTCTGCCATTGATGCTGCCTGACTGTTACACAGATTGAGTCTCTCTTTATCTCCCTTGTCACTTGTGTTTTCCTGTGTCACCTGTGTTTTCCTTCTGTGCCTCTATCATTATTGCCTCAACACCTTATCATATTTAATAATTTTAAATTGTTTTTCAGTTTACCAATGGCTTCATGTCCATCCATCAGCAAATCATCATAGCAACTCTCCACTTTACAAAGGAGGAAACAGACTCAGAGAAATGTGATGACTATCCCAAGATACCACAAAAGTAAATACAGAACAAAACTTAAAACTGGGTCTTCCACTTCCAAAGCTAGTGCTGCCCCAAGCGATGGGATTATATTGCACTTTGTAGTGACTGTGACAGCTTTTAAAGTGACCAAGTTTCTTTTTGGTTCCTTTTCTCTCTTGGTGTAGAGTTTTTGAGACACAATTGCATTTAGAATTCTCAAGTACTGAAAGGTGCTTTTCCCCATGGATTTGAATCAAGTGTGCGAATTGCATCCAAAAAGGTTAATCTGTTTACCCAACTAGAACATTTTGCACTGCAGAAATAAAACTAGAAGTTGCATTGCTGGGCTGCTCCAGATGTCCTGTGCTTTGAGCTGCTTTATTTGCATTTGGTATTTCAAAGCTTGTGATCAATTTACAATTATAATTGTCACCAAAATTTTACTTTAACTAGCACTTTGGGAAGGAAAACATCAATTTACATTATTTTGCAGAGTTTGAAAATATCTAATGATTTATAAAACAAAAATGGGTTTCATCAAGACAAGTGAGTACAAAATTGCTGTTGCTGATCTATGTTGTAATCATTTCCTAATACAAGATCTTGTTATTTTCATACATGCATTTTGTATTCACTATGCTAGTCCATAATAAGATAATTTTAATCACTGAGTTATACAGCTGCTCTAAGAGAGTGAAGAGCATAAACATGAATAAGAAAATCAGACAGCTGATTATAAAAATGTATTATTGGATATCTGTCTTGGCGGCACATGTAACTAGATTAACAGTGAGCATGATTCCATATGTAAGGTGTTTCTTACTTTTCATATCTCCTTTAAGATATGCAAAGATATATTTACTTTATATACTATCAATAGAATTCTTGTCAGTGGAGTTAGAGGAATTCCTAGAAATAGCTCAGTTTCTTTAAACTATAATACTACCAGAAAGAAAAGACGTCATAAATTATGTATCAAATATATTGTTTTGAGAGTCAATAGATAATAGCAAACATTTATTAAGTGCTTACCTTAAGCTAGGCTCTGTGCTAAGAACATTATGTGCATAAGGTCATTTAATCATTTGAGAGTAAGCACTTCTACTATTACGAATTGCTATGGCCTGAATGTTCGTGTCTCCCTAAAATTCACATGTTGAAAACCTAATTACCAGTGTGATGGTATTAAGGGGTGAGGCCTTTGGGAAGTTATTAGATCATGAGGGCAGAGCTCTCATAAATGGGATTCATGTCCTTATAAAAGAGGCCCGAGAGAGTTGCCATGGCCCTTCCACGATGTGAGGACACAACAAGGAGGCGCTGTCTATGAACCAGAAAGCAGGCCCTCACCAGAAACCAAATTAGCCAGCACCTTGATCTCGGACTTCACAACCTCCAGAACCCTGAGAAATGAATTTCTACTGTTTATGAGCTACTCAGATGATAGTATTTTGTCATAGTTACCTGAACAGACTAAGACATGAATTCTATCTCAAAGATGAGGAAACTAAAGTTGAAAGTGGTTAAGTTTCTGAAGGTTCTGCAGCCAGCAAGAGATATATAAAGTACCAAATAATAAAATAAATTTTCAAATAAAAGTCAAATCCAAGAAAAGGCAGAAAATACTAATTCTTAGTTCAGAATTTTATTATTAGTCTGAAAAAATAACGTAACTTATATGCAAATTATACAAGCTTAGAATAAAAAGAAACCCCTTAAAGACTCTCTGAAAACACAGACTATGTCTTACTTATTTTTTCATCTCCTTGCATACAGTAGCCCACAATTTTTTTTTTTTTTTTTTTTTGAGACGGAGTCTGGCTGTGACACCCAGGCTGGAGTGCAATGGCACAATCTCGGCTCACTGCAACCTCTGCTTCCTGGGTTCAAGCGATTCTCCTGCCTCAGCCTCCCGGGTAGCTGGGACTACAGGCACACATCACCACACCTGGCTGATTTTTGTACTTTTAGTAGAGACAAGAGATCACCATAGTGGCCAGGCCGGTCTCGAACTCCTGACCTCAAGTGATCCACCTGCCTCAGCCTCCTAAAGTACTGGGATTACAGGGGTGAGCCACCACACCCAGTCATATAAAAAATATGGAGTTGAATTTTATCCAGTGTCAGAACCTTCCAAAATTGGGGAGTTTACAATCCAATTTATTCTTGAGAAGTTCCAGGTATCAAAAAATTCTTTTATCTTTTAAGTAATAATGTTTCTCTCCATAATTTCCCTTTGTTGAAATTGTGTGATCATGGAGCCTAAATGACCATTGGTAATATAATATTAATATTCAAAATGGATGATGCAATTCATACTGACCTGTCAGCAGCCCAATATTAATTTAAACTACTGACCTACATTAATTTACCTCAGAGCAATGGTTCTCTTTTCTTGCTTACTTTCGGGTCAACTTCAAACACACCAATGCCCCGTTTTCACGACAGATAAATTGGTCTGCATATCTGGAGTTGATCTGAACATAAGCATTTTTTAACAACTCCCCAGATAGTTCTAATGTGCAGCCAATATTGAGACTCACTATGATAGAGAAATGCACACTAAATACAGAGGGTTGTTGCCAAGCAAGGAACTACCTGGCTGCCCAGCCAAGACAATCCAGAATAGCATTATTTTTATGAATTCATCAAGCATTTGGGTCCAGAATTTGATCTTAACCTTGCATAAAAGTTAATCAGACCCTAGGAAATTGATAATATGTTAATCAAACATGAAATTGTCTCATATAGAATATAGAATGCCAGACTATGGGGGCGTCCCAGTAGGCACATTCGCTGTCTGAAAACTTGTTCCTCTTTTTCAATTAGTTGTGTGGACAAATTTCTCAGATCATTGCACTGAAGAGCTAGAATCTGAGTGGAAATAGTTGATAGTGTTGGTATATTTTGCTGAAGATGTGAAGAATCTTGATAAAATGGCCTTGTTTTGATGATAATGCTCTTTTGTTTAAATTCTGATGTCCTATAGATTCAAGGTCCTCTGGATATTCTAAATTAATATTGCCAAGTTAACTTATTTGACTCCTGTTTTTCTATGACTTTGTACGTAATCCTCCTTCTTTCTTTATATATAATACTTTATCTTACAGTTTTAGCATTGGCAACATTCTATTTCTTTTATATTTCTTGATTGTATTAGTGAAATTCTAGCACTCCTTAAGCATGGTTTACAGAATGCTTATCCAATGTGTGGAAGACAGAAACCTTAGAGGGTTAGAACAAACATTAGAAGAGCAGTTCGTTCTTAACCTACTTTTCTGCTGAGATGCTCATTAAAGTTGATGTTCACTTGCATGGGCATGCCCGGATTTTGAAAACCTTGTCAAATTATCTCTATTTCTGGGTTTTTTTTTTATCTGGGTCTCTCTCATGTTTTAGGCTTTCCTCAAATGTCTGATGATTCTTGATTGTCTGTTTATATTTAGGAAAGGGTCCATTAAAAAGCTGGTTTGGACCTCTGTGTTCAAGGGTAGTCCTAGCTTTAGCATAATGAGACAGAGAAAGCAGACAGGGCATTCAACTAGGTACTTTGTGCTGGGCTCCCTTCCTCCCCCCAACTCCCACCACACACATCCTGGAAGGCAGCAATGCTTCTGTTTCATCATACAGCATAGTCACATCCTTTAGAATTCTTCCAATTTTTTTGCCTCAAGATTGGACTGAGGGTGTCAACATCCGGAGGTCAGTATAAAGACCCCCCCAGCCCACCACCCCATGCAAGATCTTGCTCTGTCACCTATGCTGGAGTGGCAGTTGCACAATCACAGCTCACTGCAGCCTCAACCTTCTTGGCTCAAGCTATCCTCCCACCTCAGCCTACTGAGTACCTGGGATTACAGGCATGTGCCACCACACCCGGCTGATCTTTGTATTTTTTTGTAGAGATGGGGTTTTGCCATGTTGCCCAGGCTGGTCTCCAGCTCCTGGGCTCAAGCAATCCTCCATCCTCGGCCTCCCAAATTGCTAGGATTACGTGGGTGAGCCACCGCACCTGGCATATATAAAGACTTCTAGACAAGGGTTCATTCTGGTTCCCTTTTCAGCTACAGCCCCAGGATGTCACCTGGCTGAGTCCATCTCTGCCCGCCCTCATTATTTGCCACCCCTCCAATCCAGCTTTGGTCTTCCAAAGTGCCGGTGACTGCCCCATACCCTCTCTTGATCATTGTGTATTGATTGCTTTCTCAAAAATTCCATTTTTTATTTTTTAAATATCTAATGAGGAGAAGGAGACAATTACCTGTGGATAAAAGAAAAACAGACATTCAGGAAAATTATTGAATGTGGACTGCAGCATAGGTAAGTAGGTTGTAGATTATTCACAATTCCATTGGCTCAAGCTATATTCCATCACTTTGTTTTCTCAAGAAAAGTCTTACTAGTTGCCAGAAAAAAAAAGTTGATGATCTTACAGAGATTTTCTTAAATCGAATTCATGGGCCAAGATACTTGAGTGTTACCGAGAAATTACTTCCCACCCTCTTCACAACTGTTTATAAGTGAACACTCTGTTGTGTCACTGATTTAAAAGTGTCATTAAAAGAATTGGGAGTCCAGAAGACCTTCACAAGCCATAATTATAGAAATTATCTGGGAAGGTAACTTTTAATACTGGTGGATATAATATTATGCTTGAGTGCAGTTGGAAGAGATGTGGTAGAAACAGACACAGATTTTACCTAGGTTTTTTTTTTCTAAGTTTCCAGGGCCACAGTTATTTCTAAAGTATTTTTGTATGTTCCTCATAATACCCAGCATATAGCTTTATCCATAGTGAGTACTCAATTTTTCATTGATAAAGTGAGGTAGTTTCTGGGATCCTGGCAGTCCACGGACTTATAAAATATTAGAGCTGAGTGGAATTTATCAGCCCATCTGAGTTTTCTTTGGTTCTGGTACATTTTTCTTTTCTATATGTCATTATTACTTAAAAAGAGGATGCATATGAAAATGGATATGTACAGATAAGATGTGATTGCTTCTTTTTCTTAAAAAACCAAACCCTAAGGAATCGCCACACTGACTTCCACAATGGTTGAACTAGTTTACAGTCCCACCAACAGTGTAAAAGTGTTCCTATTTCTCCACATCCTCTCTAGCACCTGTGGTTTCCTGACTTTTTAATGATCACCATTCTAATTGGTGTGAGATGGTATCTCATTGTGATTTTGATTTGCATTTCTCTGATGGCCAGTGATGATGAGCATTTTTTCATGTGTCTTTTGGCTGCATAAATGTCTTATTTTGAGAAGTGTCTGTTCATATCCTTCACCCACTTGTTGATGGGGTTGTTTGTTTTTTTCTTGTAATCTAGAACTAGAAATACCATTTGACCCAGCCATCCCATTACTGGGTATATGCCCAAAGGATTATAAATCATGCTGTTATAAAGACACACGCACACATATGTTTATTGCGGCACTATTCACAATAGCAAAGACTTGGAACCAACCCAAATGTCCAACAATGATAGACTGAATTAAGAAAATGTGGCACATATACACCATGGAATACTATGCAGCCATAAAAAAGGATGAGTTCATGTCCTTTGTAGGGACATGGATAAAGCTGGAAACCATCATTCTCAGCAAACTATTGCAAGGACAAAAAACCAAACACCGCATGTTCTCACTCATAGGTGGGAATTGAACAATGAGAACACTTGGACACAGGAAGGGGAACATCACACAGCCTGTTGTGGGGTGGGGGGAAGGGGGAGGGATAGCATTAGGAGATATACCTAATGTAAATGATGAGTTAATGGGTGCAGCACACCAACATGGTACATGTATACATATGTAACAAACCTGCATGTTGTGCACATGTACCCTAAAACTTAAAATATAATTAAAAAAAAACCAAACCCTATTATTTCATTGACAGATTGTCTTAGAGTTGATAGCATTTAATAATTGAGTAAGTACAGTCCTTCCTTGTTCCTAACGTGCCCTATTTTTTCTTTCTTCTCTACTTTTGCATATGCATTTTCCCTCTTTCTTGTTTCTTGGTGAATTCCTAAACCTTTTTTTTCAAAATCACCTCAAATGTTACCGCTTTGAAGAAGCCTTCCTGGATTCTCACAGGAACAGCTAATGTCATCTCTTTTAACATATCCCCTTCTTCATCTCTATGTATACTGTTCTTCAATTTCATTTTATAAGTAGCAAAATTCATCCAGAGAGATGAAGGAGCATTTACAAGGTTAAACATCAGAAGAGCCTTAGAGATCCAGAGGAATCTATTTCAGATCCATGTAATCTCCATGTGGCCAGCTGGGCCATGTGGCCTAGTCTCGATTTTGGTTGAATTTCAAAGGTGTTTTATGAAGAAATAGGGGAGTAAAGAGGTCAGAAGTTCATTTTGAGAGATGCTTTCGGAAGACCTCTTTACCACGTAATTTGTGTATTCGGTGGTGTGTTTTCCACTGTGATTTTGGCCAGGGTGCAGCTGTACTGAGACATTCGTTACATTGAGTCTTGTAGAATCAGGTAGGGCCTGACCTTTTAAGACCATTATTATGGAGTAGAACACAGAGAAGCTGCCTCTGCAGCTGGCAACATGTATGGGTAATGGAGCGTATCTTCAGACTGTAGAGAGAAAAGAAGTGCGTGTATTCACTTCCCAGGAGAAATAATATTGTCTAGCATTCTCTATAAACCAAAATACAAAAGCAGTCCTGTGTTATAGGACTCTGCCCATAACTGATGTTATTGCCACAATTCCCAGTTCTGTTTTCTGGGCACAAGCTTCTGCTGGGATTTCCAATTAGCAGAGGGAGCTCTGCAAGAGTTTTGGATTGTGGACATTGTCACTGTTCTGGGTTAAATTGTGTTTCCCCCAAAAGATGTTGAAGTCCTAACTCCCAGTGAATGTTACCTTATTCAGAAATAAGGGTCTTTGCAGATAATCAAGTTAAGATGAAGTAATTAGAGTGGGCCCTAATCTAATATGACTGGTATCTTTTAAAAAAGAGAGAATTTGGACCTTGGGACAGATATACTCAGAGGGAAGACAACATGAAGACACAATGAGAATGCCATCTACAAGCCATGGAATCTCTGAGGTGAGGCTACCAGAAGCTTAGAGAGAGGCATGGAACAAAGATTTTCCCATATATCCCTCAGAGGGGATGAATCCTGCTGACACCTTGATTTCAGACTTCTAACCTCCACAACTGTGAGACAATATATTTATGTTGTTTAAGCTACTCAGTTTGTAGTACTTTTTTACAACAGCCTTCGGAAACGAATACAGTCACTAATTTGCTTTCATCTCTGTGTCACCTCTCCAAATGTCAGCTCCTTGTTTCCAAAATGAGGGAACTAGATAACATGATCTCCAGCTCTAAACTTCCCTGATCTTTCTAGAAGTTTGATAAGCTGGTTCTGCAGCTGTGCCTCTCTTCCCACTTCGTCTTTGATTCCTTGACCTAGACCCTTGGTTTGGATGGGGTATGCCTAGGAGTAGCTCACCCTTCTCTGATCTCCTGGGGGAATTTAATTGAAGTACATTCTCCTCCTGCCCAGTAGTGATGTCAAGAATTAGAGGAAAGACGTGCTGTGTCTCATACATCATGGATCTCTGACTCCTTCTTTCCATCATATCTCCTGAAAGTTTCAGGCCAGATATTTTACATTAGAGATCACAACTTGGACTCAGTACACAAATGGGTTTTATTTGCCTGTACCATTTTTTAATTTTTTAATTAAAAAAATTATTTGCCAGGATGAAAATTCTAAGGTTTCACATCAAAATCTGAATTTCTGACATAGCAGGCCAGGATTCCCACACAATAACAATGACTATTTCCAGCTCAGTTCTGTTGAAAGGTGGTTGCCTTTGAAAAAGTCTGCACTCTCTATTTTGCACTGCCTCTACCCCTCTCTATTTTTCCTTCACCAGCTCCAATTCTGGCTTCTCTCATGAATGCTATCTCCATGGGTCCCACAGGCATTTGAGTTTGGGACCTCTGTGGACATTATGATGAGAACTATTTATTTCCCTACTATTTTATCTGGGAGTACAGAATTTAAGTCATTTTATATGTCTCACATGTTATATCAGAGTACATTATATATCTACAAATGTATATGCCCTTTAATGATTATGCATGTGTCCCCATAGTGTCATGTACATTGTGGACACTAAACAGGTATGTATTTTAAATGTTTTTGTCCACTCTCTAAAAACCAATCTTTTGGTACCATGAGGTCCTTAAGGATAGACCAGAAAATAGTGCTGCCTCAGGGGGTTACTATCCTCTCTGAGGAAGTAAGATATGGAGTCAGGCAGGTAAAGGATCAAGAAGAAAGTGAAAAGTGCGAAGACAAATGCAGGCATAGCATGAGGATAATTCAGGGGAAGGAATGAGCACTTCTGAGTGGGGCCATCAGGAATTTTGCAGTGGTAATGGGGGACATTTTAGCTGAGACTTGGAAAAATGGTAGAATTTGCTCCAACATGAGGAAATATGAGCATTGAGTAGGCAGGTATGGGGGCAATTTTGAAAACAAATAGTTCAGTTTGACTGAACTAAGGGAAATCGTGGGAAATGAGCCAGAGGGGATAATTTAGAACTATCTAACCATGGCATCAACATCAGGTGTAAGGAGTTTAGACAGCACTGAGTTATTAAGCTCCTGGAGGAGCTATATTTATTCTTTGTCCGTGAGTAAGAACTAGACAAGAAAGATGTGCCTTGCCTCTGTTGTTCCAAAAGGAAAATGGCCATTTATGTTTGCATCTACTCTGAGTTTCGAGGTAGAAAATCTTCCTTTTTAATTTTCTTCATTCTTGTATGAGTAGCAATTTTTAGGGAAAGCAGCCGAATACAGTTCTTGGCAGTATGTTCTAAAATAGCAACACAGCATCCTTATCTCTGCTATAACTTCGTATCCTCCAGCTTTCTAACAGGAGCATATTGGCATCTTTCACAGAATTATGCTCAACAACTTATTAGCTGTTCATTGAGAAAACTTATTTGTCATTTTGAAACTTGAGTCAGGTAAAACATTTTCTTTCACATTTTTTCTTTCTCCTTTTCACCCTCTCAACTTTCTCTACTTCTTTCTGTCTCATATCTCTCATTGTCTCCTTCCGTCCCTGTCTTTCTTCCTTCCTCCTTTTTCTTCCTTTCCTCCTTCTGTCCTTCCTTTCTCCTTTCTCCCTCACTGCTTCCTTCTCATCTTTATAATAAAGCAGTTAAGAGCAACAACTTTGAAGTCACATGGCCGAGGCTATAATCCTAGGCTACTGACTGATTGTAGAACCCTGAAATAGCTACTTAGCTTCTTTGAGCGTCCATTTTTCCATCTGCAAAATGGGATCATGATAATAACTACTGCATAAGAATATTGAGAATATTCATGTGTTAACACATGCAAAACACTCAGACCATGTGCCAGGGACATGTTAAGTGCTCAGTAAGTGTTGTCTATTTTTATTGTTATTATATCTGCTGATTTTTTTCACATTTATCCTCACTGAGTTTGGGTTCTTTTAAAATTGTGTAGAAAAATACATTATAATTGTTCTTTGTTTAATTTTAGACCCAAGAGATATATTTTGATATTAAAAAGATTTTTTGTTATTGTGGAATAACATATAGAATCCACAACCTAGATCCATATAATTTGTTAAATGTATTATTGGACTATGACTGATTAAGTGGGTTAATTTTATACATGTAACCGTAAGATCACTTTTAGAAGACTATGGCCATATTGTAGATGCCTTCTTCTATTTGCTGATTGAGATAGAGGAACATGACATATTTTATGTATAAGGAGTCAGAGGATCTTGAGTTTCTTTAGGATTTTTTTCTTTCTCTTCTTTTCTTTTTTTTTTTTTTTTTTTGAGACAGAGTTTTCCTCCTGTTGCCCAGGCTGGAGTACAGTGGTGAGATCTTGGCTCACTGCAACCTCTGCTTCCCGGATTCAAGTGATTCTCTTGCCTCAGCCTCCCAAGTAGCTGGGATTACAGGTGCCTGCCACCACGCCTGGCTAATTTTTGTATTTTTAGTAGAGATGGGGTTTCACCGCATTGGCCAGGCTCGTCTTGAACTCCTGACCTCAGGGGATCTGTCTGCCTCAGCCTCCCAAAGTGCTGGGATTACAGATGTGAGCCACCATGCCTGGCCAGGATTTTTTTTCAAGAGCTCTATATTTTGACCATTTATCTGTTTCTCTTTTCTTTTTCCTTTATTGGGTGCTTCCAGTCTATCATATTTTGACATTTGAAAAGATCAGTATTTTTCCACACGCTAGTAAGCATATTTTACTTGAAATAGGTAGGCCCATGAAATTTTGATTCCTTTTTTTGAAGACAATGATTTTAACAAGAGAAAATGGCTTGCTTTATGTCTTTTCTAATAACTGAGTTCAACGTGTATGATAAGTGAGATTCTAACAGTTTTGGCAAAAGTGCACAAATGTAACTTTCTTGACAGCATTTTGAATGTTATCCCTCCACAGTAGCTTTTATGTCTGTCCAACTTGCTTTCTAAGACACTTACTTTCATCGGCACTTTCAGATTTTTGAATTATACTTTCTCAATTTGATTTTTCAAGTGAGTTATTAGGATATAGGTGGGAGTGGAGAATGCCTGCCTGCCTTTCTTCCTTTGTCATTCCCTCTCTCCTTTCTCCCTCCTCCCCTCCCTCCTTTTCTCCCTCTCTCCCTCCCTCCTTCCCTCCCTCTCTTATTCTTTTATTTGTCTTTTTTTTTTAAAGGCTTTAATGTTATTCTGCTTCTGTTAAGCTGGCAAATATTGCCCTTAAATAATCATCACAGACACTTTCACCCTTCTTACCCTCAATTCATCAAATAAAAACAAATTAATTATGGTTAGATGCATCTACTAAATTGTGAGTGCCTTTAGGCCAAGAGCAGATGCTTTTCAAAATACGTAGAAGAATGAATTTACTCACAGTACTTGTGATCATTAAATCCCTTAGCCTACCAGTGGCTTTTTTACTTGACTTGTACACTGGGTTAAAGGCTCTTGCTCTCCCTGTCTACTTCCATAGGTTATCATATGACAATAATGATAATAACAATACATAACTTTTGTTCAGCTCATGAAAGTTTTTAAAATGTTCCCATATACAAAGTGATTAATGAGAAAGCTCTTTAGAAATACAAAAAGCAAAGCAAATGCAAGGTATTGTTTTCATTAGCAAGTTTAAAGAAAACTTCTGCACTGAAATGTCTGTGTGGTGCCATTAAGCATTTAATTTTATTTCTCAGGTTATGGATTTGTCTCATGAGAGGCGATGTGCTTAAGAACATCAGTTTGAGTGAAGCAGGACTGGCATAATGCATAAATGTACTTCCAGGGAAGTCGGGAAGACACCAAAAAATGTGCTTACTGTTGCCATAGCTTGAAATGGAAAATGATCATTTTCCTTTGTTAGTTCTGAAGAGCTAGCAGATTGACAGTAATACGAAACAGGATCTAATTTTACACTGATGCAAATTAGATAAAATATAAAAATTCTGGTTCTAGAAAGAACACAAGTACTTGCTTATAAATTATTCAATTGGACACTTTGAAAAGAGTCTGCAGTGCTCCTATTTCGGCAACATCCAAGTAGATGTTAGAATGACGGAATGTGTTATTTTTGAAAGTGACTTTATGGATCATCTAATCAGTTGATTTGATGGGGAAACTGAAACACATAAAGGCAAAATACTTTTGCTATGACCATGTGACTTTTTAATGGCTGAACTAGACTCTTTCAATATATCATCCCCCATATTTTGCCTATAATATTTCAAATTCTCACTAGATAGAGCTCACTGAAGGTAGGTACAGCAGGTCCTCTAGTAATGCAGTTTTGTTCAATGTTGTTTCCTCATAACATCAATGAGGGGAAAAAAAAAGTTAATTCCTGGCTCAAGCCACTGTCTGGGTGCAATTTACGTTCTCCTTGTGTTTGCGTGGGTTTTCTCCCAGTACTCCAGTTTCCTCCCACATCCCAAAGATATGCTCCTTAAGTGAATTGGCTTCTGTAAGTGGTCCTAGCCTGAACGAGCTGTGTGTGTGTATGCGTGTGTGTGTGTGTGTGTGTGTGTGCCCTGCGATGGAATGGCAGCCTGTCCAGGGCTGGTTCTCACCTTGCACCCTGAGCTGCCAGGATAGACTCTGGTCATCTGTGTGCTTGAAGTGGCATAATTACCTTACTATTTTTTTTTTTTTGAGACGGAGTCTCAATCTAGTCCATACTGATATTTCTTTCCTATATCTCTAAATGCTTGGACTAGTCATTTTGCAATTCATGATGGCCCATACTATTCCTTTTTTTTTTTTTTTTGAGATGGAGTCTCACTCTGTCGCCAAGGCTGGAATGCAGTGGCGTGATCCTGGCTCACTGAAACTTCTGTCTCCTAGGTTCAAGCGATTCTCCTGCCTCAGCCTCCCGAGTAGATGGGATTACAAGTGCCAGCCACCATGCCCAGCTAGTTTTTGTATTTTTAGTAGAGATGGGGTTTCACCATGTTGGTCAGGCTGGTCTCAAACACCTGACATCATGATCCACCTGTCTCGGCCTTCCAAAGTGCTGGGATTACAGGCGTGAGCCACCACGCCCTGCCCCTTACTTGTTTTAATTACTTTTTCTGAAATGTATGTATATATAGTTCACATTTATTTCAATGCTTAATATGAGAAGTGTTTTGGGCTTTATTTAGAAATTTGGTGATGTTTTGGACACTGTAGGAACTTCACTCTTGTTTACATCAATTAGCCTATGGTAAAATTGGTTTCCTTATCTGGGATTTCGCTTAAAGTTGCAGTTTCCAAGAACCTATTGATGACATTAAGTGAGGACTTACTGTAGTCATGAATCCATTAATTCATCCATTCACCCATTCATCCACCCATCAGTCAAAAATTTGTTGAACATTAATTTTAAGCCACATATATTAACATTGTGCTTTTGTGTTGTTTTGTTTTTGAGATGGAGTTTCGCTCTTGTTGCCCAGGCTGGAGTGCAATGGCGTGTTCTCGACTCACTGCAACTTCTGCTTCCCAGGTTCAAGCGATTCTCCTGCTTCAGCCTCCTGAGTAGCTGAAATTACAGGCATGCACCACCACACTAGGTTAATTTTGTATTTTTAGTGGAGATGGGGTTTCACCATGTTGGCCAGGCTGGTCTCGAACTCCTGACCTCAGGTGATCCACCCACCTCGGCCTCCCAAAGTGTTGGGATTACAGGCGTGAGCCACTGCGCCCACCCAACATTGTATTGTTAAGTGATAAAAGTTCAGGGATAAATAAGATGAGGTGGCTGATCTCAAGGAGCTTATAGTCTTAGTCACTAAGGGACAATAAAAAGGAGTGAATTAATTACTCTGCAGAGTAAGTCAGAGAAATATTTTGAAAAGAGATATTTGAGTTGGAACATGAACACAAAGGTCAGTTCCTAACTAACAAAATAATCAAGATGATAACTTTCTACTAAGCTTCTGATATTACTAATATGAAATACAAATAAATTATTTCAGAGGTAGAAGCTTTCACTATAGTATTTACTCTATGTACCCCCCTACACATTTTTAAACTTTAAACTTCTTGGTCCATGATGCCATTAACTCATCCCAGCCCTGCCTTATTAAGATGAAAGCTTTGACCTAAAATATATATGTTTCAGAAAACCTAGAACAAAAAGTAAAATGATAATTTATTTTCAAACCAAACCAACAAACAGAACTGTCCTTAAAGCTTCTCCTTTTAGAAGAGTTTCAGTTAATAAATAAATGTAGAAGGAATTAGAGAAATACAAAGTTGCCATTAGAACCCAGGAGTAATAATAGTTGCAGGCAAGATCCACCAGTGAATGATAAAATTATTGGTGAAAGTTTGAGAAATGACAGATATGTCTATAGTGATAAAGTGTTTATTTCAAGATATTTTTAATTACAAAAGCAAAAATACTAATTTTGTAATGGAGACACCAAGCAGATTCCACCTTAACAAGGTGATACATTTAATATCAACAGTAAGAAGACAGGTGGGCATCAGCTTTTACCTCACAGGATATACTTCAAGCGTGCATCACTTACAAGGACATTCTGCAAAATGACTAATCTGTTCTCTTTAAAAATATCAAGATCACGAAAGACAAAGAAAGAGGGGGGAACTATTATAGACTGAAGATAAATAAGGCAATTAAAAAACTAAATGGAATATGAGATACTGGATTGGATCATGGAATAGACAAAAGCCATTAGTGGAAAAACTGGCAAAATACCAGTAAAGACAGTAGTTTAGTTAATAGTATTGTACTATGACAATTCCTTAGTTTTTAAGATTGTACTATGAATATGTTCTAGGAATACATCTCGCATGAAGGTATGGCTCTGCATACCTTAGGGGAAACAATAGGGGAGCTGGCTGAAGGATGAATGGTACACAGCAACTCTCTACTCTTTCTGTAGCTTTTTTGTAAGTTTAAACTATTTTCAAAATAAAAATGATGTAAATAATTGTCTTTACACGTTAGGGATACTTCTAACTGATTTGAACTTTTAATAAAGGGTATATAATGTTGAAAGCTGATCCAAATCATTGTGTTAAAGGAAATTTGAAACAAAGGGAAAAAGATGGTTGTATTTCTGTAACATCTTTATTCTAGTACTAAAGTATAGAATTTAAATAAAATATATGATTTAGTTATAGATTAGTCTTAACTAATATCAGAATTAGTCTTAACCTGTCTTGTGCCCCACCTCTGTTTACATTACCCTAAAAATAGTATATAACACAAAACAGAAAGCATGCGATTTCTCAAGTATATTCAGGAGGTTGATTCTGGGGTGTAAAAAGGTGTAGGGCTATACGGCCCGTCATTAGCAAAGAAAACAATTTTCTTTTAATTTAGAAAACATTTTTTTATCCCCAGGAGATATTATTGGCTCAAGATTACTGGCATCATAGTGTTGACTTTTTCATTATGAACTTTCTAATAGCTAATATTTTTATTACTCCAATTATGTCTTTCTCAGTTTCTTCTTTATGGCTGAGAAGATTATTTTAGTCAGCTTGTGACTTTGATTGGGGGATTTTCTAAGCTAAAGTGTAAGAGTTCTTAGGTAATTCTATTTCAGTGTTTAGAATGCTAGATGTCTATACTTTAAATCATGTAAATGTTTATATGTTTGACCTCAACTGATGTAAGTGGGTTTTATTGAGCATTATTTCTAATAATACCATGTGTTTGAAAATCCCACTATTTTAACATAGGTAGATTCTGGGTTTAATTACTAAATTTTTTTCAAATTCTGTGCAATCAAGGTGAAAGGGTTTGTTTCCAAGGAAACAAATGCATTCCATTTTTATCACATAAAATGTTTTCTGCAAGAAAATTCCATAACCAGTCTCCAGGGAGATACCGTGTCATAAAATAGCTCTCCTTGGAGATTTTTCCAAAGGAACACTTTATTTTATTTTTGTTCCCTGAAAATAATACTGTATTTGTGTAATTTTCATTGTATTGAATTTTTAAAAAATTAACAACAGAGTTGTTGCCATCGTCTCATTAGAGTCATAAAATGTACAATTTGGGGAGAATGTGATTTTCCTCTGACCATTAGGTTGCATTTATATCGGAGTCTAAATAGCATGTATTCAAGATGTTCACTTGAGAAGAAACAGCCTGTTCTAATGATGATATTTGTCACCTTGAAGGCTTCATTCTTTATTGGTATTTATTTGATGTTGGACATAACTTCTTCTTCTTAAGAAAATTTGACAGCCACATAATAGTCTGGCTTTGCATATCTATTAGTCCATTTTCACACTGCTGATAAAGACATACCCGAGACTGGGTAATTTATAAAGAAAAAGAGGTTTAATGGACTCACAGTTCCACATGGCTAGGGAGGTCTCACAATCATGGCAGAAGGTGAAAGGTACGTCTTATGTGGCAGCAGGCAAGAGTGAAAATGAGAGCAAAGTGAAAGGGAAAACCCCTTATAAAACCATCAAATCTCATGAGACTTATTCACTACCATGAGAACAGTATGAGGGAAACCACCTTCATGATTCAATTATTTCCGACTTCCTCCCACAACACATGGGAATTATGGGAGCTACAATCAAGATGAGATTTGGTTGGGGACACAGCCGAACCATATCAGCAAACTATTATGATTGAATTAAGAAATAAGGAAACTGAGGGAAGTAGATTTGCTTTACACAAATCTGAGGGATTCTTCTTATGTACTTCTTTTTGTAGTAGTTGGCCTTGCCCATGTGAGTGTTTGCATCTAGAGACGTTGTGTTATTCCTCTTGTAGCTTGGACCTAACATATTAAGTGCTACAAAATGTTTGACAATAGAATAAAATAATAAAACATTTATACATTAAGAAGACACATTTTTGAAATAGAAAACAAGATAACAGTGAAATTACAGTGGGTGGGGATAGCATAATAGTCAAAATTAGAAGTCATAGCTCTGCCCCTTACGAAGTCTGTAACTTAGCATATCATTTAAACCTCTCTGTGGCCGGGCGCGGTGGCTCACGCCTGTAATCCCAGCACTTTGGGAGGCCGAGGCGGGCGGATCACGAGGTCAGGAGATCGAGACCATCCCGGCTAAAACGGTGAAACCCCGTCTCTACTAAAAATACAAAAAAAAATTAGCCGGGCGTAGTGGCGGGCGCCTGTAGTCCCAGCTACTTGGGAGGCTGAGGCAGGAGAATGGCGTGAACCCGGGAGGCGGAGCTTGCAGTGAGCCGAGATCCCGCCACTGCACTCCAGCCTGGGCGACAGAGCGAGACTCCGTCTCAAAAAAAAAAAAACAAAAAAACAAAAAAACAAAAAAACAAAAAAAAAAACCTCTCTGTAAAATGGGGAAAGACATATCTATTTCATAAGGTTGTATATTAAGATAATATGTGTAAAAAGTGTGTGTGCTAGAGGAATTTCTTTAAAATATGGGAACTATTCCATAAAAAGCACTGTGATGCTACACATAATATGACTTTGTCTTAATTCAGGAGATGTATTACATTTTTCTTGTTTTTAATGCAAATTCCATGCATGGGCCAGCTAATGTGAAATAATTTAATTACCTTGCTAGGTTAACACTATCATCTAAAAAACAGAAGTTATTTTTAAAACATTCTGTGAGAGTTTGGACTTCTCTCAGCCTAACCCTAATTCTACAAATCCCCAAAATTCCAACTGCAGAGATCCAACATGCAGCTATCTAACTCATCCCACATGGCTCAAATCTTTACATGACTTAGAAGTATAGATTATCAATCAAAGCAAATGGGAGAATGGATTGATTTGTGAAATGGCAACAGGTCCCTCATGGGAGACCAAGTGGAGCCTCCTTAAAAAGTTTAGCTTGGGCAATTTGTGAACAAAAGGGAGACACTCATGACTCATGACAGACAGTAGCGTACAGGAAACAGTAAATACTGACAACAAAATGTGGCATTTGTAAAACGTTCATTCATTTATTCTTTCATTCATTCATTCATGTGACAATTGTTTATTTAGTGGTGAGTGCCAGGGACTAGGCTAAATGCTGTCCACATACATGATCTCATTTGAAATCACATGAAATTTGGGAAAATATGATCAATCCCATGTAGTGGATGCTGAGGGACACCTCACAGACCCCCACTTAAGGACCGAACTACACTCACTCTCCCAGCTGTCCCCAAATGTTGGCAGTCAAAGCCTCTTATATGATTCTCTATCAAGATATGTGCTCTCAACCAAAGATAGACACCTCACCCAGAATCATGGTCCTTCCTGGGGGCAGCCTGCATCCCATGACTGATTTATGTAGGCTATACCCTATACTCAATTTTGAACTATACTCAATTTTGAACATCGCTGAAGGGTCATCCCAGCTCCAGATCCTCGGTAGGCTCACCTGAGGCCCCTGTTGCAACAGAATCACAGATCATCTCCCTCTGTCAAATCCTGTTTTTCTCACTTCTTATGGGTGTGTTGTTCCTAAAACCACTAGCCAAATAAATCTGTAGCACACAAATCTTAAAGATTCAGATTCTATTTCTTGGAAATTCATTTTACAAGTGAAGAATCTGAAGTTTTATTATTTCACCCAAGCCCATGTAGGCAATATGTGGTGGGATTAGGATGCTGTCTCCAAATGTCATGCATGTTGTAAAAGCCCAGCAATTAGAAATGGGGTTCAAGGTTGGAAATGGCCCTTATAAGGTTAGGCCTTTACCAGGTTTAATTTTTCAATTTCAGGTTGGCAGTCCAAAGTCTCAAAATTAGTCAAAAGTGTTGTGCAAAGGTAAAAAACATATAAAGGTAGAGTGGATATGTCCAAGTGTCCCCAATAGCAGGAAGAGGGTAAGAGCTAATGAGCAAATGAAGCTTGGTGGAAGTATTGACAACTAGAAGAAGATTTTCACACCATTTTTTTATATGGGGGCTTTGCTAATAAGTCAATTCCACTAAGCAGCTACTTATTTGACCTTATTATTTCCAATATGTAATAAAAATTGGAAGATCAAAATAAAGAACTATAAACAACATAAAATATTTATGAGAAATCATGTTTAAAGAACGTATTAATGACATTGAAAACAGGTCCTGAATCTAGAATGGCTGTACATAAGAGAGAAAATGAGTACTTATATTAAAAATATGTATATGTTGGCTATGAAAATGGCAAAATCAGATAATGCTAATATTAACTTTCAATATTTTCAATATTTTCTGAATGCCAGATATATATATATATATATATATATATATATATATATATATATATATTACTAACCAGGGAAAGGATGATGATTTAACATTTTGAACTCTTTTAGTAATAACACATTAATTCAATCAACAATATTTATTGCGAACCTACTATGTACCAGACAGTGTTCTAAGCAATGGGAATAGAACAATGAATGAGAAACATGGTCCCTGTCACAAGACCGTATATCATACCAGAGGTAGGGAGACAGTCAACAAGCAAACACATATGGAAACAAGGCCTCTCTGTCAGCTGACCTCTAAGCAGTGAGGTTTCAACCACTTCAGGATCTGTGAGAAGAGCCTTCTAGGCAAAAGACCAATGTAGAACCCTATGAGGGAATAGGAAGAACTTTGGAAAACAGAAAGAAAAGCAGTATGGCTGAAGCAGAGCAAGTGATGGGGAAGGTATAGATGAGGCTTTAGGGTTAGGTAAGAGCCCATCACTTGTGGGCTAGGAAAGAGAATTTGGATTTTATTCTAGGTGTGATGATAAGTTTTTAGTGTGTTCTGAACAATAGAATGACATGATCCTTTTTTTATAAGATCATTCTGACTTTAGAGTGTCCCTGAAAAACTGAGTATATTCAATGAACATTCAGGCATTACTTATTGAACTGAAGAGGAGATAGTTGGAGAGCACTACAGTATAGCTGGGAGAACATAAGCTTTGTAGTCTGATAGATCTACTTCAAAATCCATCTCTGTTTCTTTCTAACTGGAAGTTATCTTCTGAATTTTAGGTTTCTTTTTTATTTGTAAAATAGGATAATAAAACTTAGTTTGCAGGGCTATTTTTAGGATTGGCGACTCATGTTCAGTGGCTGACACAGTGTTCGTGCTCCGTATTTTGTGATGGCAATGAATGTGGAGTACAGGAACATAATATAAATTATACTGACTTTTCTCTGATCTCATTTGTTGTTGGTGCTATAAAGGCCTGCAGATAAACTCTGACCCTTCTTAAAGAGACAAATAATTGTTTTATTGGCCTTTTAGTTTCAAAGGAAGTTAGACATGAAGGCCTGCTGAGACTGCGTGACTGGATTATTTCTTTCGTATTATTTCTCCCTCTTTTTTCCCCATTGTCTTGAAATTGTGTACCTCAGACCTACTGTTTTTGTTGTCTCCAGATCACACAGAGCAACTTTTGATGGAAACTTGGGCTCACCAGCATACATTTTTGCAGTGTGTGCATTTGCACTTAACAATTCTCTTCTTGGCTTTAGCAATGATTCAAGAAAAAGACCCCAGAGAAGACCAAGGTCATCCAACTTGTTTAACAGGCTTTTTAGGACTAGGGGACTCAGATAGAGCTCAGCAGTGGCATATCTTAGAAAATGTTATGTTTGGAAATTCTTTTCTTCTGAGGTGGCAGTGAGATGCAAGAGTTGATATACCAGGGCTACTTGCTTTGAGGGCATGCATCAAGGACAAGGAACCCCAGCAATCTCCTCCAATGTTGCATTTTTAGGATTTTGTTTAAAGTGAAAAAAATAGGAGGAAGAGGAGGAAATTGGGAGATAAGGACTCAGATACAGAAGCAGGAAGGTTGCCTCTGTTTTTTTCAGTGAGTGATTCTCTTTGTACAGTGCTATTCACATTTTCCCACAATATAATGGTTCACAAAATTTGTAAGGTCCAGGTGATCCTCTCAACTTCCCATATATTAGAGACAGCTTTGGGTATCACCATCAAACAAGTATCTGAAGAAATCTCAATGAATGTTATTATTATTATTGCTTATTTATGAATCTCATTTCACAAACTTGGGAATAAAGTAAATATTACTGTCTTTACTTTCACTAATGTATCCTAATTTCTGTCTCCGAGTCCTATTTTGCTTACCTAGTAGAAAACTTAAGCTTAGGTCTTTCTGGCATTCTCAACCTCAAGAGTGAATCACAATTCCTTGGGCTTACTGCAAAGTATGAATATAGGACAACCTTGTCTTGAGTCATTGAGCCTACAGGCTGACTTGACCATAAGAAGTCTGTTGTTTCTATCCTCATAGCTTCTTTAGGTTTACTATAACAGCATGTGTTACCTCCTTGTAATCCTTGGGGCCCAGGAATCTTAAGCAAGTCTTCCTTTGATCCTCTCTGCCTAGAAGCCATCTCCTTCCTGGTGTCTTGCTACCTTCTCAATATACTTTGGGGAAGCAGAGCCCAGGCCCTTTGTACTCTTAGGCCCCAAACCTGGAAGGTGGGGAGTAGGAGGGAGTTGGTAGCTGGAGTTGGGCTTTCACTCTCTATATGTCCCTTTTATCTACTGTCCTAAAAGCTTTCTGACTTTCCCTATTTCTCCCCTGGGAGACAAGTGAGCTCAGGGCCTGCCTCTTGCTTCAGTGGAAGAGAAGGGAATAGGAAAAAGGCAGAGAGAGAAATGCATAGGTTGCTATCTCAAAACTATATACACAAAACTGGAAAAAAAAAAAAAAGACTTCTAAGGCTGCCCTTAAAGAGTGGAATCTTTTCTAAGATGAGATAGAGATTACAGATGAATATGTTGAAACCAAAAGAACAGTTTTCTTGTTGTGCCAGAACCATGCTGGCTTCCTAGGGAAAACATACTCTGATTCAGCCAGAGAAACAATTATGTCTTAGGCAGATAGTTACAAAGCTGGCACCATGGAGTTGCTTTGAATAAACCAAAGCAATTATGTGGTCATTTAAAAACTTCTCTATTTTATAATTGAATGCACTAAGATAGAAGTGGTACCTAGAAGAGCAGAACTCTCAAAGGTACCACGGCCTTTTACCACATCTCTCCTGAGCCTCTCTTTTATTTTTACAGTATTTGATTCTTCTCTTTTTGATATTTCAGGGCTGGAGGAAACTCCTACTCATGTTATCAGACACTGTATGCCTTATTTTACATATGTGCTTAGACTCAGCGTCCAAAGGGTACCATTGTGGCTTGTTGGGCTGAACATGGGTCCTTGACTTGGGAAGCATAGGTACACGTTCCTTGCTACACTTAATTCATTTGGTGGTCTTTAACAGGTTGCTTATGCTATCTAAGGCTATTTCCTTATTTTAAAGAGAGAAGTGAAAAATATCTAATGCACGATTTTGTTCTGAGAGTCAAATGAAACAATGTGATGAGAGGTTGTTTGTAAAATACTGTTTTATACAATTATTTCCTTTTCTCCAAAACTGTTTATTACATGTGTGCCATGTGCCAAATACTTTGTTTGGTCTAGGCTTTAGAGCCGTGTAGATAAATAAAATGTAGTCACTTCTGTCAAGCAATATAATCTGGTGAGGGAGATAAAACAGAAAGATACAGCGTGAAGTCATATCTGTAGGGATAGAACTATGTCATATCATGCATAATTACATAGTCGTACAAAAGGATAATACTAGAATTGGCTTCCTGAAGAAGTTGATTCCTGGGTTGAGTCTTATAGGATGAAGAATTTGGTGGTATGAGGTAGATGAATGAGAAAGACATGCCAAGGTATCAATAACAGAATGAACAGACAGTGAAGCAGCAAGCACCCATGTGTTGGTGTGTATTGGTGGAAGCAGAGGGTGGACAGACATATCAATATAGCTGGCACTTACAGTTGGAAGCAATATGTAGCTTGAGATAAATATAGGCAGGTAGTTAAAGAACAAAGATTACTTTGATGAAGAACTCAGATGTAATTTTTTAGGTGATGAGAAATCATTGAAGAGTTTTATACCATCAGATTTTTACTTTTTATAGATAACCCTAATGAAGGGATTCGCAGTGTCAGCAGTTAATTTGAGTTATCAGGACTAGAATCAGAGAGACAAGTCAGTCTCGCCATCAGGGGAAGCAATGATGAAGATCTGAATTAGCACACTGGCAATAAGAATAGAGTGTGAAGAATAGGGCAATGCTTGGAGATTGACTTGGCTCTTGGAGATAATGATTGAAATATGGAAATCAAGGATGATTGATGCCAATGACTGGGAACACATATAGAGATAGAAACAAGTTTAGGAGTGGATAAATTTAGTTTGGGGTGCTCAATTTGAGGGCTATGTGAGGCATTCAGTTTGAGATACACATTCAGATGCTGGAATTATGAACATGAACCTCAGAGAAGAGATCTGGGCCAATAATATAGATGTATTCGTATACTTAATAAGTACAGCTTGAGAGACTGCAACCATAGAAGTCTCGTGGTCAATTTTTGCTCTCCAATACTCTCATTTTGATAATTAAAATATCTGGTTTCATATGGTAGTTAAATTTCAAGTTTGCATTTTAAGCTAAAGAATCTGCCCTCCCAAACTTTGGACATGAAAAAGATGGAATGAGGGAGGAAAAATTGGGCCATGAAAGGTCTCTCTTGACTAATACCAATGTAATCTGGTATTGGGTTGATCTGGTTGTTTCAGATGTTTCAAGGTGATTCTTTCTCTTGTGGGTACTTTCATGGGCTCATTGAAGAATTGCCTACTGAACTATGCTAATTATAGCTCCCTTGATGTCAGCAGTGTGTATCCTTAGGCTGGCTACTTACAGCCCCTTCCCATCCCTCCCACTCACCATGCAGTTCCACTTTTTAATGGTCCACTAGTACCACCCTAATCTAAGATATCCTTTCTACTTTAAGTTCTGCTCAGGTGCTATAGCATTTATCCTGAAACATGGACTAGTTGATATTTGTTCTTCCAGGGCTTCAACCAAAACCAAAGTAGAATGAACCCCATTTTTATCTTCTATTTCAGAGATATGTGAATTGTTCAATTAGAAGTGGTAATTGAAATGATGAGATCCTTTTTCTTCCCACCTTCACCCTCGCAGTAAGAATGCTCACAAAGGGGCAGGGCACAGTGGCTCATGCCTGTAATCCCAGTACTTTGTACTTTGGGAGGCCAAGGCGGGCAGATCTCCTGAGGTCAGGAGTTTGAGATCAGCCTGGCCAACATGATGAAACCCCATCTCTACTAAAAATACAAAAATTAGATGGGCGTGGTGGCAGGTGCCTGTAATCCCAGCTACTCGGTAGGCTGGGGTTGAACCCAGGAGGCAGAGGTTGCAGTGAGCCAAGATTGCACAACTGCAATCCAGTCTGAACGACAGAGCAAGACTCCCTCTCAAAAAAAAAAAAAAAAAAAAAAAAGAATGTTCAAAAAGGAAGATAACTGGAATGCAAAATACAAACAGATTGCTGGGAGACAAACCATCATTCAGAAAGTGAGCTAAGGCAGGGAAGGACAGAGACAGAGAAGCAATGGTTGAGATAGAAGGAGAACCTGGAGAGTAAGGAGTCAAATAAATTACAGAGTAAAGAGGTCTAAGAAGGAGGACATAGTCAACATATGGGATGTTGTGAAGAGATGCAATATTATGAGGACTAGGATAGGAAAATATTAGATTTTGCTATGAGATCAATTGCTATCCTTGCAAGGAAATCCAGTTAGAGAAAGGGAAATGGCAAGGGTTTTTGAGAAGTGTGGATGAAAGAGGAGAAATATTAGATATTAGATACAGGAGATGTGGGGTCAATATAGAGTTTTTAGAATTGGAGAAGCCAGCAATGTTCACAGGCTGAGGGAAAACAGGCATAGTGAGGGCTTATTTGAAGAGCCAGGAAGGAAGAAGGATAATTGATGGTAGATGGTTAAAGCTGATTATTTCTCTTTTGGGCACTTTTGATGTCTCGTGGGGTGTAGGAAGGAAGGAGATCAAGAGCATAGTGAAGAGGTTAGGACTGATTAGAAGGAGGGGTAGCTCATCCGCTGAAAAAGGAGAAGTGTGACATAAGCATGCATTTTGATTTGTTTGTTCATAGTGGCAGAAAGCTGAATGAGATCATGTCTGATGGCTTTAATTTTCTCACTGAAATAGGGGATAAGGCTCTGTGCTAAGTGTGGTGAACCAGGATCTGAGTCACTTCTAATCCACTCATTTAGAAATTATAAAGACTGAACTGAATGGAGTGGTATTATTATACCTAACATACAGATCTGGAATCTGTGATTCAGAACACTTAAGTGGCTTGCTTGAGGCTACCCTAGTGGCTAATGTTAGAGTCTGGACAGCATGAAGAGTCCCCAGATCATCAGGTTATTGGCACTTGACAGTCTCAAGAAATTCTTATGTTCCATCTTTATCGGCCCATCAAAGAATAAGAGGTAAAAATAGAAAATTGCAAAAGGAGTTGTAAATTTATATATTCTTTATCACCTTTCCCCTCTCCTTTTTATAACCAAACTTTAACATTTACTGAATATCTAATATCTTCTAGTCACTGTGATAAACGCTATTCTGGGAAATCAAATATGTAGCTGATTTATAGTGAGCACTTATTATGTATCAGGAACTATTCTAAGTATTTTATGCTTATAAATGAATGTAATTATTTTATGAATGTAATGAGGCTGGAGAACTCTTGTCTCCATATTATAGAGAAAGAAACTGAAGTCCAGTGATGTTAGCTGACTTAAACACAGATATTAAATGACAAAGCTAGGCTTGTCTAGCTACAGTTCCCACAGTTTAAATCATTACAATATACGTAGTTTCTACTCTCAAGGAACTTACCTTCTTTTGGGAAAGCAAAAGGAAAACATGGTTGGTTTTAACAAATAAAGCAATCAAAAGCCAGATGATATAACACTACAGAAAAAGTAATGGCCTGGCACTGTGGGTCACGCCTGTAATCCCAACACTTTGGGAGGCCAAGGTGGTTGGATCACCTGAGATCAGGAGTTCGAGATGAGCCTGGCCAACATGGTGAAATCCCGTCTCTACTAAAAATACAAAAATTTGCTGGGCATGGTGGCGGGCACCTGTAATCCCAGCTACTTGGGAGGCTGAGGCAGGAGAATGGCTTAAACCCTGGAGGCGGAGGTTGCAGTGAGCCGAGATCATGCCACTATACTCCAGCCTGGGCAACCAAGCAAGGTCGAGCAAGACTCCATATCTACAGATTCAAAAGAAAAGTAATAATATGGGCCATCATGAATTGCAAAATGACTAGGCATTTAGAGATACAGGAAAGAGATGTCAGATGGACTAGATTGTCTGACAGGTAGGATTAATACATTTTGTTAATACAACACTAATGGCTAACAGGTGTTTGTTGAATTTAGTTGATCAAAGAGAAATAGTCCAGTCAGCCTTATCATTTATGTGCACATATATAAAACTTTAGACCTTTATATTAAACCCAAATCACCAAGCTGGACTTTGCCTTCTTTCAAGTGTTTTCCCTTAGAACTTTTATTGCCAGCAAACCTAAGCTATAACCTTTCCAGCCACTGGGATAGGTTCTACTAACACTGAACTCCAAAAACACCTCTCCAAGTGGGAGAGGGCCTTGATCTTTTTCCTTTTAGCTAAGGAAGCTCTTTGACCACCATAAAAATTTGCTGGTTTTCTCCCTACTTTATCAACATATCAAAGGTATACTGAGAAAGGCAGCTTATATTGGGACCCAAAAGGTCTAATTATAACCTCTGTATTTGTTTTCTATTGTTGATGTTACAAATTACCACAAATTAAGTGGCTTAGAATACCAACCACTTATTGTCTCATGGTTCTATTCATCAGAAGTCCAAGTACAGCATGGTTCAACTGCTTGAAATCTCCAAGCCAAAATCAATGTGTCAGCATGTCTGCCTTCCTTTCTGGAGGTTCTAAGGATGAAGTTGCTTTAAGTTCATGAAGATTGTTGGCACAATTCAGTTCCTTGTGCCTGTAGGGCTGAGGTCCCTGTTTTCTTGCCGAAAACCAACCAGGAAACTCTCTTAGCTCCTTAATACTGGCCAGTTTCCTCATCCCATTGTTCCCTCCATCTTCAAGCCAGCAAAGGCACGCCCTTCTAATGCTTCAAATCTCCTGGGCTTTCCACATCGCTCTCCCTCCAGTAGGAGAATGTTCTCTACTTTAAGAGCTCATGGGATTAGATTGGGCCCATCAGGATATTCCAATATCGTCTTCCTATCATAAGGTCTGTAACCTTAATGGTATCTGCAAAGTCTCTTTTATCATTTAATGTAACATATCTATGAATTCTAAGGGATTAGGGGATCAGCATCTTCTGAGATCCTTCTGCCCACTCTACCATCCCCCTAGAAACAAGGGAGCATTACTCAGAATAGCCACTTAAATAATTCCCCCTCCCCCCTCAAAAAAAAAAAAAAAAACAAAAAACAACAACCAATGGGCCAAACATACAAAAACCACATCTGCACCAGAGCCAGGTATCTGCTGACTCTCCAGCTCTAGTCAGAGAAGAGGTGAACATGTTTTGAAAGGAAATATTTTTCATCAGGCATCCCATTGTATATGTTGGACGTTAGACCATTCTTTACCTATATGAGGTACTTAGTAAATAGTAGCTGCTGTGATGGTGATGAAGGCAGTGATCCCACTAGACTCAACTTAAGACAGAATGCTAGCTACTGAAGCAGATTCAAAGCAATCAAACTTAGCTTTTGCCTTAGGGAAAATGACAGGTACACAAACACAGGATGGAGCAGTAAACGCCTTGAAAAGAGGGACCTTTTTTTTTCCTTTTGATGGCTGTTCTTGATGCTTGTTTTAAACTGTTATCACCCAATTAAAAATGATGCAAAGGGTGGAAAGCAGGGTTTGTTAACACGGGATTTACCCCAACTGCCACTCACTTCCTGTGTAGTGCCAATCTTGCAAATCCAGAAAGGCCAGCCACTCGAAACCGCCTCAGAGAGGGCCAGGAACCAGGAAAGGTCAGCAAAGCCTCTTGGATTTAAAGTAAAGAACCAGGAAACAAAGGGCTCAACGCAACTTTTACAACTACAAATTAAATGCAAAAAATGACACATCATTACATAAGCAGCATAAAATATAATTTAAATGTCAAAAGAACTGAAGATTCTTGAATCATGTAAGAAAAACTTGCAGAATGTGTTAAATGTCTCAATTTGTACTATACCAAAAAAAAGTAAAAAGTAAAAATGGCATTGTTTTATAATGCAAAAATACAGAAATCAGTCTTGTTTTCCTGCTGTTTATAGAAATCCTTAGGCTTATTTTAGCCAACTTTAAAAATATTCATCTTTTAAAAATTCTCATGACTTTCAGGGACTGTGGATATATTTGAGGATAAGAGGGTATTATTTAACTTAAGACAGTGCTTAAATGTGATATGTGTGCCTATTAAAGTTACAGTTAAATCTTTTATATGGATGCATTTTCATTGGGAGGAGTAGGCGTTTCACAGATTGCTCTACTACTTGGAATATGATTTCACATACATTTTTGCTCTCTTGAAAATTAGCTTTGTGGCAATTGGTTTCCCTACTTCTGCCACCCACTTACATTTTAGATCTTTGTTTTGAAGCTTGTGAGATATATTTAACAACATCATATTAACATTTTAGGTCTCTGTCTGAATACAGTAGTTCCACATTCTTTGGCAGATGCAGAATTTTTCTAGTTTTTGGTTGTCAAAGATATCAATGTAAACAAAGCTAAATGTGTGTGTATGTCTATACATGCATTTGTATGTGTATGTGTGTAGTATAAGCTATACCTAGAAAATTTACTCTTCAATCATTTATTAAACATTTATTGAGCTCTTACTGTGCTCCCTGCCATTACCTAAGCACTGAGAATACTAAGGTTACTAGGACACAGTACCCTGGATTCAGAGAGCTCTCAGAATATTGGTTGAGGGAAACTTGGAGCAGTATATTGTGGTAAATGGCAGCCAGCAGTGCAGATAGAAAGCTTTGAGAATATATATATATATATATATATATATATATATATATATATGAAGAAACTTACTTTAAACTAGGGCAGAAAGAATTGAGCAAAGTTTCCCGAAGATGACTTTATTTTAGTGAATAAGTCTTATAGAAGTAATTTGTTTATTCAGGTTTCTAATACTTTTGGCATTTTCTCAGATTGGATGAATTCCTCCAGTTTAGTGGAGGGGACATATGAAGGAAAGGAGAGTGAGTTAGGGAAGAAGAGAGAGTGAGGAGTAGTCTCAGAAAGCCTCCTCAGAAAGCCTCAGAAAGTTATAGCCTCCTGGGCTCTTGCCTCTGGGAAGAGTATACATACAATACTTGCCGGGCCTATGAAAGGCTGGACCTGAAGGGCATCTTAGGTCAGTTTCCTTTATGACAACATTTTCCTGGACAGTCTTCAGTAGTGCTACCTGAAGTCACATAGGCTTCCCTCCCAGGTCGGTCATTCTTCAAACTAGGGCACCAACACAATGTATTCTGCACCTGAGGTATCATGAAAACAGCAAGGGAGTAGAAACATAGTTGACTCTTGAACAACATAGGCATTAGGGGTGCTGAACCCTCGCACAGTTCCAAATCGAATATTACTTTTATTCCCCCCACCAAACTTAACTACTAATAGCCTACTGTTGCTCAGAAGCCTCGCAGGTAACATACTCAATTAACACATATTTGTATATGTATTATAGACTGTATTCTTACAATAAACTAGATTAAAGAAAATGTTATTAAGAAAATCACAAGGAAGAAAAAATATACTTATTATTTATTAAGTGGAAAAGGGTCATCATAAAGGTCTTCATCCTTGTTATCTTCATGTTGAGCAGGTTGAGGAGGAAGAGGAAGGGGGTGGTCTTGCTGTCTCAGGGGTGGCAGAGGCAGAAGAAAATTTGGGATAAGTGGACCTGTATGCTTTAAACCTGTATCGTTCATGGGTCAACTTTAATTCTACATAACCTCTAAGAAAGTCAACAGTAGTGCTAAAAGATTTAAAGTCACTTCTGCCAGTTT
The DNA here is from genome assembly GCF_000001405.40 of Homo sapiens. Lineage (NCBI taxonomy): Eukaryota > Metazoa > Chordata > Mammalia > Primates > Hominidae > Homo > Homo sapiens. Next base: position 66,142,357 of record NC_000001.11, read on the forward strand.
ACATGTTGCTTTGCTTGGCTCACTTCAAAATTAGGAAACCTATAATCCTTTGCCAAGAATTCAGTATGCAAATATTTTCTAATAAAGAAAATCATAGGAGGAAGTTGAATTTTGTTGCAGTATGCCAACACACTAACAGTGGTTTTTTTTTAAATTTTTTTGACAGAATGCAGTGTTAGAAAGCAAGCATAATAGAGTTCATTTACAAGAACACCTGCTTTAAAAATAACCCTACTGTTAGGAGGAAACAACTTCTGGACTAGTTCTTTTGAATGGAAAAATCCAGAAACGAACAGGAAATAAAGTTGTTGTGTGTTACATACAGAGCATTTGCATCATGGGAAAAGCTTTATATTCCTTTTGAAGTGCCACAATTATGTTCTCATTTAATAATATTGTAATGTCGGTGCTTTGATCTTTTGTTATCTGTCCACATTTGGTAATTTTGTGTCTTACAGCCTTCAGTTCAGAAAAAAAGTTAGTCAGAAAGAACAGTTGAAGGTTTCCTTCAATACTCAGTTCAGCTACCAGAAAAGGTCTCCACAGAAGATTTCTCTCCCAGCATCAGAGAATGGGTGGGTAATATAGAGTAAGCTAAGGGAGAGAGAACAGTTCAGCTCGCATCTGTGCTTCGCATCTGTGTTGTAACAGGCATTTATAAAAGGCTGTAGATGCAGTACGAAGACCATAGCACAGGAGCCACACAGCTGATTAGAGTAAGAAGCCCAGAAAATGCTGGAAGAATCAGAAGAGCATCAGTTTAGTTCAAAAGATGCTTATGAAGGACTTCTCTTTTGCTAGACACTGAACTGCAGTAAAAGTGAAGACAAGGGTTTGTCTTTGTTTCTAGTGAGAGAAACAGGTTCATTCACAACTAACTGTATTATGAGCCATTTATACACCAAAATGCAGAATTCATTTTAGCCAGGGGAAGTAAGGATGATTCATTGAGTAGATAATGTTTAAGTGGAGACTTGACAATAGGGACAATATTTGCAGGTAGAAAATGGAAACGTGGGAATGGTAGGTGGATCAGGCGTTACATCTGGAATCCACTGCAACAATCTGAGCACGGTTGAAGTAAGGAGTAATGCAGAGAGATGAGACTAATAGGGCTTTGGTTAATTGGAACAGGACAGTGAAGTCAGAAGATCCTTGATGCTGTGCCAGCCAGGGTGCTTCTAGGGTGGGAGGTGATGCCATATAGTGGAATAGCAGACACTGCTGGGCATACCTCCTTATGAACAGGACTCTAATTCTAATTTGAAAGCCAATGTGCTTAACATAAAATCACCATTTTCTCAGAACTACCTTGTAGCAAGGGATGGCTATGTAACATAGTTTAGGCCATTGAGACATAAGCAGAAGTTGAAATATAAGCAGAGGACATTCTGAAAGCCTCTTGAAAAGGAGAAAGACACAGCTGACATCTGCCTTTTTCATGTTGCCCTGCACCCTTCTTTCTACTCGATTTGTAGGAATGGGCAGCCATCTTGTAACCACGATGGCAGATGTCTTGTGGGCAGATGTCTTGTGCTAAGGATCCTAGAGCAGGAAGAAATAAAGAGCTTGGTTGAGTATCTGCAATAACTCAGGTCTGCCTACCCCAGACTCCTTGTTATGGGAGAAAAATAAACTTCTTATTTGCTTAAACCACTGTAACCAGGTTTCTGCTAGAGCAGCTAAATTGAATCCTTACTGATATAGTTGGCCTGTGGGGAAAAGTGAAAATAGTTGAGCAGAAAAGTTGAATGGAAGTTACAAGCCCTAAGAATTGCAAGGAGGGAGAAAGGAAAACTTTCCAGATTTTCCCAAGTCAGTACCGTGCAAACGGTTCCAGGTTTTTTTCCATTGAAGAACTGCACGTTATTACATCCATCCATTCAACAATTAAACAAATATTTATTTATTTATTGTGCCACTGTTATGTGTCAGACATTTTACTGGATGCCAGGGATACAAAAAGGTATATGATGAGACCCTTCAGGAAGCACATGATCTAATAGAAACAAGCGCGTCAAAGTTAATCATAAATAGTTTGGATTTGAAAACTGTGATTTATAAATTTATAAAAATTCCTGAAACTCTAGTAGAGAATAAATTATTTTCTTCCAGCTGCACCAAAGATTTGGAATGTAAATTGGTTACTGATACAAATTGAGCATCCCTAATGTGAATATCCGAAATGATCCAAAGTTAGAAACTTTAAGCATTAACATGACACTCAAAGGGAATGCTCACTGGAGAATTTAGACTTAGATTTTCAGATTAAGGAGGCTCAATCATTCAACAGGTAAGTATAATGCAATTATTCCAAAAATCTGAGCTCCAAAAGACTTCTGGTCCCAAACATTTTTGGAGGATAAGGGATATTCAACCTGTACATTAGTGCTGCGGAATAAAAGAGGCCATGGTACTTTTTCACCAGTGACTTTGAGTTAAAGGAGCACAAAATTAGTGTCTTTCTAAAGGAAAATGAATTGAGTAACTGGAGAGGTATTCTCTTGGGAGACACATACATACCACCAGTGGACAGTTATGGATGGCTAGTCTACTTTCATACACTTCCAAAAGTTCCCATCTCCACTTTTAAAAACCACTGCATCCCATCAAAATTCTAACTTTTTACAATAGTAGAATGGACTGATGTGTGAAATAGAATCTCTTTATGCCTTGATGAACCTATGGTGGCCGTGAGTAGCAATCTACAAACTTGACTGCTAGCTTCTAAAACAAACATTTAATATCAGCATTAACCTATTCCTTTCCAGACATTCATCAAACATTATTGATCACCCCCTATATGACAGACACCATGGAAGGTGATGAGAAAACAAAGTAGGGTGGCATGGTGCTTGCCCTTAATTTTCTGGGAGGCTGTGTATCACTGCAAAAGGAAATAGGCAAGGAGCAGGCTCTCCAGTGCAGGCACCTAAGGGAACTGCAGAAAATACATGGATGGTTAATTAGTAGGAAGCCAAGCAGATTTGATAGTATTAGAGTCCAAGAGAACCTTGTAGATAGTATAACTAGCAATGCTGGAGAGCGTTGCAACAGTGGGCAAGGCTACTATTTCTCTGCCCTGATATTTGGACTTTACAAATAGGTGGATAAAAGTTCCCAGGTATATAACTGACCCTTAGGTGCTATGGGCTCTTATGGGCTCCAAAAGCCAAAACATAGGCCTTTTCTGGGGATAAGGGCACCCCATCATTTATCTTTGTATGATGAATGCAGTTATGTTTTGAAGTCTTGAGTCTCAGGGAACTTTGGAGGTCAAGTCATTTCTGAGCTTTTTATTGAAGTAGCAATCCTGTGGTCTTCAGATGATGGGAAGTGATTTCCGCAAAAGCTTTTATGCCTTAATTGCTTGTCCTTTAAGAAATGTGGTATGAGATAAAACAAAGAAGGTGCCTTTCCAGCCAGTTCATTACAGCTTTGCTTCCCACAGTGCATTGTTGTGCTTCTCTGGATAAATACTAAGTAGTGTTTTTCTCCTAATTATTTCCTCAAAGTGATAGTATCAGCCCTGATGTTGAATAATGATCTCTGCTATTATTAAGATTTTGTGTGTGTCTGTGTGTTTTGAGAATTGTGTGACTGCTATATGACTGCAATATTTGCTTCGCTTCACAAAAGTCAGTCAGGACAGGAAGGCATTTGACAGGTTAACTAGTCCACCCCTCACTTCTGGAAGTAACCTTTAACATCTGCTGTTAGATATTCTTCTTCTTTTCTGTTCACAGCCTAATAGAAATATATCAACACTACTCATCCTGAACAAGTTTAGGAGAAGGCCATTGCCTGGGTAGCATGCTTTTTTTTTTTTTTTTTTTTTTTTTTTTGAGACGGAGTCTCACTCTGTCCCCCAAACTGGAGTGCAGTGGCGCAATCTCTGCTCACTGCAAGCTCCGCCTCCCAGGTTCACGCCATTCTCCTGCCTCAGCCTCCCGAGTAGCTGGGACTACAGGCGCCGGCCACCATGCCTGGCTATTTTTTTGTATTTTTAGTGGAGATGGGGTTTCACAGTGTTAGCCAGGATGGTCTCAAATCTCCTGACCTTGTGATCTGCCCATCTCGGCCTCCCAAAGTGCTGGGATTACAGGCGTGAGCCACCGTGCCTGGCCTGGGCAGTGTGATTTTATGGACTTAGTCTACCATGACTTTTTCCCTTGGATGAGCAGCTAAACAGTTACCACTGTTGCACAACTCCACTGTTCAAATCAGAATCTATGTGAATGGTGGTCCTGAAGTTGTGCAATAAAAAATGCACAGAGTCAGACCTCACAACTCTGAGCTAAGATATAGATATTTGAAATGTGTCCACCACATTTCAAGCATCACACTGTTTGGGAGCCTGCTTGCTATTCTGAAGACTCAAAGTTAAATATTAAAATTTCATGTAAATTTTGCTTCTATTCTATTATTTGTTTAAGACACAAATCCTATTTTAAACTACGTACCGTAGAGGAAAATTAGTGTTCCATTAAAAGTGACCATGTTTAAAAATCTGTACTTTCTTGTTCCTATTGCACACTAAAAATGATGGGTAAACACAAAGGACAAAGGACAGCTTCTCTAATGAGCTGTATGCAACTCTAGGGCCTGGAAATTCAACCCATTTTGAATTTGTGGATCTATGCTCTCAAGGGTTTATATATGACTACATTAATAAATCAGCCAATAGACTTCAAATAGGTTGACAGCATGTGAAATCCAAGTGAAAAATTTTGTGCAGTGAGGAGCAATTCATGTGGAAGAAAAGCAAAAATAACATATTTGATCAATATATTATACTTCAGAAAGCACTTGCACATGAGACTGTGACCTTTGTCAGTCAAAGACCATTTTCAAATTATTTGTGTTCCCATTGCTATAAGCAAAAGTAAATTCCTAATAAATATTTCCTAAGTTAATTCTTAATAAATATTCGTTATCATATTTGGCCCACCTAACAGCCCCGTAAGGTCAGGAATACTATCATTTTGCAAAGGATGAAACTGAGGTTCAATATTGACTTGCCCAAGATAACACTGTTAGCTGATGGCAGGATTGGGAAAGGGAACCTGAACCATGTCCCGTGATTCATCAACAGTGCACTGTCTATGACACCAGCTACCTTCCACATGCCCACACTCACAGTTTCCTCTTAATAAACACACAATTTCAGGGGAGAGGAAAAACAGTCCATGCATTTTGAGTTGCTTTTTCTGGTTCAAATGCCTGGTGCAGAGTAAAAGCTATTTTCTAAATCTGGTAAATCTTCTTGTCTGCTTGGATTCAGTCAGACTTCAGAATGGAATGAGCAAATTATAGATGGCAGTAATAGGGTGCTTCCAGTGGGGCGTTTCTTAGCCACTTTATTCTGCTTCTTGGAGCTCCACTTGGAGATGTTTTAAATCACTCAGGAAGAGAAACTAGAGTGAGAAAGCCAGACTTGTAAGGAGCTCTGTCCTAACAGGTGTCTTTAATGATTTGCTATTACTTTATCACTTGAGGCACTAATTATTTGGAACGTACCCAAGTAAACCCTACCAAGTCTTGCAAAAAGACAATAGAAATGAGGAAAACATGTTTTCTCTTCTTTGGGGCATCACTATTTCATCTGTATCATTAAAAGAATACATTCTTGGGCCAGGCATGGTGGCTTATGCCTGTAATCCCAGCACTTAGGGAGGTGGAGATAGATGGATTCTTGAGGTCAGGAGTTTGAGACCAGCCTGGCCAACATGGCAAAACCCTGTGTGTACTAAAAATACAAAACTTAGCCGAGCTTGGTGGTGAGTACCTGTAATTTCAGCTACTCGGGAGGCTGAGGCACAAGAATTGCTTGAACCTGAGAGGCAGTGGTTGCAGTGAGCCCAGATTGCACCACTGCACTTCAGCTTGTGTGATAGAGTGAGATGCTGTCTTTAAAATAATAATAATAATAATAAAATAAATAAAATAATACATTCTTAGGAACATAAGAATTTGCACTAGCTTCCCCAAGGAATTTTCTATGATCTGCTCACTTGTTATCTAAATCCTGTCTATTCTTGAAGGATGCTGAAAGCTTTCTATGCCGATTCTATTTCACACAATAATGTCCATGTCTTACTTTCTATAGTTTGTTGTTTTTTAAACATCTTTATTGATTTATAATTTGCAAAGCATAAAATTTATCTTTGTAATGTTTACAATTTAATTATTTTTAGTATATTTATGGAATCGTGCAATCATCAACCACATTTAAGTTTAAAATTTTTGGGTATCTCCCCTAAGAAACCCTTTATTAACATTCACTCTCCATGAGCATTCACTCTCTACTACCACCATCCTTAGCCCTAGGCAATACTAATCTATTTTCTGTCTCTACAGATTTGCCTATTCTGGATATTTCAAAAAAATGAAATCTTACAGTATGTGATCTTTTGTGATTGACTTCTTTCATTTAGCATAATGTTTTTAGGGTTTATTCATGTAGCATGTACCTGTACTTTATTCCTTTTTATTGTTGGATAATATTCCATTGTATGGCTACACCATATTTTGTTTATCCACTCATCAGTTGATGAACATTTGGGTTCTTTCTAGTTTTTGACTATCATGAACAATGCTGTTATGAGCATCCATGCACAAGTTTTTGTATATAACTAGGAGAGAAATCGCTAGGTCATATGGTAACTATGTTTAACCTTTTGAAGAATTGCCAAATTTTCCCAAAGAAGGTGTACCGTTTTTCAATCCCTTCAGCAATGAATGAGCATTCTGATATCTCCACATCCTTGCCAATGCTTTTTACTGTTTGCCTTTGTTATTTTAGCTACCCTAGTGAGTGTTAGTGGTATACAATTGTGGTTTTAATATGCATTGCTCTTGAATGATGATGGTGAGTATCTTTTCATGTGCTAATGGCCATCTGTTTATATTTTTTTTGAGAAACATCTATCTAAATCCCCATTTAAATTATTATATTTTTAAACTATTGAGTTATTTATATATTCTGGACACAAGTATGTCTGATTATTGATTATATAATTTGCAAATATTTTCTCCTATTCTATGGATTGTCTTTTTACTCCCTTGATATTATCATTTGTAGCACATTAATTTTGATGTGGTCAAATTTGCATTTTTTTCTTTTGTCACTTGTGCTGTTGGTGTCCCTTCTAAGAAACCATTACCTAACAAAAGGTTATGAGAATTTACTCCTGTGCTTTCTTCTGCAACTTAAGGTTTGGGGGTGCTGGGGTGCTAGTAATCCCAGAACTTTGGGAAGCCAAGATGGGAGGATAGCTTGAAGGCAGGAATTTGAGATCAGCCTGGGCAACATAGTGAGACCTATCTCTCCAAAAAAGTGAAAAATTATCCAGGTGTGGTGGCACATGCCTGTAGTCTTAGCTACTCAGTAGGCGGAGGCAGGAGCATCCCTTGATCCCAGGAGTTTGAGGATGCAGTAAGCTATGATTATGCCACTGCACTCCAGTCTGGGTGACACAGCAATACCCTGTCTCAAAAAATATATAAAATAAGATAAATAAAATGAAAAATAAAGTTTGGACTCTGATAAATTTTGAAATAATTTTTTAATATGTTGTAAGGTAGGAGTCCAACTGCATTCTTTGTTATGTGGGTAGCCAGTTATCTCCTCACCATTTGTTGAAAAGACTGTTCTTTCCCCATTAAATTGTTGTGGAACCCTTGTAGAAAATTAATTGGCCATACATGTGTGAGTTTATATCTGGACTCTCAATTCCCATTCCATTGATCTCTATGTATATCCTTATGCTAGTATCACACTGTCTTATAACTAAGACTTTGAAATCAGGAATAGTAAATCCTACAACTTTGTTCTTTTTCAAGATGGTGTTGGCTATTTAGGGGCCTTTGTAACCCCATAAGAATTCTGGAATCAGCTTTTCAATTTCTGAAAGAAAAAAAAAGGGCCAATGGAATTGTGTCAGGCATTGCACTGGCTCTGAAGATCGTTTTCACATTATTCATTGCTAACATATGGAAATAAAATTGATTTTTATATGTTGATCTTTTGTCCTGCAACCTTACTGAAGTCATTTATTAGCACTAATATTTTTCTATCAGATTCCTTAGGATTTTCTATTTACAAGATTATGACATCTCCAAATATAAATTGTTTTACCTCTTCCTTTCCAACGATAATGCCTTTTATTTCTTTTTCTTGCCTAATTGTACTGACTAGAATCTTCAATATAATGTTGAAAAGATGTGGCAAGAGCAGACAGCCTCGTTTTGTCCCTCATTATAGGGGAAAGCACCCAGTCTTTCACTGTTAAATATGATAGTGGCTGTGGGTTTTTCATAGATGTCTTTCATCGGATTGCAGAAATTCCATTATATCCCTACTTTGTTAGGTATTTTTTCATGAAAGGATGTGGAATTTGTTATATGCTTTTACTCTGTCTATTGAAATAATCATGTGGCTTTTATTCTTTAATTTGTAATTATGGTCTATTACATTAATTAACTTTCGTATGTTAAACCAACCTTGGATTCCTGGGTTAAATCCCACTTGACCATGGTGTCTAATGCTTTTATATGCTGCTGTATCCAATTCGCTAGAATTTTGTTGAGGAATTTTTATATCAATATTCATACTGGATGTTAGCCTGTATTTTTCTTTCCTTGTGATGTCTTCACCTGATTTTACTATCAAAGTAGTACTGACCTCAGATAATGAGTTGGAAAGTGTTTCCTCTTCTTTTATTTGTTGAAAAAATAGATTTTATAAGGATTTGCGTTACTTCTTTAAATGTTGGATATAATTCACCAGTAAAGCCATGTGGGTTTGAACTTTTCATTGTTGGGTGTTTCGTGGAACAAAGGACTTACAGGCAAAGAGAACAGTAAAATGTAATAGAACTTTTTTAAGGAGCAATTAGAAAGCAAAAGCAGCTGAAGCTGAAGTGACTCCCCATTGCCTACATGTTAAAATTTAATCTCATTAGTCTGGTTAATGGCTCTTCCTAATGTGGAACTTGCTGAACCCCTCCAGCTTCATTCATCTCCTGTCACTATTTCTCTCACACTTTAAGCATCTTCCATGCTGAACTCATGATAATAATAGTTACTCTCTTCCAGGCATTGTGTTAAGTCTGACAAAATCTCAATCAACCATTATATTCAAATTCCCAGAAATAAGGCTGCTCTTATTTCATGACTTTGTTCATGAAGCTCTTACTCCCCAGAATGAACTATGCCTTTATTCGTTTCTTCTCCCTGTCTGCCTCTGTCTTGTGAGGCTGAAAAATTCCTATCTGTGGTTTAAAACTCACCTTGAGTGTCACCTAAATAAAACACCAGTGAAGAATGTCTAACAATCTGGGTACTTTTTGTTAATCTGTCTGTTTCTCACCTATTGTAAGTCTTTTGATGGCAGGCACCATATTTGATTCATCTCTTTATTTCCGATCTTCCAGAGTGCCTGTCACATAGTAGACACTCAATAAATAATTGTTGAGCTAATGAATAAACCTGGCTATCCAGAATGAGGCTCTCCCCAGCATTTTGGAGAGCTGAGATGTTATTGTACTTCTCTATGTTTCTTATAGCACCTAGTGCAACACTGAGAAACACTCATTGAAGTTAACTCGACTGAATGATAAATTAATATTATAATGTCAGTAGCACATTTTGAACTCTTCAGTAAAAAGACACCATAAAAACCTCAAAGTAGCTGTAAAAAATAGAAATGATAAAAATCTGTTTAGATGACATCTTTTAAGAAAATACAAAAACAATTCTGTTATGTTTTGATACATAATTACACTTGAAGATTTTTGGTGTAACAGAGCTGTGTTTGAGAATTCTAGTGATCATAATAACAGCACTGCTTGATGCTAGGGGAGGGTAAATCCATTTTAGAAGCTTTTCAATGACAAGCTTTGTTCTCTGTATCTGGAAGCAATTCCCAGTGCTGTTTACTTAAATGCTTTATAATATGGAAAACTCAGGAGCATTGTAGGATCCCCAAAGACAGGAGAAGATTTAATGTTTCTTAAATTCTCCCTCTGTCACAAGATGAAGATGAGCAGGCAGGGTGGCAGCACTGGCTGTGGCAGCAGCAGCACACCACCACCTATGCAAGGTCTGTACTTTTTAACACAGCATTGGAAGCCAGTATCAGTCATGGTTCTCCAGAGAAACAGAACTGATGAGGTATGTATATGTACATATATATAAAATATATATATGATTAAGTGTGTGCATATATATGTGTGTGTGTGTGTATACACATATATATATTTATATATGTGTATACACACACACACACACACACACACACACACACACACTAAGAAGTTTATTGTAAGGAACCAGCTCACATAGTTGTGGGATCTGGCAAGTCCAAAATTTGTAGGGCAAGCCAACAGACTAGAAACTCAGTCGGGAGTCAATGTTGTAGTCTTGAGTCTGAAATTAATAGGTTAGGCTAGCAGACTGGAAACTTAAGCAGATGTCAGTGCTAGAGTCTTGAGGCAGAATTTCTTCTTCTCTGGGAAATGTGTTTTTGCTCTTAAGGTCTTCAGCTGAGCAGGAGACCCCACATGCATTATTGAGAGTAATCTCCTTAACATAAAGTCAGCTGATTGTAGATGTTAACCACATCTACAAAACATCTTTGCAGCAACATACAGATTATTGTTTGATTAAATAAGTGAGTACTATAGCCTAGCCAAGTTGATACATAGAACTAATCATCACAAGGTCCTTTGACACATGGAACATGCTTCCCTCTCCCACCTTGTATTTTCCATGACTTCTCATGCCCCACACCAGATTGCAAAGCTGCTCTGAAGAAGCCCTGCAGTTCTCTGCCTTTTGGTGCCTTTGCTGTTTTCTCCATCCCTACTCTAGATTCTCTCTCCTCCCAGTGTCCAACCCAGTTGTCAAATTCCTACTCTCATCTCTTGGATCCTGTGCAAATGTCATTTTCCTTCCCAAACCTTGGCTGCTTTCTGGTTTAAATATCGTCTCTTCCTCTCTTGAACCCCCAACAGATGTCCTTGAAGTAAAGCCTCCTTGCTCTGCTTTGCATTATTTGTAAATGTATTCATGGCAACCATCCCCTCTCCCTTGTAACCTGAGGGGGGTCAAGAACCTCATGGGTTTTTTTGTTTTGTTTTGTCTTGTTTTATTTTAATGTCTTTGTTCCCAAAAGGGTATAGAGCTTCCATTCATATGGCAATCTTTATTCTTTTTCTGTGCCCTGTGCTGTGCTAGCTTCTCAGGAATATGAAGATTAATTAGACAAGTTTCCAGCACTCTGAGACTTTATAGCCCAGTGCGGAAGGCAGATAAGTCAACCGTAGGTGTCCACAAGAACTCATTGAACTGAATTAATTCTGGCTGTAGAAGTGCAGTCACTTTCCTTTTAGTATCTCCTTACCTCAATACTCCTACATACAGACATTAGCCAGACCAGACAGCAGGCTTGTAGTGGGCTGGAAAGGTCTGTCCTCACAAGACTTATAGAGGAGTAGTGTGTGTGATGTGACCTGAGGGGCATCAAGGAGGTTCGCTGATCCAAAAATATCTCTGTTGCTAAGATGCCTGATATACCATCATTTGTGATTCATTCATCTGGGTTCAGAATTATCCTATCTCTAAATGCACCTGGGAGGAATTACTAAATGCCTACATTAACTTTTTAAAATTCTTTTCCCTTCTTTCTTTACCTTTTTATCTTCCCTTTCTCCTTTAAGGCAGCTAAATTGCTCTCCCTGAAAGACTCCCACCACACAAAGGAGTTAAGAGCTCCTCCCCTTGGTCCCAATAGCACCTCGTGCCTGTTACAGCAGAGATGTTTTATCCTCTAATTCTTATCTGTTTATTGCTTACCTGAGCTCCTCCACCAGACTGAGCTCTTAAAGGGGAAAACTGTTTTTCATCTCTGTAATCTGAACATAGAGCACAGTGCCAAACACACCGTGGAATGTTCTGTAAGATTCCTGGAATGACCAGGCGGTTCTCCATGAAGATATACCTGTTTACCCTTCTTCTTTGATAGAATGACCCATGAGCATATGTAGGGGACAGGCTTGATAAAAGAGAATTGAAGGGCAAAGAGAAGAGAAGAGAGATAGGAAAAAAGGGACTCTCGGGAAATCACTTCTGTGCCTAGGGCCGTCCTTGATCCTGCTGTCTGTTGTCCACTTTTTGGTTTCATTCATGGATAAAATGCCTTGTGAATTAAACATGCTGTTTTCTTTTGTTTTGCAATACATGATCTGAAGTACCATCAGCTGGCAGGGGTTTTTCCAGAAGCATTTTGTCAAGTGGAAAGGTGGCTACACATGCTCCAATTACAAAAGCAAAAATGCTTTCAAATATCTTTTCCTTCTGCATGGATTGAGAACACAAACCTCTTCTCATGCCTGTCTCTTCCATTCGCTACACCTTTGCCTTTGCTCAAGGAATATGCTTGTAAAGATATCCAAAAAGTGCTTTTTCCAAGCCCCTTGTGGTTGCAGAATGCAGACCTGCAAAAATTTCCTCAAGTAATAGGATGGGAACTATAAAATTGCATGTAGGCTGGCACAGTGTGTAATCTTGCACTTTGGGAGGCTGAGGCGCGAGGAATGCTTGAGCCCAGGAATTTGAGACCAGCCTGAGCAACATAGTGACACCTCATCTCTACAAAAAATAAGAAAATAAGGCAGGAGGATCTCTTGAGCCCGGGAGGTTGAGTCTGCAGTGAGCTCTGATCCTGCCACTGCACTCCTGCCTGGGAAACAGGAGTGAAACTCTGTCTCTGGAAAAAAAGAAAGTTACATATAGATTGGAGCTGAAATCAAGATGGAAGCCAAGGTGCCTTTGGAGTCAGCTATTTTCTGTTTTTCTCTCATTAGCTGAATGAGCTCTTTCTTCTGCTCTCCTTCCCTCCACAGACTCATTCCATTTTCCTCTTGCTCCTCTTTCCCTATATGTCTCTTCTCTTTCCTCGTGTCTTCTGCCTACCTACAATTTCTGCTCCCTCACAACTTCACAGGACCCATCATGGCTGCCCCAGACACTCACTGCCTCATGATTTCAGATTCAAAAATATATGCCTCCACGTAGATACCCCATGGTTCATACTTATTTTAATCTTTCCAGAAATATGTTCTTAAAATTAATTTTTAGCAAGGTCAATCAATAAATTGGTTCATTTGCCCTAACATAATCTAGAGCTGATTTTATATTGTTACCTATCATTTGTAACCACTAGATTATTTATTTTTTATATATACATATTTATATATACATGTGTATATATCTATATATACACATATATGCTATATATAGTACCTATAGAATGCCAAGATTTGTGCTAGGTACTGGCAATACCATCATGAGAAAACACAAATCTGCCCTAGTGATATTAATTTCTAACTGATTACTTTCCTTCTAACTTGCCCTCATCTAATCTAACTTCAAATGAGTTCTCTTTCCAACACATGAATCAAACCATGATATTCCCTGCTTAAAATCATTACTGACATTTATCATCTAAATTCACATAAGGATGTTTTACTACCTGCTTCTGTTTTTATTTCTGACCCCTGCCTGATTTCTTGTACTTTATGCTTCTACAAAACCAATGTTAATCCATGCCCTTGACTTGGCACATGACAGAATCAGGAGAAGTAGAAAAGGGATGAAGTAAAGATAAACTTGAGAGACAGGTTGATTCAGTGTCTAAATGTTATTATCCTAACTAAAGTGTAAATATCACAAAACCTAATATTACCTTAATATAGTAAACATTTGATATATTTTTGTTAGAGTGGATTAAAAAGTGGCATTTGTGGTTTTATCTGGCTTCAGATTCATTAGGAATGAGTGAGTGAAAGGAACCTAAAAGGGTGAGTTCATTGGTACATGAACAATTTAATCCTTTTTCGGTCTCAATAGCTATTATTGTGGCTAACAAAGCAACTCTTATAAGTTGCACACAAACAAGAAGTAGGAGAGTGTTTATGATGTCATCATAAATATTTATAATAGGGACATGATACAATGTTTTGTGAGACATTGTTGAGAAAGGTTAGACAGTGAATGCTCATTTAGATCAAAATCAAACACCTGACACTTGTTGAGCATTTTTTAATTTACAAAGTATACTCACATTTATTATCCTATTTAAACTCAATTTTTCAATCTACATTGGACCATTATCTTCACTGGGTAAGCATTCTCTAATATCTCCATCCTTAGACTCCACATTCCCCATCAGAAAAAAAAAACAAACAAACCTGTATATCTTCTTTCTTTTACAGCAAAGCCCAAGAGTTGTCTATGTTCATTATCTTGACTTTCTCACCTAACATTCTTGCGTCAGTCAAGTCAGATCTGGTTTTTGTTCCCACAACTTCACTGAAATTGCTTTTATCAAGGTCATTAGGAATGCCCATCGTGTCTATTCACTCTCTCCTCCTGGAAACACTCTTCTTCACTTGGCTTCAGACACAGTATATTTCACTGGTTTCCCACCTACCTCACTGGGTTTTGCTCCTCCACACTTTTAATGGTCCCGCTCCTCAGTTATTGTCTCTCTTACTCCCAAGGTGATCTCAACCAGACCCTAGTTTTCAACATGATTTGAAAGCTGATGGCTCCCAATTTCTATCTTCAACCCAGTTCTCTCCCTTGAGCTCTAAACTTGTGTAGCCAACAGCCTTCTTAACTCTCTTTAGATAGGCATCTCAAACTTACAATCCTAAAACTGAACCCTGGAGGACCCTGCTGTAATGCCAGTGCTCCCCTTCTCAGCAAGTGGTGCTAAATTCATGCACAGATGCCGCCCTAGCTGAAAATGTAGATGTCATCCCTAAGTCCTCTCTTTTCTCATTCGCAGCATCTTGTCTGTCCACACGTCCCTAGAATCTGACTAGTTATTACTACCTACACCTCTGCCAACCTAGAGAAAGCCACCTTTATTGTCACTTAGACTTCTGGAACAGCTTTTTAACTTGGTTCTTCACTTCCTTTCTAGCTCCTTTTGCAGTGCAGCCAAAGTGATACTTTCAAATGATCCAGTGGTATTCCCTTTACATTCTGATGAAAACCCAGTTTTTTCTAGAACTTATAGACCTTCATGACCTGGGCCCTACCTTTCTGTTCAAACTTAGTTCTACCTTAAGGTATTTGCATTTACTGGCTCTGTCTAGAATTTTCCTCTACCAGACCTTCTCATAATTCATTCCCTCAACTCCTTCTGATTCTACTCAAAGGTAATCTCTCTTCCTCATCCTACAGCTTTTTGTCCCTTAACCCTCTTTATTTTCCTTATTCCCTTACTGGTCAATATAGTATATATTTGCTTAATTATTTATGATCTCTCTTTCTCTCAGTGGAATATAATTCCAAGAGGTTTGTTTTCTCCTGTATTCCCAACATCTAGAACAGTGCTATAATATTGTAGGTGTCCAACAAATAGATATTGAATGAAAGAATGAGATTTAAATATAAACCTTTTAACTAGAAGTCAAGTGTTTTTTTTTCATGATCAAAGCCCATGTAAAAAGTGATCATCTTTTCATATTTTTTGATATCTCTAGCATATTCTGAGGAAGTATTTTGAGAACATGATTTCAGATTCTTTTGGATAAATGGAGATACATGATATTAGAGCACTTGTGTAATTGCAGTTTGTGTTGATGAGGTATGGGTTTATGATAGAGACATCAGCATCATCTCCATTGGTACAGAAGCATTTCACACTAATATTCTACTGCATAGATTGAGGCATAATTCCAACAGTGGCAGGAGAATTGCCCTAAAAATATAGGAATTCACAAATTTTAAACTTTTGACCCAGTGAAACTTAAAAGGGCAGCAGAGAAAACACAATGGTATTACACCAAACTTAAAAGCTACTGCACAGCAACAGAAACAATCAAGAGTGAGGAGATAACCTATAGGATGAGAAAAGGTAACTTGCAAACTGTGCACCTGACAAGGGGTTAATATCCAGCAAAAGAACAAGCAATGCTATTTCAAAATGGGCAAAAGACCTGAATAGACATGTAAATGAGTGACAGGTATGTCAAAAAAATATTCAACATCACTAATTGTCAGGGAAATGCAAATCAAAACCACACTCCAGTAGAGAAAGGGGAACTCATATACTGTTGGTAAGAATGTAAATTAGTACAGCCATTCTGGAAAATAGTAAAGAGTTTCCTCAAAAAACTAAAACTAGAAGTACCATATTATCCAGCAATCCCACTACTAGTTATATATTCAAAGAAAATCAGTATGTCAAAGAGATATTGTCACTCCCATGTTTATTGCCGCATTATTCACAATAGCCAAAATACGGAATCAAACTAAGTGCCTATCAGTGGGTAAATGAATACAGCAAACATGGCATATATACACAACGGAATACTATCCAATCATAACACAAAATGAAATCCTGTCATTTGTGGCAACGTGGTTGAACTTGGAGGACATTATGTTAAGTGAAATAAGCTAGGCACAGAAAGACAAATACTGCATGATCTCACTCATTTGTGGAATCTAAAAAAGATGATCTCATAAAAGTAGAGATTAGAATAGTGGTTACCAGATGCTGAGAAGGGTAGTGGGTAAAGGAAGATGGAGAGAAGTTAGCAAAAGGGTACAAACTTACAGTTAGGAAGAACAAGTTCTGATGTTCTATTACACAATAAGGTGACACGTAATAAAAATGTATTGTATATTTCAAGATAGCTACGAGAGAGAATTTTGAAAGTTATCACCACAAAGAATGATAAATGTTTTAAGTGGTGAATGTGATAATTACCCTGATTTGATCATTACATAATGTGTACATGTATTGGAACATCACACTTACCCCATAAATATGCACAGTTATTAGAGGTCATTTATAAATAAAATAAAACTTTTTTTTTTTTTTTGAGAAAGAGCCTCACTCTGTTGCCCAGGCTGGAGTGTAGTGGCGCATTCTTGGCTCACTGCTTTGCCTCCCAGGTTCAAGCAATTCTCATGCCTCAGCCTCCCAGGTAGCAGGGACTACAGGTGGTGTGCCACCACGCCCAGCTATTTTTTTTTTTTTTGTATTTTTAGTACAGAAGGGGTTTCACCATGTTGGCCAGGCTAGTCTCAAACTCCTGACCTCTCACCTGCCTTGGCCTCCCAAAGTGTTGGGATTACAGGCATGAGCCACCACACCTGGCCAAAATAAAACTTTTTTAAAAAGGAGAGAAAATTCAAGTATTAAAAAGCCACTTCAGACAATCTGTTTGTAAAGTGCTATAGATAATAGGATTTTCGACATGGGCTTGAGTAATCTTGAGGGTTTTGCCTGGTGCCTCAAATCCTCGCATACTGGGGTAGTGTCTTTTATTCCTGTAGAAATAACGTAAAAGCTCTAATATTCCCTGTCTTTATAGGCCATGAATTAAGTGTTCCCTACACTTTCCTGGGAAGCATTTGAAATTGCTTCAAAATTTACAGAGAATAGAGCAGCTGCCATTTATTGTGCACCTACTGTGTGCCCAGCATTTTAAGTCTGTTATCTTATTTGATCTTTAAGTTCCTGAATTAGGTGTTTGTAGTAGACATTTATAGTTTTGTCAATCTGGAATAGCCTCCTCCCTCTTCTAGGAAATGACTCTTCCCATTCACATGCTGGATGTTTTAATAGGGACTTTACATACAGCTCTTGCCTGCTGGCCAGAGGAGTTGTCTGGGACCAAGAATGAACCAAATAGAGTCCTCACACAGGATTTTTACAGTGGGTGTTAAAAGGGGAAAATTGTGCCCTCTGATCACAATACCATAAGGCATAACCCATGCCAATGTCCCACGGTGTAGAGGAGTAGGACTGAGAGAATTTACCAGGTATATGGAGAATAGAGACAGACCAGAAACAAGAGACCCAAAGGTGTTTGAATCCTTTCTGTCTTCTTTGAGGTTGGCGCTGCCTCTACCCTTTCAATCCTTTCAATTGCTTCTTTATATGAACCAATGGCTTCCTCATTTGCTTATGTCTATTTAATTGGCTATTTGACACTTGCAATTGCAGGAGCTCTACATAGTGCAGTAAATTATATCTCCTTTCTATGGATGCAACCCCCAACGCATAAAAAGTTAAATCACTTTTTACCAGTTACGTGGCTACATGAGATTAAATTCAGGTCTGTGGGTTCTAATAACCTTCTGCTCTGTCCAGTGCATTACATTGCCATTCTTTTTACACCTCTGAAAGGGTCGCACTCAGCAGATAGTTAAATATGTGACCCAATCTATTTGTTTTTTTTTAAATGTAGACAAGCATCTAATGTAGTTACAAGAATAAAAAGATATCTAAGTGTCCTCACACACGTCCTTGCTTGTTTCTTTATTTGTAAAATGGCCAAGTTGAAATCTATGACCTCTGAATTTTGTTTCTCATGGAAAGTTGTCTAAAATCAAATAGATTCTTAGTGCCTCTGAAGATCTAATTATACTGACTGTGCCTCTAGGATTTATTTAAATGTGAAAACAAAAGGAGGTGCCTCTATCAGACTTCATGATCATGAGCCAAGTTGGCTTCCAGCCCTCCAGCAATAACTCTAGAGTGGCACTCTCAGAACATCAGTATCTTATTATTTCCAGATCAGACTCCTATCCTAAAAGACATGTGTGCATTGTCAGGAAGAAATTTTAAAATACCCAGAAACAACCAGTCTTCTGGAAGATGAAAGGCATTTTTTTTTTCCTTGAAAATTGTAGCATACAACCCTAAATCTTGAAAACGCATTATTTTGGATTGGTTGCTATAAGCACCTTCCTTTGGCATTCAAATTGGGCATCTAACAACTCCTACAGAACATCAGCAGCGATATAGATGATTATGCTGAAGGTAAAATTAGTACAGTGAAGCCTGTTTCAGCACCGACATGCACAAACAGGTACAGGCGTCAAACCTGAACACACACACACACACACACAATCACACACAATGGTCTTTTTGTTTTCTTTTTAATGTATTCTCAGAAAGGGTGCTAAGAAATTGTCCCCTTTGTCAGCTTTTGATACTCACTCAGTCTGAAGTATCAGAATAATCTTACCCTAAATGCATTTCTGGTTTAATACTCAATTCTTTGTAAAAGAAAATTGGTTCACTTTTTAAGAGCGTCTTTTTCCACAGGTGCTCTAATTATTTTTAAGTTCATATTGATATGATATTGTATTGCTTACGAGATGTTTTAATGCAAATTACCTATGTAAATTATTTAAGTTATGTACCAAACCTATAAGGTTATTATTATTATTATTTATATTTCTCCTGCTTGTCTTTCATCATCACAGAAGCTCTATTATTATTTGCATTTAAAGATGAAGACACTGAGGGTCTATGGAACAAATGACATCCTGGGACACACTTCCTAGCTGTGTGTCCCAGGATAAGGCAGAGCTAATAAGTATATCCCAGAATAAGTCACTTACCCCATTGATACTCTACTCTGACTTCAGATAATGCAAAGAGCAAGGGATTTACAACCAAACATGTCTGGGTTGAAATCTCAAATTCACCTACCAGCTTTGTGACTTTAAGCAGGTGACTTAATCTCTTGGATCCTTTGTTCTATTATCTTTAAAATGAAGGCAATAATAGCCAAATTATAAACTTTTAGTAAGTATTAAATAAGCAACTATATGAAGCCCTTAGCACTCATCAGTGTAGAGTAGGTGCTCACTGAATGGTGCTAGTTTTAATTCAAGTGCTCTTGATTGCAGAAAAAAAAAAGTCACCTATTTGATGTTGATTATCTGAGGATCTACGGAAGCTCCAAATATTCAGTGAAACTTTTATAGTGTAACGTGGTCAGTGCTAAGGTGCCCTGAGGCTCTAGGGATGTTCTCCCTCCTCACTTTATCCCTAATTAAAAACTAATGCAGAGGGACAAGACTTGTGATTTCATAGGCCCTTTGGTGGTAAGGTTCATGGACTTCTCTTTTTTTTTTTTTTTTTTTTTTTTTTTTGCTATTCTGGTGACCCATTCACATATAGCATCTAATCTGTGACTTCCAGCGAAGGGAAAGAGTCAATTCCATACTCCTGTGATGCTCTCATTTGGGACTGGTGTCCAACAGAGCAGGTAAACTCTGTGAGAGAGTGCATCAGATCTTGGGTAAGCCAGCCAGCTTCTCTCTGTTCCATGACTACAGATCTCAGCTTGATGCCCAGCCTATGCAGGTTGAGTATCCCTTATCTGAAATGCTTGGGACCAGAAGTGTTTCAGATTTTGGATTTTTTTTCAGGTATTGGAATATTTGCATATACTTACTTGTTGAGCATGCCAAATTTAAAAATCTGAAGCTCAAAATGCTCCAATGAGCCTTTCTTTTGTGCATCATGTTGGCACCCAAAATGTTTCAGATTTTGGAGCATTTCAGAATTGCGGTTTTTGGATTTGAGATGCTTCATCTGTACTTGCTTCTGGTCATAGTGTATGAATGAGGTGGTGCTGGACGTTTGATAAACTGAGGAGTGAGTTAAGTACTATCAGTTGTTACAATAATGGATCAATTAATTATCAATTGTGTTTTTGACTGTAAGAAACAGAAGACCCAAGTCAACTTTTATTACTTGAAGGCAAATAGTTCTACTGTGGTCATGGAAAGGCTACTGAGCTTCTTTTAGTTCAGTTTTCCAATATCCTAAATCAGGGTAATAATGCTACCATCCTTCTAGATTTGTCATAATGTTTCTTACTGTAAGAGATTAGCCTTAGACTCCAAAGAAGTGTGCTCAACTCCTTTCCCCGCCTCTTACTAGCTACAGTAATCTAATCTAATTCTTCCCGAGACTCACCTGCAGAATGGAATTAACAATACCTTCCTCAAAAGATGTTGTGAGTGACCAATAAGATTTACTGGTAGGTAGGATTGCACAGGGGGCAATACCTTGCATCACATCCCATACACTGATGTTTGTTGAAATTAAATCTGACGTCTGTATATTTAGTCTCTTATCTATTAAATGAAGATAAGGGTACTTTTCTCAGAAGATTGTGATGGGGATTAAATGCAATGATATATGTGAAAACACTTTAGGAACTCTATAATAATGTATAAAAGTAATTATTAGTACTATTAATCTCTTATAATTATTTGTATTATAATATTACATAACCATTATATTATTTTTGTATCTCTTATGATTTCTAAGTCAATAGTATAGATTCTTATTTTTCATATTAAAGAATTACTCATGTAAAGAAATTGCTTAGAAATAAATTTTCAAATGTTTTAGTCCATAAGATATTGTCTAGAGACACATTTATTATAATATACCTTAACAAAACAGTCATGTTTTAGCATGTAAAATTGTTGAGTGAAATAATTTTTAAAATGTCATTTAAAGTTAGTGAGGTTAAAAATTAGTGAAATAAAATAAGTGCTGCCTGTTTAAGTATTTAACAGCTGCCCAGCTTCCCATCACACTTCAGATTTTCAGCACCACCCTATAGAAGATCTTCACCTGGTACTGGTGTGTGACTTACTGCTAAGTGAAGCTGCCTGCTTAGGTGAGGTTGTTTTGGTGTCTTTTATCATGTTAGCTGTTGATGGACAGCCTATGTGCATTTGTACTCTCAGATAACATTTATTCCTTGTTGTTTTTCCTCTAGTGAGCTTTAAAAACAAGTCTTGTGGTGCATTTGTCTATAAGTATGCAAGTCCCTGCCATAGACTTTTTCCATTATTTCCTGATGTTACCCAGCCCTCTCAGCTAGAAACCAAAATTTACTCCATCAACAAGACATGCTTTAGTAGATAGCAAAAAGAGAGCCATTTGCAGACATAATCCTAGAGTAATATATTTCGTATGTGTGTTCTTTTTTCCCCAACCCAAGAAATTACTACTACTGGTGGTTCATCTCTTATGAAAAGACCAGCAATCAGGCCGGGCACAGTGGCTTACACCTGTAATCCAGTGCTTTGGGAGGCCAAGGTGGGTGGATCACAAGGTCAGGAGTTCGAAACCAGCCTGGCCAACATGGTGAAACCCCATCTCTACTAAAAATACAAAAAAATAGCCCGGCGTGGTGGCAGGTGCCTGTAATCTCAGCTACTCGGGAGGCTGAGGCAGGAGAATTGCTTGAACCCGGGTGGCTGAGGTTGCAGTGAGCCAAGACTGTGCCACTGCACTCCAGCCTGGACAACAGAGAGAGACTCCGTCTCAAAAAAAAAAAAAAAAAAAAAAAAAAAGAAAGAAAGAAAGAAAAAGAAAGAAAGAAAGAAAAGACCAGCGATCTCTATTATAGGCAGTAGGGCATAATGCATTTGAAATATAGAGTCTAAGAACTTAAATTCGAGCCCTGACTCTGGATATTCTGTATGAGTTACTTTGAGCACGCTCTGTCTCTCAGACTTAATTTCTTTTTCTTTTTCTTTTCTTTTCTTTTTTTTTTTTTTTTTTTGAGACAGAGTCTCGCTCTGTCACCCAGGCTGGAGTGCAGTGGCGCGCAATCTCAGCTTACTGCAAGCAAGCTCCACCTCCCGGGTTCATGCCATTCTCCTGCCTCAGCCTCCCGAGTAGCTGGGACTACAGGTGCCCACCACCACGCCTGGCTAATTTTTGTATTTTTAGTAGAGACGGGGTTTCACTGTGTTAGCCAGGATGGTCTCGATCTCCTGACCTTGAGATCTGCCTGCCTTGGCCTCCCAAAGTGCTGGGATTACAGGGGTAAGCCACCACGCCTGGCCACTTAATTTCTATAACTTACATTTGAATTCCTGCACTGCTGCTATATCTAATTAACCATTTCCTTGGACAAGTCATGCAATCCTTCTTAGGCTCACTTTCTGTTATAAAATGAGAATAAAAATTTTTCATACTTCAGAGAATTGTTGGGAAGATTAAGTAATGTAAAGTTTGAAAAGTATGGTTTCTGGTATTTATAATAGCTATTGTTATTAATACTATGATTATTTTAATATTAACATGGTAGAATTTGATAAGAGATGCAAATTGCAGTTCATTATTTTTTCTAAGACTATTATCTGAGGGGCAATGGATTTCTCTCAGGAAACTCAAAGAAATGCATTTTTCCTCCTTTAATTTTAGTGAGCTAAATAAAATTCATCGTAAAAGAACTTAATTGTGCAGATAATATAATTTTTATAGAGACAATTCTAAGAAGTACACACATACACAAACTAAAAAAAAACTAATAAATG
The DNA here is from genome assembly GCF_000001405.40 of Homo sapiens. Taxonomy (NCBI): domain Eukaryota; kingdom Metazoa; phylum Chordata; class Mammalia; order Primates; family Hominidae; genus Homo; species Homo sapiens. The sequence continues at coordinate 66,165,535 of NC_000001.11, forward strand.
AGAGTTCAGCAAGGTGGCAGGATATAAGATCAATACATACAAATCAATTGTAATTCTATATAATAGCAATGAATAATTTGAAAATTAAAAAAATAATTCCCTTTATAATAGCATCAAAAAGAATAAAATATTTAAAAATAAATTTGCCAAGGCAGTGCAAGACTTTTATGCTGAAAACTACAAAACATGGTGAAGAATAATTAAGGAAGACCTAAATAAATAGAAGAACGTCCTATGTTAGTGGATTGGAAGACTCAAATTTTAAGATGGTATTACTCCCCAGATTCGTTTACAGATTCAAAATAATCCTTATCAAAATTCCAGTTGCTTTCTTTTTTTTGGAGAAATTGACAAGCTGATCCTAGGATTCATATGGAAATGCAAGGGACCTATAAAAAACAAATCAAACCTTGAGGGGAAAAAAAAAAAAGAAATTGGAGGATTCACACTTTCCAATTTAAAAATTTACTAAAATGGTAGTATAGTACTGACATAAGGTAGACATATACAGATTAATAGAATAGAATTGAGAGGCTAGAAATAAATCTATGCCTGTATAATCAATCTATTTTTGACCAAGATGCCAAGGCAATTCAATGGGGGAGTGGGGGAATCGCCTTTTCAACAAATAATACAGAGACAACTGGATATCCACATGCAAAAGAATGGAATTGGACTTCTAATTTACTCCATGTACAAAAACTAACCAAAGTGAATCATAGATCTAAAAGTAAGAGCTAAAAGCATAACAATCTAATAAGAAAACACAGGAGTAAATATTCATGACCTAGGGTTAGTCAATGGTTTCTTAGCTATGACACCAATTACATAAATGACAAAGAAAAAATAGATGAAATGGATTTCATTAAAGTGAAAAACTTTTTGTTCTTCCAAGGACGCTATTAAAACAGTGAAAGGGGGCTGGGCGGGTTGGCTCACACCTGCAATTCCAACGCTTTGGGAGGCCGAGGTGGGCAGATCACGAGGTCAGGAGTTAGAGACAAGCCTGACCAACATGGTGAAACCCCACCTCTACTAAAAATAAAAAAGTTAGCCGGGCATGGTGGCGTGCACCTGTAATCTAAGCTACTCAGGAGGCTGAGGCAGGAGACTAGCTTGAACCCAGGAGGTGGAAATTGCAGTGAGCTGAGATGGTGCCACTGCACTCCAGCCTGGGCAATAGAGCAAGACTCTGTCTCAAAAAAAAAAAAAAAAAAGTGAAAGGACAACCCACCGAATGGGAGAAAATATTTGTTAATCATGTATCTGATAAGGGACATGTTTCTAGAATACACAAAGAATACTTACAATTCAACAACAAAAAGCCACAGACCGTAACTAACAAATGGGCAAAGGATTTGAATAGGCATTTCTCCAAAGAAGAAACACAAATGGACAATGATCATATGAAAGTAGACTGTCATACCATTAGTCATTAGGAAAATGCAAATCAAAACCACAATGAGATATTGCTTCACACCCACTAGGATGGCTATGGTCAATAAGACAGCCGATAACAAATGCTGGAGAGAATGTAGGGAAATTGGAACTCTCATACATTTCTGGTGGGATTGTAAAATGGTGTGACCATATTGGAAAAGTTTGCCAGTTTCTCAAAATGTTAAACATAAAGTACAACATGACCCAGCAAGTTTACACCTATGTTTATATACCAGAAAAATGATCACATAAATTCATGCAAAAACCTGTACATGAGTATTCATAAAAGTATTATTCATACATAATAGCTAAAAAGTAGAAACAACTCAATGACAATCAACATAAACAAAATGTGATATATGAGTACAATAGAATTTATTTTGGTAGTAAAAAGCAATAAAGTACTGATATATGCTACAAAATGAATGAATTTTTAAAACTTTAAGTGAAAGAACCCATGCAATGTGTGATTCAATTAACATGAAATATTCAGAATGGGCCACTCCCTGTTAGTTAGGAGTAAATGGAAATGGAGTTTCCTTTTGGGGTGATGAACATGGGGTGATAGTGGTGATGGTTGTAAACTGTGAATATATTAAAAACCATTGAATTGGACATTTTATAAATGTAAATTTTACAGCATATGAATTGTATCTTAATAAAGCAGTTATTTAAAAGGGAACTTAAGCATTTTGATATTTCTATGGAAGTGAAAAAGAAAATAGGTTACTTCCTTTCCATTTTCAAGAGTACAAGCAAAGTCTCTCCCTGTGGTTATGGTGGTAAATTAGCGTGAATCATGTGGTGAATTAGCCACATGTCATCTTTAAAATTCTCCTTATCCAATATTCCTAGATCATCTTTGCTAATTTTATATTTTCTTCATAATCTAAAAACAATACTTTAGTAGCATTCTCAAAAGTCATTGTATTGCCAGATTAGATTAAATGTAACATATGCACCAATGCCTCTCTCTTTTCTGTTCAGTCCTTCTCAAAAATTATATTACTCTCCAAACAACCTGAGAAAATAAAGCCTTTTCCTGTAAGAGAGTTACCTTGAACATTCACTCTGACCCAAAATATTATTTTCATGAAAATCACTTCTATTTATTATGAACTAGACCAACTATCTTCTTTCTCATTAGCTGAAAACCTCCAGACTGGCATTTGCTTTTATTCATTTATAAATTAATTCATTTTTCAACAAATATTTATTGAGTTCCTACTTTGTGTTAGGCACTACAGTAGGCACTGACAATAAAGCAGTGAAAAAATACAGAAATCCTCTTTCTCCTGGAGTCACATTCTAGTGCAAGGGTACAGATGATACATATAATAAATATATGGTATATTAGACAGTGATGTTGTGAGAAAAAAAAAGCAAAATAAAGAGAGTGCTGTTGTGGTAGGGTGGTCAGACAAGACCTTGATAACGAGGTGACATTTGAACAAGGACTGAGTAAGTGTGGGAGTGAGCTATGGAGCAAACTGGGTAAGAGCACATGAGGCAGAGAGAAAAGCCACTGAAAAATTCCAGAGGCAGGAGCATGCCTGGCATGGTGTAGTAACCACAAAGGGTCACTGTGGCTTCAGCAGTGTGGGGAATGGGGAGAATGAGGAATGAGGACCGTACCTACCGTCTTGGAGACCGTTGTAAGAACTTTGGCTGTCATTGTGAATAGAAGGGAGGCCAACTGGAAGATGTTCAGCTGGTTAACGATGTGTGACCTGAGTTACATTTCTAAAGAGTTATCTTAGATGCTATTTTGAAAATAAACTGTAGCAGGACAAGGGCATAAGAGGAAGTCCAGTTAGAAACTGTTTTTCACAATTAAGTTTCGACCATCTGTGTACCTGTATTATTTTTTACACCTGTTCCTACTATTGCACAAAATGAGTCCTGTCCTGAGGTCAGCTTCTCTGAGACATTGTGAGGTCAAGAAGATGAGTTATGAGGCAAATCTGAAATAAGGAAATAAGGCATCCCTTCCAGGAACACAGATCCAACTAAAATGCAGGATTATCAGCATCCAGAAGGAAGATAAATGACACTGTGCCCTGAAAAACAGACAAAGGGGAGACCATTCAAACATGCCTTCTCATTTGATTGCAAACCAATCTTTTTCAGTATGAGTCATCTACATTTTACTCAGAAATCCAGAATGCCAGGACCCTTGTCCTCTCTGTTGAATGCCTTTGGAGTATAATTTGTCACTCTGGGAAATGCCATCAGTTCTTCAGGGATCAGAGGATCTTTGAACCTAATACTGTTGTGTCGGGTTAATTGTGATTTCAGTGGCCTTTAAGTGCTATTGTATCTGCTTAGAGGCCAGTCTTCCTGGGCCAGCGGTGAAAGTTTAAATATACACCAGCATGCTTAGAGCAGTCAGGGGAGTTGGCACCAAATCTGAAAGTTGAATTCATTATTCCAGTCACACTGTTATTTCTTTGTGTAACATAGATATTTTCTTTGCTCTCTAATCTTCTGTGATGAAAAAGACCTATAATCTCTCCAGGGTTTTCGCCTTTGTTGTGGTCTCACATATGTCATTCAGGAAATCTGACCCCGTGTGTTAGGTGTTCTCTCATGGTGCACTGAATGAGCTAAACAACGCAGAACGAGTCAGACAGGAGGTTGGATAGCTCCAAATGCAATGCAAACCAGAGAAGGGGAGAGAATTGTATTTGATTAATCAGATCACTGTGAACTTTGGCTAAAAGAAACTCCAGAACATGCTGACATATCACCAGGAACAGAGGAGAAAATGCAACATGAGAATGAAAACAGAGGATACTGTTTAAAGGGAGATATTTCTGCAATTTGGGAAACTCAAATTATTTCTTTTTTGGAGGCATATTGGAAAAAATCCTACACGCATCATGGGAAGCTATCATTCAGATTTGGCTACAGATTGATTTTCTCACTGATTTCTTAAGCAAACTATTGACAATGTTCCTGTTGAATGCTTACATGTTGATTGTTAAGTCATTTGTATTTATATAGAAAATTATATTTACTCTGCAATAGTAAGTGGCATGCCATCAGAAAGAAAAATAAAAGGACAAAGAGTTAAGTAATAATTATGTAGCAGCAAGAACACAGGGAAGATAATGAAAATGAACTAAGTCCCTAGGTGTGGGATATGAATAGCGTACCAGCTTTTCAGGATGTTGCACATTAGTTCCTCAACAACATTCGTGGATATGGTAGGTGTTGGTGATGCTATGAACATCAAATTTTATCTGACAGTTCAGGAATGAAGCTGGGAGATGGTGTTATATTTAAAAACACTGAATAATGAGAAATTTTAAATAAAATGTTTAGGGAAAATACTATGCTTTGCAAAATTATATGATTTTTAGGAAAAATGCATTGAGTACATTTACACATTAAAATTTCCTTACCTTTTCAAAAATTATAGGAGTAGCTTGTGAATTGAGTGGAGTTTTTCTGTAAGAATAAATTATCTGTTTCCTCAGGTCAGGCTACCATCTGTGAATGATATTTATTTTTGTCTACTTGAAATTTAAATATGACTATTTTAAAAAAGCTTTTCCCTGTTGGATTCTTACTAAAAGAAATAGAAGATAATGAGCAGTTATGACAAATTGTAAAGATTTTCTAACTACTCCTAGATATATATTTTTGTGTGGCTAATGAATAGTTGATGAGTATGTCTTTTATCCTCTTTTTAGAGCTATCAGAGAGATTTAAAATAGTTCATATTGCTTAAAATATTTCTGGTGTCCATGAACTGTGTCTCCATTTTGAAGATTAACACAGCAAAAACATGGAATTATGGGTGGTGGAATGCAAAGGGTATCACAAACTAGAACCAAGCAATAATTTGTGTAGTTTTTAAACTGATTTACCCTTTTGTAATATTATAGTACCAGGTTTACATGTATAACAAAGCAGAGGAGTATGGCCATACATTTTAAATAGGAGCATTGCTTGTTTGGAGATTAAACTTTGAACTGCTCTGAATGTCAAGGCTTTTTGGAGAGCAGAAATCGTGGCTGGCATAATTTTTGTGTGCAGTGCCTACCTGGCATGATACTTTCGGGTGGTGTTGATGAGTAAATCAGAAAAGCAAAGCACTCTTAATTAAGAGTTAGAGTTACTTACTCTTAATTTTGAACATAATTAATTCTCATAAATCAGTCCACAATTTTGCCTGCTCACATTTTTTTTTCTAGGATTGGTAGAAAATATCAGAGACATTCAAGGAAAAGGAATTTAGAATTTTTACTATTCCCATAAAAAGTGGAATTCAAAAGAGGATTTTGAGTAATTGGGTCGAAAATGAAATCTTTTCTTCCCATTTTAATAACTTAAGTTGAAGGCAGTCATGTACTTTATGGGATGGAATATTAGTCTTCTGTAACAAAATATAAAAGGAAGCATTTCCTTGAAACTAGAAAACATGGGGTTAGACAGTTAAGAAGGTTCTTGTTGGCTTTCAGACTTTTGATATATAACTAATGTCATTGTAATTTTCTTTAAAAAGAATATATTAAAAAGGGAAAAATTATTTAAATTTATCTGATCACAAAACTCTTTTTGGAGGTGAAGTGCCTATTAATATCTCAGTGGACCTCTGGAACAGCCTGGGTGGTGTGATGTTGCTTCAGTGAAACAAACACTGCCTAGAGAACCAGATCAATACTGTTGAAAATTACAGCTTGTTTACCAGCTATATAACCTCAAGCAGGCCTGAGCTTTAATTTTCTTGTGTGTAAATGAGTTTATAATGCTTCCCTTGAAATATTGTGAAGATTGTGATGTAATATGAAGCACCCAGCATAGTTCCTGGCACATATGAAGCACTCAATAAAAACTAAACTTGTATTGAGAATGAAATATAAAAAAAATTGATATGTGACTCATTGTGGTGTTTAAATGAGATGTAAAAGTACTTAGCGCAGGACCTTGTCCAAAGAATTAACTCAGCAAATTCTAGCTTTCTTTTTAAAAAATTTCAACTTCTGTTTAAGATTCAGGGAGTATATGTGCAGGTTTGTTACACTCGTATATTGTGTGATGCTGAGGTTTGGAGTACGATTGATCCCATCATGCAGGTAATGAGTATAGTACCTAATGGGTTGTTTTCCAGCTCTACCCTTATCCCCTGCTTTTGGAGTCTACGGTGTTTATTATTCCTGTCTTTGTGTCCATGTGTATGCAATGTTTAGCTCCCACTTATAAGTGAGAACATGAGGTATTTGCTTTTCTGTTCCTGCATTAATTCACTTAGGATGATGGCCTCCAGCTGCATCCATATTGCCGCAAAGGACATGACTTCATTTTTTCTTATGGCTGCATAGTATTCCGTGGTGTATATGTACCACATTTTCTTTATCCAATTCACTGTGAATGGGCACCTATGGTGATTCTATGTCTTTGCTATTGTGAATAGTGCTGTGATGAACATATGAATGGATGTGTCTTTTTGGTAGAACAATTTATTTTCCTTTGGGTATATGCCCAGTAATGGGATTGCTGGATTGAATGATAGTTTTGTTTTAAGATCTTTGAGAAATTTCCAAACTGCTTTCCACAGTGGCTGACCTAATTTACATTCTTACCAACAATATATAAGTGTTCCCTTTTCTCTGCAGCCTCATCAGAAGTATTGTTTTTTGATGTGTTGATGATAGTAATTCTGACTATTGTAAGATGGTAGCTCATCATAGTTTTTGTTTGCATTTTTCTGATGATTAGTGATGTTGAGAAATTTTTAAAAGAATTAATTTAGTAAATATCAGCTTCTTTCCTTTTTTCATCTCCTCATCTTCACATTATGTATTATGTATAAGTTGGCAAGCTCTTTTTTTGGAAATCCAGATCCTTTCAGTTATAATATGATGTTTAAAGGAACTTTTAAAAATTACACTTATCCATTGAAATGGTTGATTCACTCATCTTTTTGGTATGTACTTAGTACTTTCTATGTACCAGGTACTGTGCTGGCTTCTGGAATCTGAAGTTGTATAATTATCAGATAGAGTGAACCCCCAAATAAATGAATGATTATAAATCAGCATGTTAAAACAATTATTGGTGTGTATACAGTCTTCTTTGGGCACATGGATACACCTGTATCAGATTGGGGGTAAAGGAGGTGACCCATAATCAGAATTTTGATGGATAAGTAGGCCATAAGTAAACGAAAATCAGAAGGAAGACTTTCCAGGCATAATATAGCATAGCATGACTCATCCTGGAGAATAACTATTGATGTTCTAAGACACGAGAAGGAAAATGATTGCTTGTGACAACGCTGAAAAGGCAATAGGGCTGGATAAGCCCTCAAGAGAACTTCAACTTTCTCCTGAAAGCTGTGAGGGACCATAAAGATATTAAAGCAGAGACGGGCATAAGCCAAAATATGGGGCCAACCTGGAGTCAGAAACTGGTCAGGGTGTTTCCCATAGAAGCTAAGGGTGCTTCCATTGAAATCGAATTGTATTCTATTTTAAGAGGAAAAAACTCAAGCAAGTGCTGCTAAACCCGCAAGAGTCTATTTGAATTTACCTATAGTCTTTGAGGTGGCCCAATGGCTTGGACTACTCTTATATGGCAATTTGCAGTGATCAAAATGGAACATCACAATTAAACTGTTGAATTGTTAAGTGGTAAAATGTTTTCAAGATTCAACAGCTGAAGGCTTGGAAGCCTGCCTAGAGTATCCTTATAAGCCCTCTACCTGATTAAGATTTATCTGTTTTTATGTAACTCACTAAGAGTTAAGAATAACTTTTTATTTTCTCCAGTTGAGCTAATTTGACTTACTTGGGTTTTTTTGTTTGTTGGTTTGTTTTTTGATGCAGAGTCTTGCTGTGTCACCCAGGCTGGACTACAGTGGTTTGATCACTGCTCACTGCAACCTCCACCTCTTGGGCTCAAAGCAATCCTCCCACCTCAGCCTCCTGAGTAGCAGGAGCCACGGGCTTGTGTCACCACACCTGGCTAATTTTCATATTTTTGGTAGAGATGGGTTTTTGCTGTGTTACTCAGGCTGGTCTCAAACTCCTGGGCTCAAGCAGTCTGCCTGCCTTGGCCTCCCAAAGTGCTGAGATTACAGGTGTCAGCCACTGCACCCAACTTTACTTTTTTAAGTTACTTTACCTACAAATTTTTTCCTGCTGAACTACAGCTAATGGTGAATTCAGGTGAGAAAATAAAATGGAACTCTACATTTTCAATTACACCACGTCAATTAATTATAGGTTAACGATCACTTAAATGCAGTAGGGGAGCTAAATTTTATGAACTCTAGGGGAAATCCTTGAGCAAAGAGAAGAATTATGTTTATAGTAAAACTACTTCTTAATTTATTTGTGTTATATGTATTCATTTTGTACTACATGATTCTCTAAAGCAAGGCACACTTACATTTAGTAAATTTAGTAGGTGGAATTATGTATGGGCTTAACCTAAAACAGTGTTGCCTACTATATTCATCCATTCTCACACTGCTATAAAGAACTACCTTGGCCAGGTGTGGTGGCTCATACCTGTAATCCCAGCACTTTAGGAGGCCGAGGCGGGCGGATCACAAGGTCAGGAGTTCGAGACCAGCCTGACCAACATGGTGAAACCCCATCTCTACTAGAAATACAAAAATTAGCCAGGCGTGGTGGCACATGCCTGTAATCCCAGCTACTCAGGAGGCTGAGGCAGGAGAATGACTTGAACCTGGGAGGTGGAGGTTGCAGTGAGCCGAGATTGCACTCCAGCCTGTGTGACAGAGCCAGACTCCATCTCAAAAAAAGCAACAACAACAACAACAACAACAACAACAACAACAACAAACTACCTGAGACTGGGTAATTTATAAAGAAAAGAGATTTGATTTACTCGCAGTTCCACAGGCTAAACAGGAAGCAAGGCTAGGAGGCCTCAGGAAACTTACAATCATGGCAGAAGATGAAGGGGAAGCAAGGCGCGTCTTACATGATGGCAGGAGAGAGAGAGGGAGGAGGTGTCACGCTTAAACCATCAAATCTCATGAGCTGTCCCTCACTATCACCAGAACAGCATGGAGGAACCTGCCCCTATGATCCAATCACCTCCCACCTGGTCCCTCCCTCAACACATAAGAATTACAATTTGGATTACAATTCTAGATGAGATTTGTGTGGGGGCACAGAGCCAAACCATATCACCTACCAAGGCAATTATATTAGAAGCTAAATTATAGATGTGTAAACATTTCCAGAAACCAGTAAATACTTCTTTATTGAACTAGTTGAAAATCCATGGAGCCCAACAGAGTGTATTTGTCACTGCCAAACACTGAGAAGAAGCCAAGTTTCAGACTCTGCAAGAGCTCATTTTGACAACCATTAGGTTACAGTCCTATGTGTAGTTCTGTTGTGAAGAATATTTTGTTAGCTAAAAGAAGACTCATTGCTTTAATTATCTAAGCCAGTATGAGAAAAATTGTGCCTGAGACCAGGTCCCTGTGATGAAAATAAAACCGGTAAAATAGTAACACTTGGACAAATCCAAATATATTATCTCTGACTGTTAGTCCCTGATAGATACAGACAGCGGAAAACTTCATTCCAATCAACAACTTTTTTATTTATAAACATTTAAGACTTTAAAAAAAGTATTCTTTTTTGGGCACCGTGGACATTTTTCTTCTCTTGAGATGTGAGCCTTAGCACGTGCAGTGTGAGTGAAATGCCTGTACTGTCTACTTTGGTGAGGACAATGTATGTAACATTTGAAGAATGACATTACTTCTTCCTCTCTATGCTATATAATAGAACTGCATACATCCTGCTCCAGCAGAACACACACTTAAAAGTCAGTCTTGTATGAATCATCACATATTTGCTCTCTTTAGCATGGAACTATGTATTAGGAGGGTACAAAATAAGTGTGGTGCACTTGCCTCAAATTTGGGACAGAAAAACAAACTCTTTCTGTTAATGAGATTATTTCCATGAAATGTCATGCAAAAGATTTTTTAGGAGAAAAAAAGATTGATAAAGGACACATTCTTATTCAGTTTAAAAGCTATTTAGTACTTAGAAGCTGGTTAAAGGCAGATGGCTCAGGCTATCAGTTCAGTAGACCTAAAATTGACCTGAGAGCTGATTTCAGGAAGGGATGTTAGCTTGCTCCTAAGACCTTCCTCCCTGTCAGAAATGCAGCTTCCTCTTTGATTGCATAGTTGACTCAACAAAGGCAAGATTTCCCACGCTGAAGACAGATGGGAAAATTCCAAGGTTGGAGGTCGACTGGCAAGAAGCAGGCAGCTAATCTAACGGATAGTGTCTTGAGAGAACCCCGCCTACAAAACCACAGATCTAACACAGCATGGGGGCTAGGCATCGCCTAAAATCTGCAGGTCCATCCACTCTTGGAACATTCCCTGCCTGAGATCACAGCTACCCAAAGCAAGCTCTGTTGTGCCAATCACAGTGAATTAGTCAGATAGCTAAGACTTCCCTCTTAAATAATGCAGTAATTTAATTTTCTTGTGATAATTAGAAGGTTGAAGGAAATAAATCTCTTAACTATAGCCCTCAATTTATTCAAATATAAGTGCAGATTATAGCACAGATGAAGCTATCATATTAAAAGATAATCAAGTTATAAAACTGGTATTTCTATCAAGGCTATTTGTATCAACTAATTAAAAGTTATCTTTTGAATTACCATGCCTGCTGAATCAGCTTTCAGTAAATAATGCTAATGTACTTCACATAAAATAGTTCTATTTAAAGTAAACTATTTCTTAAATATATGAATTATTCAGACTTTGTTGTGGATGGTATGCAAAGAAACATCCTAATCACAACTAATCTCACAATTAATCTTTATTTTCCTTATGTAGCATAAAACTGCATTCACTTCTTAAATGAACACTTATTGAGAGTGCTACTCTCTTTTGCTCTCTGGTCAGTGGCCCTGGCAATACAGTACTTACTAAGAATTAGTCCTTGCCAGGTTCCTGTCTAGGTTCCTCCTCTAATGGGAGGGACAGATATCTGCCAATAAGAAGACAATCTGAGAAATGGCATAAAAGGGCTATGCATAAAGCTGCATGAGGTCCCGAGGAGAGCTAGCACCTGCTTCACAGAGGAGGTGACATTTGACTTCAGTCTAACAGTGTGACAAGGGAGGCAGTCCAGACAGAGAGAAAAACAAATGCAAATGAATGGAGACAGAAATGGGCAGGACTGGCTCAGAGAAAGATAAAACCTACAGTATGGTTATGTGTATTGTTTATTTCCGTCTCCCTCTTGTCCCATGTTACCCCTACCACAAACTGGGATGTGAACACCATGAAGGCAAGAAATGTTGTCTGTTTTGTTAATTAATATATGCCAAATGGTTAGAATGGTGTTTAGCACATGGTAAGGGCTCAATGAATACTTGTGAAATGAGTGAATGCATATGTGTGTGTTAGAGAGAGTTGTAACTGTGTGACTTGGGACTTAGGCATATCCAGGAATTCAGGTGACTTTGTAGAAATAACATCTGACAAGCGTTGGTCTTTGACCCTCTTACCTCCTTGAGAATACTTGTCCTGAAGGAAGATTTTATTTGAAAACTAATAATCACTCTGTAAACTTTATTCTGACAGCAGCAAAGTTTCAAAGCCTAAAAGATCTCATTGTCCTTGAGCAGTGTCATAAGCTGCAGGCAGGAAAAGTCAAGTTTAGGTTGTGTCCACAGCGCATTGAAGCCAGATAATAAATAATGCAGACTCTGTGACATTTTAGGAACCTTAGTTCAAGGATATTTACTGTTAGGCCTCTGGTGTTTTATTGATTTCCAAGTAAGCCACAGGAATGCCCTGAAGCCTTTCCTAAAGGTGGGATCATCATGGTTCAGTAAATAGTCAAAGCTTTACAGGAGTCGATACAGGCTTTGGTGGGCATTGTTTTTTTTAGTAAAAATCTAGTGAAATTCCAGTCACATCATCAAAAATCACTTTCTAAGATACAAAGGACCAAGTGTTAGAATTGGAATTATAATTCACATTTTAAGATACCATCAGGTAGCCTCACAATGCCTACTATTCCTTAAAAAAAAAAAAGAAAAGACAATGAAAGGAGAAAATTATGTATACATCTCTTATTCTAACTTAGTATTTAATAAAGCTCAGGATAGGTAACATATTTTGAAGTTACCAAGTAATGTTTTTTTCTCTTCTCCCCCCCAAAAAAAGAAGTCAAAATAAACAAAAATTTATTATATTGTTTTTAAAAACTACTTTAAATATCTACTCTATGCCAATTTAGGGTACCTTATACCCACTACTTTATTCTTCATAACAATCTATTAGATAGGAACTCTTATCCCTGTATTGCATATTAAAAACAGGCTGTGGCAGTGTTAACTTTTTCATTTTCATGAAAAAAATATTGAGCAGAAGCTGAATGAAAACTCGGTTCCGTGTTATTCTAAAACTCTTTCTACCATATGATAAATAAATACAACTTTTATAATTACTGATTTCTTGATTGCTAATGGCAGTGATTTTAATTTTTAAGTTGTTATTTATAAAGTTTATAAATATTTAAATTTTAGTTAATGAATATGTTTAAATTTTCTTGTGGTCTTTAAAAACAGAAAAATGATATTTATTTCCCAATTTATCCAGAGCTATTTGGTGCTCTTAACTAAAAAGATTTTCATTGTTTACAAGTGCAAGTCAACAAATTTTTATGGCACTCATGGTATGGGCAAGGAGGACTATATAAGATATGCTGCGTGCTGAAAATGTTGTAAATAAGTGAAATATCTTCAAGGACCTTTTGATTACATTTGGATAATGAAATATACATGCTCAATATCTAGTCTATGAATGTCAATCAACTGTTCAGAAAAAGATCTATCTTAACTTTTTTTTTCTTTTTTTTGAGACGGAGTTTCAATCTTGCTGCGCAGGCTGGAGTGCAATGGCGCGATCTCGGCTCACTGCAACCTCCACCTCCGGGTTCAAGCTATTCTCCTGCCTCAGCCTCCTGAGTAGCTGGGATTACAGGCACCTGCCAGGAAGGACTGGATAATTTTTTTATTTTTAGTAGAGACGAGGTTTCACCATGTTGGCCAGGCTGGTCTCAAACTCCTGACCTCAGGTGATCTGCCTACCTCGGCCTCCCAAAGTGCTGGATTACAGGCGTGAGCCACCATGCCCGGCCCTTAACTTTTCATGACTTTGATTGATTCAAAGTTACTGATTTTTTCAGTTTGTCAGCCTTACCATGGAAACTCACTCAGCATATGAATTTGTAATCTCAAAGCACCATCATATAGTGAATGAGCAACACCAGGCTATATAAGTGTCTGTGCATATTTAGAAAGCAATGATAATTTTTTCCTTTATTTGTCAATGGTCAGTGCAGGCTGCATATGAGATGGGTAGCAACACAGAAAATGATGGAGGGTAGGAAGTGAACACAGAAACAGAAGTTATGTGAAGAAGATCCAGGAGAGTGAGAACTACTCATTGCAAATATAGCCCTCTTTATGGGCTGCTCAAACATCAAAAATGTATTTGAAGGAAAAAAAAAGTATATCATAATAAATACTCAGTCAATATAAACTAACCTATTTGTTCCTTACTGAATTTGCAATGTGTAGGATGACACAGATGCCAATCAATAGTTGCTGAATGATGAATAGACAAATGGTCCAGGACATTCAGGTCATTTGAACAATTGTAGTTGTCAATAAATGATTAATTAGCTTGCTGTATAGACTGCTGTAGGCTTCCACCTCTGGCTTCACTGCAATTTCTGGACTGACATGGTAGATTGTACACTTCTTAAAAACACAGGGAACCCTCAGAGGGTGGGAATTTTAAATAAGTCTAAGTGTGATTCTAGAACTTCTAGAATCCTTTCTTACGAGTTCGGAATCCAATGCTTGTTTCTTCAATGAAAACAAGGTCCAGGGAGGAAGGAAATGGGGCCTAATTGACCAAGAGTCCCCCTAAAGATCCATCCCTATTCTATAGAAAGGATTTTAAAACCTCATTGACAAGGTAGATTAACTGAAATAATAACTTCTAATGCTCATGGATTCATTTAACATTTTTCAAACACAGCATGCCATTGTGTGCCTGTTTAGTGGAAACAGAAATGAGTAACATGTTAATACTTTTCAGGAATTCGCAGTCAGGTAGGGAGGAAGCCAACATGTGAACGAATACATGTATTGCAATCTGGTAAGTGTCTGTCATGATAAAGTATTTATTAAGAGGAATTAGGAGATACGTATGGAGGAAAGGGGCAGAAAATATGTGAACATGTGAAACAACACAGCAAGTTGAGGAAATGGAAAGATTATGACACAGGTGGATATTAAAAGTCACATCAGGAAAGTAAAGTTAGAATGTGAATCAAGCTACGTATCATATAGGGTTTGTTGTGACATGTTAAGGAACAGAGTTTTTTCATAAAGTCTTTGAGAAGTCCTGGAGGTTTGTAAGCAGGGAGTGGCATGGCACAATTTATAATTTAAAAAGATAATCATAGAAATAAAGCTCAAGTCAGGGAACTGTTCAGAAGGCTGTAGCAGTAACTCAGGAAAGAAATGATAAAAAGACATGAATTAGGGCAGCCATTGCCAGAAAAAGAGAAAATTAATTCAAAAAGGCAAAAGAGGTGGAATACTCCAGGGTAGGTAACAACTTGGGCAGCTATTCACTTGTTTATGACACTGGCAAGATTTGGGCCGACCACTGGCAGATAAAACAGATTGCCCACAGTTATGAAGGGGTCTTATTTGCTTTTATTGTTAGTGGTAGTGGTGATCAGATGTGGAAGGCAAGAATGATTCTCAAGTTGATAGCTTGATTTACTCTGTGGACTGAGAGAGAGAGAGAGAATGTGTGTATGTGTGTCCACTATCTAGCACTGTGCCTGGCACTGAAACACAATAATACATATTTTAAAATAAATATCTGAAACTAATAGCTGTCCCATTTAGAGTGTCTCTGAGGTGTTTTATTCATGTGTCATTTCATTATTACTGTGCATATGCAGAGTAATTCAAGGACATGTCTCTACTAAGAGATGAAGCTGGGTACAAATCTGCATGTAACAGGCCTCAATGCCCATATCAATACCATTGTGCTGAGTGACAGGAATGATGAATCTAGTCATGGTAGAAAGTTTAGGGCTTGCTCAGTTAGGAAGTTCAGACTTGTAAATAATGTACAAGATATTTGGTAGCTTGAACTGTAATTTATTGTCTGTTTCACAGCTAAATGAATGGGAGAGGATGAAAACAAAACTTATTGTTTAAATCCAAGTACTAAAGAACACTTTAGATACCCACCCTTGGGTAAATATTACCCGATTGGCAAGAAGTTTGTTATTCTAGCTAACCTAAACTCTTAGTGCTGACATTTAAACACATGTTCTCTTGTTCGCTCCTCATTGAAAAAGCAAGTCTCCTGCACAATGGCCTTTCATATTTCTGGAACCTTTTTATTAATTTAGAGGAATACATATCATATATACTGTTAGCTAATGGGATAACATAATGAGCTGATGATACTGTTTCTTGGACAATAGACAATTACTGAAGAATATTGTTTCTGTGTTTCTTACCCTTGGCCAGGTTGACTTTCTACATTGAATAGCTTTAGATTCTATTGAGTGTGGCTACATAATCTTGAGATTGACATTGGTGTTTTCACCCTTATTTTTACTCCCAATCTTCTCTCTACTCCACTTTGTAGTTATTTTACCACCAGCATTGTTTGCCAACAAATACTCCAGAATGAAAGGGAAGATGAGATTGCAGTCAGTTCCCTACTTTTCACTCTGGTTAGAGTGTTCTATGCCTAGCTTTCCTAGGGAACTTTAAAAACGAACAAAAATCTATCTTCAGTGCATTTATTAGTTTGATTTGCTATGATTGGCCTTGGATAGCCTTAGTAGTTTGAAGTTCCCTTCTTTTAAAAAAATAGAGGGAAAAAAAGATAGAGCAAAGACCTTTACTTTAAATAATTATATTAAATGCTATTTTTTTTGATTTCAATATATTATTATTTACTCAGGCAAGAAAGACCATTCCTCAAAAAAGGGCTTAAAAAGTCAGTAAATAATATGTTATGCCTAGCAAGCAAAAAAGCAGTTGGCTCTGCTTCTTTCTTTTTGGTTTTATTTTGAATGTTTTTGAAATAAATGTTAATTCGCAGAGCACTAGCTTCCTTCCTGTCAGTTGTCACAGGGTTTTTCGGTGTGGTTGTTGTTTGCTTCCTAAATGATGGTAAAGCTTCGTTATATCTGTACCTATTTTTTTCTGAACATTTGGACATTTCTTGGAAACACGTCAGAATTCATCATTTGGCTTTATTATTGTTTTGGGGAAATATAATAATTTGTTTAGAATTTTTATACAAAACATATATAGAGAATGATCTTTAATAATTTTTTAAAGAGACATTAAAGAAAATTGCTCTCCTATTTAAGTTAAATGTTTTAGTAAGCATTCTCTTATTTAATTCAGTTTTAATTGCATTATTAATTATCATGAACAAAATATTGCTAGGGAAAAAGCTGAAGAGATAATCTAATTGCAGCTTTTACTGCTTTGAATGATAAAGTACCTTTGATTTGGTGCTGAGCCAGGAGGGCTTGATTGATAATATCTGTCTCAGATGTCACCCTGGGAGAAAAGAATAAAACCTCAGTAGAGTTGGTGCATAGCAGCTGTCTCCGCTGCTCCAATTTTTCTGCCCCATTGACGTCATTGGGAGGTTTCAAACCAGTCCAGGGTGTCTAGTAAACCTGCACATAAATGAAATGAAGAAACAGAAAAACAGTGATTCATAGCCCCACTCTCACTCCAAAGAGGTGGCTGTTATAGCCTTTCAGATAATGGGCAGATGTTTTCTCCTTTACTGAATTTTAAAAAGAGAAAAAAATATCATCAGCTATCCAGAAATGTGGGAAAGCCTCAGACAAGGAATGTGAATTGCGTAAGCCCTTCTGAAATCAGATTATATCACAATGAGCCACATTTGTCCAAAGTTCTCAGATATCATAACCTGTATCCAGCTTGTCTTTAAAGTCAGGAATATCTGAAGCAGAATGTGGCATGGGAAACAGCTTTCTTTGGAGACAAGACTGCTCTCACCACCCAGACCAGTTCCCAACACCATTTCCTCCCCTTCTGTCTTCACAGGCAGCCTTTTGTGCTGAGTTCTAAATGAGGGGCCCCCATAGACAATGATAGGAACACAGAGTAGAATTACAGTGTTTTCCAGTAAAGATTTTTTTGTTTCCTTGTTTGGGGATATGTCTTTTTTATCAGCTTAATACATTAAATACATGATAAACTCTAATCCTCCAAATAATATCACAAAGAACCATTTCTAAATGCTATCACATAGCAATTTAGGGATACAGCTGAGCATTAATGATAAAATATGTTCAGATGCTAATTTTTCATCTGCTGGGCAATTTGGCTGCTGGGAGCAAAAGAATGTTCTCCTTTTCCCCTCCCCTCATTTAACACGAGCAATGACAGGAAGGACTCATAATAACTGAGTAGCTTTCATTTCTTATTTATCCGACAAGTTCCATGAAATACAGTTGAAAAATACCTGAATCTGTATAGCACTTTAAAGTTTGCAAAGCATTATCACTTTCACTTTTTCCAGTTGCATTTGTTAGACAAAACTATAAGGCAGATGTTATATTTATCACCATGTTTTCCAATCCTGTGCCCTATCTTTTGAAATCACTTCAACTTAGCAGAGACGTGTTGACCATTTATTACATGTGGTAAATTATTTAAGGTAAAAGATACATAAGATATAGTTGTCAGTCTTAGTGAGCTTAGAGAACTGAGGACAAAACAAGCATCCACACGTACCTTAAATCACAAGGCAGAATAACATAGGTGCATAAGACAAAGTGTTGGCACCTGACAGTGGGTCTTGAATGAAGGGGGCATTTCAGAGCAATATTCAAAGACTGATAATGTTTCAATAGGTAAAGATGATGGATGTGGCCTTCGGGAGTCAAGGGACCTGCGTGAACAGAGTCAAATAGGCAAGATGATCTGAGGGATGATGGGAATGACACAAACAATGTTTGGAAACTGAAGGCAGGGATCTGGTGAAAGGTAGGTCAGGCTATTAGTGGCTGACCCTAAATGCCAGGGTGAGAAGTTTGTAATAATAATGAGACATTTAAATGCTGAAGCTAGGGAGTAAAACAAATCTGTCCTTTAGTAAAATCCATCAAGCAGTCAAGTGTAAGGTACATGAGAGAAAAGAAAATCTGGCTCATGGTGCCAATTAGGAGGTTCCATATAAATCCAGGGTAGGGAGGTTTGAAGAAACAGAATTATAGGAATTTATTTGTTTAAAAATATTTATTGAGCATCTATTATCTGCCAGCCACTATTCCAGAAATGAGAATATGGCAATCATAGACAAACTCTCTGCCTTTATAGGTCTTTCATTTTAGTAAGGAAGAAATGAAAAGCAAAGAAAAATTTTACCAAAAGCTATGGGTTAGAACCAACAGCACTTAGTAACAGGTAGTTCTGGATGGAAGAAGATTCAGGATTAACTTAGTAATTTCTCTATTTGAGAGAACATATCCCTTAACCTGTTAGCTAAAAGTGCACTTACTCTATGAATTTAGCCTTCTTCACGTGCTACAGTAACACTTCACATGGATACCACATAGCTTAAATATAACGAGGTGTAGAAGCACACTTGGCAAAGCACCAAGTAATACATAAATATTATCCTTATTAGTTGTGAATGGTTGTTTTTACTGTATTGTTATTATAAGAAAATAGTAATACCTCAGAGTTTTTCTTTTTTTTTTTAACTCTTTAACTTTATTGTGCCCCAGTTTACTTTTTTTTATTGTACTTTAAGTTTTAGGGTACATGTGCACAACGTGCATGTTTGTTGCATATGTATACATGTGCCATGTTGGTGTGCTGCACCCATTAACTCGTCATTTAACATTAGGTATATCTCCTAATGCTATCCCTCCCCCCTCCTCCCACCCCACAACAGGCCCTGGTGTGTGATGTTCCCCTTCCTGTGTCCATGTGTTCTCATTGTTCAATTCCCACCTATAAGTGAGAACATGCGGTGTTTGGTTTTTTTGTCCTTGCGATAGTTTGCTGAGAATGATGGTTTCCAGCTTCATCCATGTCCCTACAAAGGACATGAACTCATCGTTTTTTATGGCTGCGTAGTATTACATGGTGTATATGTGCCTCATTTTCTTAATCCAGTCTATCATTGTTGGACATTTGGGTTGGTTCCAAATCTTTGCTATTGTGAATAGTGCCGCAATAAACATACGTGTGCATGTGTCTTTATAGCAGCATGATTTATAACCCTTCGGGTATATACCCAGTAATGGGATTGCTGGGTCAAACGGTATTTCTAGTTCTAGATCCCTGAGGAATCGCCACATTGACTTCCACAATGGTTGAACTAGTTTACAGTCCCACCAACAGTGTAAAAGTGTTCCTATTTCTCCACATCCTCTCCAGCACCTGTTGTTTCCTGACTTTTTAATGATTGCCATTCTAACTGGTGTGAGATGGTATCTCATTGTGGTTTTGATTTGCATTTCTCTGATGGCCAGTGATGATGAGCATTTTTTCATGTGTTTTTTGGCTGCATAAATGTCTTCTTTTGAGAAGTGTCTGTTATCTTCTTCGCCCACTGGTTGATGGAGTTGTTTTTTCTTGTAAATTTGTTTGAGTTCATTGTAGACTCTGGATATTAGCCCTTTGTCAGATGAGTAGATTGCAAAAATTTTCTCCCATTCTGTAGGTTGCCTTTTCATTCTGATGGTAGTTTCTTTTGCTGTGCAGAGGCTCTTTAGTTTAATTAGATCCCATTTGTCAATTTTGGCTTTTGTTGCCATTGCTTTTGGTGTTTTAGATATGAAGTCCTTGCCCATGCCTATGTCTTGAATGGCATTGCCTAGGTTTTCTTCTAGGATTTTTATGGTTTTAGGTCTAACATTTAAGTCTTTAACCCATCTTGAATTAATTTTTGTATAAGGTGTAAGGAAGGGATCCAGTTTCAGCTTTCTACATATGGCTAGCCAGTTTTCCCAGCACCATTTATTAAATAGGGAATCCTTTCCCCATTTCTTGTTTTTGTCATGTTTGTCAAACATCAGATAGTTTTAGATATGCGGCATTATTTCTGAGGGCTCTTTCTGTTCCATTGGTCTATATCTCTGTTTTGGTACCAGCACCATGCTGTTTTGGTTACTGTAGCCTCATTGTATAATTTGAAGTCAGGTAGCGTGATGCCTCCAGCTTTGTTCTTTTGGCTTAGGATTCACTTGGTGATGCGGGCCCTTTTTTGGTTCCATATGAACTTTAAAGTAGTTTTTTCCAATTCAGTGAAGAAAGTCATTGGTAACTTGATGGAGATAGCATCGAATCTATAAATCACCTTGGGCAGTATGGCCATTTTCACGATATTGATTCTTCCTACCCATGAGCATGGAATGTTCTTCCATTTGTTTGTATCATCTTTTATTTCATTGAGCAGTGGTTTGTAGTTCTCCTTGAAGAGGTCCTTCACGTCCCTTATAAGTTGGATTCCTAGGTATTTTATTCTCTTTGAAGCAATTGTGAATGGGAGTTCAGTCATGATTTGGCTCTGTTTGTCTGTTATTGGTGTATAAGAATGCTTGTGATTTTTGCTCATCGATTTTGTATCCTCAGACTTTGCTGAAGTTGCCTATCAGCTTAAGGAGATTTTGGGCTGAGACCATGGGGTTTTCTAGATATACAATCATCTCATCTGCAAACAGGGACAATTTGACTTCCTCTTTTCCTAATTGAATACCCTTTATTTCCTTCTCCTGCCTAATTGCCCGGGCCAGAGCTTCCAACACTATGTTGAATAGGAGTGATGAGAGAGGGCATCCCTGTCTTGTGCCAGTTTTCAAAGGGAATCCTTCCAGTTTGTGCCCATTCAGTATGATATTGGCTGTGGGTTTGTCATAGATGGCTCTTATTATTTTGAGATATGTCCCATCAATACCTAATTTATTGAGAGTTTTTAGTATGAAGGTTGTTGAATTTTGTCAAAGGCCTTTTCTGCATCTGTTGAGATAATCATGTAGTTTTGGTCGTTGGTTCTGTTTATATGCTGGATTACGTTTATTGATTTGCATATGTTGAACCAGCCTTGCATCCCAGGGATGAAGCCCACTTGATCATGGTGGATAAGCTTTTTGATGTGCTGCTGGATTCAGTTTGCCAGTATTTTACTGAGGATTTTTGCATCAATGTTCATCAAGAATATTGGTCTAAAATTCTCTTTTTTGGTTGTGTCTCTGCCAGTCTTTGGTATCAGGATGATGCTGGCCGCATAAAATGCATTAGGGAGGATTCCCTCTTTTTCTGTTGATTGGAATAGTTTCAGAAGGAATGGTACCAGTTCCTCCTTGTACCTCTGGTAGAATTTGGCTGTGAATCCATCTGGTCCTGGACTCTTTTTGGTTGGTAAGCTATTGATTATTGCCACAATTTCAGACCCTGTTATTGGTCTATTCAAAGATTTAACTTCTTCCTGGTTTAGTCTTGGGAGGGCATATGTGTCGAAGAATTTATCCATTTCTTCTAGATTTTCTAGTTTATTTGCGTAGAGGTGTTTGTAGTATTCTCTGATGGTAGTTGGTATTTCTGTGGGATCTGTGGTGATATCCCCTTTATCATTTTTTATTGCATCTGTTTGATTCTTCTCTCTTTTCTTCTTTATTAGTCTTGCTAGCGGTCTATCAATTTTGTTGATCCTTTCAAAAAACCAGCTCCTGGATTCATTGATTTTTTTGAAGGGTTTTCTGTGTCTCTATTTCCTTCAGTTCTGCTCTGATTTTAGTTATTTCTTGCCTTCTGCTAGCTTTTGAAAGTGTTTGCTCTTGCTTTTCTAGTTCTTTTAATTGTGATGTTGGGGTGTCAATTTTAGATCTTTCCTGCTTTCTCTTGTGGGCATTTAGTGCTATAAATTTCCCTCTACACACTGCTTTGAATGTGTCCCAGAGATTCTGGTATGTTGTGTCTTTGTTCTCGTTGGTTTCAAAGAACATCTTTATTTCTGCCTTCATTTTGTTATGTACCCAGTAGTCATTCAGGAGCAGGTTGTTCAGTTTCCATGTAGTTGAGTAGTTTTGAGTGAGTTTCTTAATCCTGAGTTCTAGTTTGATTGCACTGTGGTCTGAGAGACAGTTTGTTATAATTTCTGTTCTTTTACATTTGTTGAGGAGTGTTTTACTTCCAACTATGTGGTCAATTTTGCAATAGGTGTGGTGTGGTGCTGAAAAGAATGTATATTCTGTTGATTTGGGGTGGAGAGTTCTGTAGATAGCTATTAGGTCCACTTGGTGCAGAGCTGAATTCAATTCCTGGGTATCCTTGTTAACTTTCTGTCTCGTTGATCTGTCTAATGTTGACAGTGGGGTGTTAAAGTCTCCCATTATTATTGTGTGGGAGTCTAAGTCTCTTTGTAGGTCACACAGGACTTGCTTTATGAATCTGGGTGCTCCTGTATTGGGTGCATATATATTTAGGATAGTTAGCTCTTCTTGTTGAATTGATCCCTTTACCATTATGTAATGGCCTTCTTTGTCTCTTTTGATCTTTGTTGGTTTAAAGTCTGTTTTATCAGAGACTAGGATTGCAACCCCTGCCTTTTTTGTTTTCCATTTGCTTGGTAGATCTTCCTCCATGCCTTTATTTTGAGCCTATGTGTGTCTCTGCACATGAGATGGGTTTCCTGAATACAGCACACTGATCGGTCTTGACTGTTTATCCAATTTGCCAGTCTGTGTCTTTTAATTGGAGCATTTAGTCCATTTACATTTAAGGTTAGTATTGTTATGTGTGAATTTGATCCTGTCATTATGATGTTAGCTGGGTATTTTGCTCATTAGTTGACGCAGTTTCTTCCTATCCTCGATGGACTTTACAATTTGGCATGTCTTTGCAGTGGCTGGTACCAGTTTTTCCTTTCTATGTTTAGTGCTTCCTTCAGGAGCTCTTTTAGGGCAAGCCTGGTGGTGACAAAATCTCTCAGCATTTGCTTGTCTATAAGTATTTCATTTCTCCTTCACTTATGAAGCTTAGTTTGGCTGGATATGAAATTCTGGGTTGAAAATTCTTTTCTTTAAGAATGTTGAATATTGGCCCCCACTCTCTGCTGGCTTGTAGAGTTTCTGCCAAGAGATCAGCTGTTAGTCTGATGGTTTCCCTTTGTGGGTAACCTGACCTTTCTCTCTGGCTGCCCTTAACATTTTTTCCTTCATTTCAACTTTGGTGAATCTGACAATTATATGTCTTGGAGTTGCTCTTCTCGAGGAGTATCTTTGTGGCATTCTCTGTATTTCCTGAAGTTGAATGTTGGCCTACCTTGCTAGATTGGGGAAGTTCTCCTGGATAATATCCTGCAGAGTGTTTTCCAACTTGGTTCCATTCTCCCTGTCACTTTCAGGTACACCAATCAGACGTAGATTTGGCCTTTTCACATAGTCCCATATTTCTTGGAGGCTTTGTTTGTTTCTTTTTATTCTTTTTTCTCTATACTTCTCTTCTCGCTTCATTTCATTCATTTGATCTTCCGTCATTGATACCCTCTCTTCCAGTTGATCGAATAGGCTATTGAGGCTTGTGCATTCGTCACGTAGTTCTCATGCCATGGTTTTCAGCTCCCTCAGGTCCTTTAAGGACTTCTCTGCATTGGTTATTCTAGTTGGCCATTCATCTAATTTTTTTTTCAAGGTTTTTAACTTCATTGCCATGAGTTCGAACTTCCTCCTTTAGCTTGGAGTAGTTTGATTGTCTGACGCCTTCTTCTCTCAACTCATCAAAGTCATTCTCCATCCAGCTTTGTTCCATTGCTGGTGAGGAGCTGCATTCCTTTGGAGGAGGAGAGGTGCTCTGCTTTTTAGAGTTTCCAGTTTTTCTGCTCTGTTTTTTCCCCATCTTTGTGGTTTTATCTACCTTTGGTCTTTGATGATGGTGATGAAGAAATGGGGTTTTGGTGTGGATGTCCTTTCTGTTTGTTAGTTTTCCTTCTAACAGTCAGGACTCTCAGCTGCACGTCTGTTGGAGTTTACTGGAGGTCCACTCCAGACCCTGTTTGCCTGGGTATCAGCAGTGGAGGCTGCAGAACAGCTGATATTGGTGAACAGCAAATGTTGCTGCCTGATCATTCCTCTGGAAGTTTTGTCTCAGAGGAGTACCTGGCCGTGTGAGATGTCAGTCTGCCTCTACTGGGGGGTGCCTCCCAGTTAGGCTACTCGGGGGTCAAGGACCCACTTGAGGAGGCAGTCTGTCCATTCTCAGATCTCCAGCTGCGTGCTGGGAGAACCACTATTCTCTTCAAAGCTGTCAGACAGGGACATTGAAGTCTGCAGAGGTTTTTGCTGCCTTTTGTTTGGCTATGCCCTGCCCCCAGAGGTGGAGTCTACAGAGGCAGGCAGGCCTCCTTGAGCTGTGGTGGGCTCCACCCAGTTCATTCTTCCCAGCCACTTTGTTTACCTACTCAAGCCTTGGCAATGGCGGGCACCCCTCCCCCAGCCTCGCTGCCTGCAACCTTGCAGTTTGATCTCAGACTGCTGTGCTAGCAATGAGTGAGGCTCTGTGGGCATAGGAACCTCTGAGCCAGGCGTGGGATATAATCTCCTGGTATGCCATTTGCTAAGACCATTGGAAGAGTGCAGTATTAGGGTGGGAGTGACCTGATTTTCCAGGTGCCATCTGTCACCCCTTTCTTTGACTAGGAAAGGGAATTCCCTGACTCCGTGGGCTTCCTGGGTGAGGCGATGCCTCACCCTGCTTTGGCTCATACTCGGTGTGCTGCACGTGCTGTCCTGTACCCAGTGTCCAACACTCCCCAGTAAGATGAACCCGGTACCTCAGTTGGTAATGCAGAAATCACCCGTCTTCTGCGTCACTCACGCTGGGAGCTGTAGACTGGAGCTGTTCCTATTCAGCCATCTTGACTCCACCCCCTGGAGTTTTTCATTTGGTAAATTGTTTCTCATTTTAATTATTTGAAAGCAAAGAGTTGAAATATATTTATATTCATTATGTGTCTTCAAATAATCTCAGAAAAGTTTGGACCTTACCTTACCATATAATCTTTTGATTTTGTTGCTGCTGTGATTTCTGCTTACATGTTAGTGTAGTATACATTATGAAAAATGGTATGTATTGTCTAGGGAGCTCCTAAAACTTGTATCTAGGACTCCAGTACCTAATGGAGAAAGAGGTCAATTCAGCAAAGAATGTGTTTTATGTATTGATAAATTTTGTGAGCTACATCCTCATAAGCATTTAATACTTTAAACACTTAAGCATCTTCTTTGAGGTTATTTATGTGAATGATTTATTAGAGAGTTTAGGTTATTTCTCCTATACATTCACAAGTCTCATAACATTTAAAAGACTGATCTGTTGCTCCTGTTATTAGTAAAATTCATTTTACAATGTATATTTAAAAATTAGCAGAAATTAAAATCTTAATTCACATCAAAGTAAATGTGAGCCACATAATCAGATTACTGTCGAGTCAATAGACTACCTAGGGTTATCAATAATGACCCTACTTATGTGTCTGCCTTTTTGTCAAGTTAAGAATAAGAATCTACATGCAAGTGGAAGGGGAGAATCGAGAGCGTTACCTAGATAATTGTCTTTAAGGAGTATTAGTCCCTTTTCACGCTGCTGATAAAGACATACCCGAGACTGGGTAATTTATAAAGGAAAAGAGGTTGAATGGACTCACAGTTCCACGTGGCTGGGGAGACTTCACAATCATGGCAGAAGGCAAAAGGCACGTTTCACATAGCAGCAGACCAGGGGGAATGAGAACCAAGCAAAAGGGAAAACCCTTATAAAACCATCAGATCTTGTGAGACTTATTCACTACCTTGAGAATAGTATGGGGGAAAACACCCCATGATTTCAATTATCTCCCACGGGTCCCTCCCACAACACTTGGGAATTATGGGAGCTACAATTCAAGATGAGATTTGGGTGGGGACACAGCCAAACCATATCAGAAGTCTTTTTAGGAAAAATAAGATGATAATAAAATGAACTTCTTACATTGATAACTATCCCTGATGTACTAAAAAAGGCTTACTTGGTAAGTATTTACTAATATATATGTGTATGTCTAGGGCCTTGTGTCCAAAACTGTTCTATCTCTCTCTCTCTGTGTCTCTTTGTATCAATTGAAGACTCTTTTGTGATCCTTTCTACCCAACTGAAGATCAGGCAGATAAGCAAATAATTTGATCAGTGACTTCTTTTTGCCTATAAAATTTTAATTTAAAAAAACCATTTGGTAATCATAATCCCCTGTTGTCTTTTCACTTAGAATTTAGACTCAACCGAACTGATCTCAATCTCTGACAAGCCCTTCCCAATTCTGCCCACTGCCCTTCTGCATCCTCCTAGCTCTTCTCACTGTACTGTCCTTACTGTTTGCTTGTCCATATCATGCTGTGCTTACCTATTTATATGATTCTTTCACCTCTTGGCCATGAAACCCCGGAAGATCATGACTGTTTCCTTCATATTTATACCCATTACCCCTAGCGGAGTCTCAGTCACCTGTGAGGTTCTCAAGAAATATAGGAAATATCCGTTAAAGTGAATATTCTTTTGACAATGGAGACATGGCTTTCATGGTTTCGGGGAAAACTTTTATTGTCCTAAAAAAGAGTCCCTTTATCCTTTATGCCAAATACAAAGGCTGTATCTCTCATCAAGTCTTAGGGTAATTTCTGAGTCTTGAGACATATGGCAATTAATAATAATAATAATAGCAGGAGCAGCAACAGTTTACTGAGCACTTGGTGTTTGCCAGGCCTGTGTTAAGCACCAAACATATAATCATACCTCAGTCTATCTATATTTTGCAGATGAAGAAACAAAAAGTTTAAGGTACTTGCCCAAAGTCACACAAATATAAAGACTTGGTAAAGTCAAGATTAACCCAAGTTTTTCTGCCATTAAAGCCTACTTTTAACAGTTATGAAGAATTGCTAAATTGACACATAACAAATCCATTTAAAAAGATATGGATTTTATTTGTACACAGAGCTGGAATATGTCTGTCAGTGTGGGAAGGTACCTGACTTCATGATCATATATGGAAAGAAAGTAAGATGTTTCCACAAGAAAGGAATTTCATGTTGTTTGTCTAGTCCTTTAAACATCTGGATATATTTTGAAACTAATTTTTTAAACTGCCTTTGGTTTGAGTCTTTGAAAATGAAAAATATATTTTATGAAGCAGTCACTGTTCAGGGAGCCAAAATACTTGAATTCTAATCTCAACTTTGTATTTTACCAAACCAGATTCCTGAAACATCCTAGGCTATTTCTTGGTTGTCAAATCAATGATGGAATGATATTGTAGGTTCACCATATCCCGTTCCTTCCTGTTCCTCTAGTGTGCTTCACTTACTTCGGAGAAGTCACTGAAGACCAATTTCAAATTATTTTTGGTGAGAAAAAGCCTGAGACCTGTGAGGGATACTTCAGGGAAATGTTATCATCTCAGAGCTTTAAAATAATCATCTCCCCTGGGTTCTCCGTGGTTTGGAATTCTTATGAAGCTTAATGCGTGAAAAGGACAACAGTTTTCAAAATGTTGGCAGTTTCCTACATTTGACCTTTTAACATTTAGAAACATTGGTCAAGGTATGTTTAAATTCTTTAAATTGTAGCTGACCTTTGGAGAAATAAACATAAATTAAGGTTATTACCTACATGGAATGCTTATATGGAACTATTAGCAAAGTAAAAGTAGTACGTTAAGTACACCATGGAAAAATGCTTTTAGAGACTGAAATCATTATAGTGATAGAGTCACTGAGCTGGAAAGAAACTTGGGAAGCCATCTAGTTCACCCTTCTGTCTGAGGCCATGTCACATTTGAACCATAACAAGAGATTTGAAA
Organism: Homo sapiens; assembly: GCF_000001405.40. NCBI lineage: Eukaryota > Metazoa > Chordata > Mammalia > Primates > Hominidae > Homo > Homo sapiens. The sequence goes on from NC_000001.11 coordinate 66,193,949, forward strand.
TCTTTTTTTTTTTTTTTGGGAGATTCAACAACTTCTCTTGGTATCTAGTTCTAGTAACTGACAATCTCACCTGTCAGCAAGTCGTTTTTCATAGCTAACCTAAATCCCTAGGGCTGCACTTTGAACTAACTCACTTTCTTCTGTTCTTAGATGTAGAAAACAGCTCACATAATGACTCCTTTTGCACAGGAAGATTGCTATCAAGATGTTATTCAGCTCTCATCCTAAAGCCAAATTCCCTGAACCTTTCTTCACAATTTCTTTGTGTCTAACCTTTTAGTAACTTACCTTTTGCACATATGGCTCTACCCAAGTCTTCATCTTCTCAATTGTGAGACCCACAATACTATCTAATAGCATACTTAGCTATTATACTCGATGAATTGCTTAGTTGAATATGCTATGTTAACATCATAACTTGGATGCTGTTTCTGTTTAACAAAACATATAATGAAAACTTTTCCTTTAAACAATAGAAACAGAAAACATTGTATTGACAGCAAGAAAGGTTACAAGGGTGTCCATCGCCTTAAAATTCCCCAATTTATAAAAATCATGGACTAAAAATGAATAAATTAAGGAAGATAATTTAACAAATGTTTATAACTCCTTTACATTTCTACTCCATGCTGAGCAGAAGGTTAATGAAGTAAAATAAGTTTTGGTATCAAACAACTCCAATTTCGTACTCCATGTAACTGGACTTAATGAGCAAGTATATTCTAATTTCTAAGGTTTATTGGCCTGATCTTGCAGAATATGAAAATAATAAAAAAGGTGAGTTCCTTGAGGACAGGGTCATTCTTATTTATTTTTGTATCTATGTGAGTTCCTTGAGGACAAGGGCCATTTCTTATTTATTTTTGTATCTCTAGGGCCTTCCCCAATTCATAACAGAGATTAACACTCACTTATGTTTGAATTTTACTGAAAGGTTGCTCGTGAGAATTAAATGAGATTATATATGTGAAAATATTTGGTCAGCTGTTAAACTCTATATAATTGTGAGTCATTACCATTAGTAATTTTAAAAGAGTGATGATTAGTAATGAGTTTTTAAAAATTAAACCAAACTTTGGTTTACAGCTGTCTTTCCAGGAACATTTGTTATTCATTTGTTGCAAATCTACACATGAGTTTCCTAAAATTAATAATCAGTGGTACAAAGCTGGCCATTTGGAGTTTAATGCTTAGACTCTTTTGAGCAAAATGAGAATGACAAGCGAACTCAGATGTGACCAAGGTGACCTCCCAGAGCCAATCCAAATTCACTCTGGCACCAGATGAATAGGACTACCCTGAAAAATTTATAATTTTCCAGAGCTTCCATGACCTTGTGTTCATTTCCCTATGTGGGAGAGAAAAATCAGTGGTATCTTTGACTGACAATAGCACCCAAAGGTTTAAATAACATTGCTTCATTTATTAACAACATGACTAAAAGGAGTCTTTAAGTACTTGACCTTCTTTCATGGGGAACAGCCAAAGGGCCAGAGGAATACACGGACTTAAAAAGCAGTGTTTATGAATAATACTTTAGATCTTTCTAAAGAGCACCATCCCCTGTTTTGCTATTTGGTTTACAAATACTTAGTTTAAGAAAGAAGAACTTTGGAATCAAAGTAGTTCAGATTGAGATCTTAGCTCTGCTATACAAGTAGGTCCTTGGGACAATTACTTAGCTTTTCTAACCTCAATTTTGCTTTCTGTAAAATGGAAAATATATTACCTAGCTCATAAGTTTCCTGGCACTGTTGGGTTCTTGGTAACTTCATTACCTCCTACACCTTCTGATCTCCTTCTTCACCTATTTTGTTAGTGGCAGTTGGCTGGCTGATATGATTTACAAAGCTAGTATGTCCAATGTATATGAGACCCCTGCAAGAAGCAGCAAAAACTATTTGATAAACATTTTATTGAATTTATTTCCAAGAGTGGTATTGATTGCATGATAATGACACAAAGCTATAAACCTCCTTCTTCACCTATTTTGTTAGTGGTCGTTGGCTGGCTGATATGATTTACAAAGCTAGTATGTCCAATGTATACGAGACCCCTGCAAGAAGCAGCAAAAACTATTTGATAAACATTTTATTGAATTTATTTCCAAGAGTGGTATTGATTGCATGATAATGACACAAAGCTAGAAACCTCAGAGAATGTATTGCTTTTTGAGGAATTAACTTAAAACTAGAAAAATACAGCTTTAAATGTAAAAATTGACTAGCCTGCCAAGGGCAAATAGCATAGGAAGGAGTTCTGGAAGGGCAACTGGCGGCCCTGGGTTTAGGCCCACCTGTGCCACAAACTAGAAAACCCTGGACAAGTCACTTTTCTTCTCTGAACTTTACTTGCTTCATCTTTAAAATAGGAGGATGATGCCCTAGGCCTTTTTCTGCATCAACAGTCTACAGAGCTGAGAGTCAAGCATTGATACTCTCCCAAACAGATGCTGCCTAGGCACAGAAGGGTTCAGGCTCCATCTTGTTTTGCTGTCAAACCTTCAAAAAGTGAGGACTGTGGCCTTTAGGCCAGCACATCTCTGTAGAGAAAACATCAGTTGCCCCACTGTGAAGATTCTGAAGGCAGTTTGGTCCCTCCTCCCCCAATTTATTTTCTAGATGAAGAACATGCTATCTCATTTAGTGAGAAAGTTTGTCACAAAAAAGAAAAGTCAGCCATAAAAAATGATGAGTTCATGTCCTTTGTAGGGACATGGATGAAATTGGAAATCATCATTCTCAGTAAACTATCGCAAGAACAAAAAACCAAACACCGCATATTCTCACTCATAGGTGGGAATTGAACAGTGAGATCACATGGACACAGGAAGGGGAATATCACACTCTGGGGACTGTGGTGGGGTGGGGGGAGGGGGGAGGGATAGCATTGGGAGATATACCTAATGCTAGATGACAAGTTAGTGGGGGTAGCGCACCAGCATGGCACATGTATACATATGTAACTAACCTACACAATATGCACATGTACCCTAAAACTTAAAGTATAACAATAATAAAAAATAACAAAAAAGAAACATAAGAGCTCAGGATAAAGAAAATAACAAAATTGGAATGCAAACCATACCAATTTGAAAACAGGCAAATAATTTATTTTGCTAAATCAAATTTCAGAGATTGAAGTCTGGATCTGTTTATGTTGCCGCAGTCCCTCTTGAAATTACCAAATAGGAGTATCACTCTTGGTAATTTAATTTTTATGGAGCTGGAAGGTGTAGATATTTGTGAATCTCCCACTTAAGGCCTAAATTAGATTTCTTCATTTAGAATAAGAAATATGTTTAAAAAGCATACATTTTATTTTTTTCTCCACGTTTTCTGCACCTGAAAAGGGATCGTGTCTAATTGTATGCTCAGCTTAGAGCCATATTCTTGGCTTAACAGAGATAAATCAACTCACTCCACTAAACTAAAAGGCAAAATAACTTATAGATGTTAATCTCTCATAGCTTGCAGCAGTCTTTCCTATTATTAGAGGGAGCAAAAAAAATCAGCCAGAGACACACATGATATTTATACGTATTTAAAACGGAATATTCAGGAATGTTGTTTCTCACAGTTAAACCTGTGCTGAAATACTTTACAGATATGCAACTTAAACTACAGTGAAAAACCATCTTTGCTGTTTTCCTGTGTGCTGATGAGAAAGAATATACATCTCAAAGAGTAGTGGTTTCTTCAAAATCCCCAATCTACATCTTGGAACTCTATTCTGTGCAAATTCATTTCTCCTCAAAGATGAAAATAAATAAACTTATTTAAGACTTAAGGGTAAGGCAAACAAAAAATGCATAGACAAAATTTAGAATACCTAATAATCTGGGATTTAACCTGAAAGTCTTTAAAATGCACTAGCATTTAATTTGAGAGAGAGAAAAAAAAGAAGACCCTACTGCTGTATATTTCTGTTCAAAATTTACTGCTGTTTCTCTGGAATAGAAAAGAAGCAGTTTCTGTTGAGTTGGCAAATTAATGTGCTTGAACAGAATAAAGAGAGCAGGCCAAGGAAATCACACTGCTTTTAATACTTTCTTTGCAAAGAGCTTTTTTGGACCAAGTCCATGACTGCTACAAGTAAGTACTCAGTTGCAAGAAGAATGTGAGTAGAGATCAAGTAGGCTGGAGCTTTTTGTTAATTCACTCTTAATGTTACTAATGTTAATTTGAATCTGGAGACTTAAGATCAAACCAAGCGGCTAATATTCTGCAAGGCCCCGTTCCCTTTCCTAGTGATTCCTGGGGGTAGAAATCATTTCTTAAACCTAATATAAAAATCTACTCTTCTGAGTGATTGCAAAATAGCTGGTGTTAGAGTTCTGTATCTTACCTTTCTATTCACTTATTATGTGCACAGCTACTTTTTAAAATATTTTTTCTATTTATAAAAGAAGTGCATAACCATCATGGAAAATTTATAAAAGTAACAAAAAACATAAACAAAAAAATCATTTGTATTTGACAAAACATTCATAAAGCATAGTCAAGCTAGATAAGCAAAAAGTGGCATTTATTTTAAGTATAATTCATCTTAGAGAAACTACAATAGAAATACATGTGTTTCCAAAGCCTCAAAGACTGTTAAGATTCACTTGGGGCCTCTTTCTGCTCCTCTCTGCACTTCTCCTGTGTTTTTATTTTATTTTATTTTATTATTATTATGCTTTAAGTTTTAGGGTACTTGTGCACAACGTGCAGGTTTGTTACATATGTATACATGTGCCATGTCGGTGTACTGCACCCATTAACTCGTCATTTAGAATTAGGTATATCTCCTAATGCTATCCCTCCCCCTTCCCCCCACCCCACAACAGTCCCTGGAGTGTGATGTTGCCCTTCCTGTGTCCATGTGTTCTCGTTGTTCAATTCCCACCTATGAGTGAGAACATGCGGTGTTTGGTTTTTTGTCCTTGTGATAGTTTTCTGAGAGTGATGATTTCAAGTTTCATCCATGTCCCTACAAAGGACATGAACTCATCATTTTTTATGGCTGCATAGTATTCCATGGTGTATATGTGCCACATTTTCTTAATCCAGTCTATCGTTGTTGGACATTTGGGTTGGTTCCAAGTCTTTGCTATTGTGAATAATGCTGCAATAAACATACGTGTGCATGTGTCTTTATAGCAGCATGATTTATAGTCCTTTGGGTATATACCCAGTAATGGGATGGCTGGGTCAAATGGTATTTCTAGTTCTAGATCCCTGAGGAATCGCCACACTGACTGCCACAATGGTTGAACTAGTTTACAGTCCCACCGACAGTGTAAAAGTATTCCTATTTCTCCACATCCTCTCCAGCACCTGTTGTTTCCTGACTTTTTAATGATCGCCATTCTAACTGGTGTGAGATGGTATCTCATTGCAGTTTTGATTTGCATTTCTCTGATGGCCAGTGATGATGAGCATTTTTTCATGTGTTTTTTGGCTGCATAAATGGCTTCTTTTGAGAAGTGTCTGTTCATATCCTTCGCCCACTTTTTTTGTTTTGTTTGTTTGTTTGTTTTTTTCTTGTAAATTTGTTTGAGTTCATTGTAGATTCTGGATATTAGCCCTTTGTCAGATGAATAGGTTGCAAAAATTTTCTCCCATTTTGTAAGTTGCCTCCCATTTTGTAGGTTTCTCCCATTTTGACACGATCCCTTTTCAGGTGCAGAAAATGTGGAGAAAAAAATAAAATGTATGCTTTTTAAACATATTTCTTATTCTAAATGAAGAAATCTAATTTAGGCCTTAAGTAGGAGATTCACAAATATCTACACCTTCCAGCTCCATAAAAATTAAATTACCAAGAGTGATACTCCTATTTGGTAATTTCAAGAGGGACTGCAGCAACATAGGTTGATGGTAGTTTCTTTTGCTGTGCAGAAGCTCATTAGTTTAATTAGATCCCATTTGTCAATTTTGGCTTTTGTTGCCATTGCTTTTGGTGTTTTAGACATGAAGTCCTTGCCCAGGCCTATGTCCTGAATAGTATTGCCTAGGTTTTCTTCTAGGGTTTTTATGGTTTTAGGTCTAACATTTAAGTCTCTAATCCATCTTGAATTAATTTTTGTATAAGGTGTAAGGAAAGGATCCAGTTTCAGCTTTGTACATATGGCTAGCCAGTTTTCCCAGCACCATTTATTAAATAGGGAATCCTTTCACCATTTCTTGTTTTTGTCAGGTTTGTCAAAGATCAGATAGTTGTAGATATATGGCATTATTTCCGAGGGTTCTGTTCTATTCCATTGGTCTATATCTCTGTTTTGGTAGCAGTACCATGCTGTTTTGGTTACTGTAGCCTTATAGTATAGTTTGAAGTCAGGTAGCGTGATGCCTCCAGCTTTGTTCTTTTGGCTTAGGATTGACTTGGCGATGAGGGCTCTTTTTTGGTTCCATATGAACTTTACAGTAGTTTTTTCCAATTCTGTGAAGAAAGTCATTGGTAGCTTGATGGGGATGGCACTGAATCTATAAATTACCTTGGGCAGTATGGCCATTTTCACGATATTGATTCTTCCTACGCGTGAGCATGGAATGTTCTTCCATTTGTTTGTATCCTCTTTTATTTCATTGAGCAGTGGTCTGTAGTTCTCCTTTAAGAGGTCCTTCACGTCCCTTGTAAGTTGGATTCCTAGGTATTTTATTCTCTTTGAAGCAATTGTGAATGGGAGTTCACTCATGATTTGGCTCTCTGTTTGTCTGTTATTGGTGTATAAGAATGCTTGTGATTTTTGTACACTGATTTTGTGTCCTGAGACTTTGCTGAAGTTGCTTATCAGCTTAAGGAGATTTTGGGCTGAGACAGTGGGGTTTTCTAGATATACAATCATGTCATCTGCAAACAGGGAGAATTTACTTCCTCTTTTCCTAACTAAATACCCTTTATTTCCTTCTCCTACCTAATTGCCCTGGCCAGAACTTCCAACACTATGTTGAATAGGAGTGGTGAGAGAGGACATCCCTGTCTTGTGCCAGTTTTCAAAGGGAATGCTTCCAGTTTTTGCCCATTCAGTATGATATTGGCTGTGGGTTTGTCATAGATAGCTCTTATTATTTTGAGATACATCCCATCAATACCTAATTTATTGAGAGTTTTTGGAATGAAGCATTGTTGAATTTTGTCAAAGGCCTTTTCTGCATCTATTGAGATAATCATGTGGTTTTTGTCTTTGGTTCTGTTTATATGCTGGATTACATTTATTGATTTGTGCATGTTGAGCCAGCCTTGCATCCCAGGGATGAAGCCCACTTGATCATGGTGGATAAGCTTTTTGATGTGTTGCTGGATTCGGTTTGCCAGTATTTTACTGAGGATTTTTGCATCAATGTTCATCAAGGATATTGGTCTAAAATTCTCTTTTTTGGTTGTGTCTCTGCCAGTCTTTGGTATCAGGATGATGCTGGCCTCATAAAATGAGTTAGGGAGGATTCCCTCTTTTTCTATTGATTGGAATAGTTTCAGAAGGAATGGTGCCAGTTCCTCCTTGTACCTCTGGTAGAATTTGGCTGTGAATCCATCTGGTCCTGGACTCTTTTTGGTTGGTAAGCTATTTTTATTGCCACAATTTCAGACCCTGTTATTGGTCTATTCAAAGATTTAACTTCTTCTTTGTTTAGTCTTGGGAGGGCGTATGTGTCGAGTAATTTATCCATTTCTTCTAGATTTTCTAGTTTATTTGCGTAGAGGTGTTTGTAGTATTCTCTGATGGTAGTTGGTATTTCTGTGGGATCTGTGGTGATATCCCCTTTGTCATTTTTTATTGCATCTGTTTGATTCTTCTCTCTTTTCTTCTTTATTAGTCTTGCTAGCGGTCTATCAATTTTGTTGATCCTTTCAAAAAACCAGCTCCTGGATTCATTGATTTTTTTGAAGGGTTTTCTGTGTCTCTATTTCCTTCAGTTCTGCTCTGATTTTAGTTATTTCTTGCCTTCTGCTAGCTTTTGAATGTGTTTGCTCTTGCTTTTCTAGTTCTTTTAATTGTGATGTTGGGGTGTCAATTTTAGATCTTTCCTGCTTTCTCTTGTGGGCATTTAGTGCTATAAATTTCCCTCTACACACTGCTTTGAATGTGTCCCACAGATTCTGGTATGTTGTGTCTTTGTTCTCATTGGTTTCAAAGAACATCTTTATTTCTGCCTTCATTTTGTTATGTACCCAGTAGTCATTCAGGAGCAGGTTGTTCAGTTTCCATGTAGTTGAGCAGTTTTGAGTGAGTTTCTTAATCCTGAGTTCTAGTTTGATTGCACTGTGGTCTGAGAGACAGTTTGTTATAATTTCTGTTCTTTTACATTTGTTGAGGAGTGTTTTACTACCAACTATGTGGTCAATTTTGGAATAGGGGTGGTGTGGTGCTGAAAAGAATGTATATTCTGTTGATTTGGGGTGGAGAGTTCTGTAGATATCTATTAGGTCCACTTGGTGCAGAGCTGAATTCAATTCCTGGGTATCCTTGTTAACTTTCTGTCTCGTTGATCTGTCTAATGTTGACAGTGGGGTGTTAAAGTCTTCCATTATTATTTTGTGGGAGTCTAAGTCTCTTTGTAGGTCACGCAGGACTTGCTTTATGAATCTGGGTGCGCCTGTATTGGGTGCATATATATTTAGGATAGTTAGCTCTTCTTGTTGAATTGATCCCTTTACCATTATGTAATGGCCTTCTTTGTCTCTTTTGATCTTTGTTGGTTTAAAGTCTGTTTTATCAGAGACTAGGATTGCAACCCCTGCCTTTTTTTGTTTTCCATTTGTTTGGTAGATCTTCCTCCATCCCTTTATTTTGAGTCTACGTGTGTCTCGGCACGTGAGATGGGTTTCCTGAATACAGCACACTGATGGGTCTTGACTCTTTATCCAATTTGCCAGTCTGTGTCTTTTAACTGGAGCATTTAGCCCATTTACATTTAAAGTTAATATTGTTATGTGTGAATTTGATCCTGTCATTATGATGTTAGCTGGTTATTTTGCTCATTAGTTGATGCAGTTTCTTCCTAGCCTTGATGGTCTTTATAATTTGGCATGTTTTTGCAGTGGCTGATACCGGTTGTTCATTTCCATGTTTAGTGCTTCCTTCAGGAGCTCTTTTAGGGCAAGCCTGGTGGTGACAAAATCTCTCAGCATTTGCTTGTCTGTAAAGTATTTTATTTCTCCTTCACTTATGAAGCTTAGTTTGGCTGGATATGAAATTCTGGGTTGAAAATTCTTTTCTTTAAGAATGTTGAATATTGGCCCCCACTGTCTTCTGGCTTGTAGAGTTTCTGCCGAGAGATCTGCTGTTACTCTGATGGGCTTCCCTTTGTGGGTAACCTGACCTTTCTCTCTGGCTGCCCTTAACATTTTTTCCTTCATTTCAACTTTGTTGAATCTGACAATTATATGTCTTGGAGTTGCTCTTCTCGAGGAGTATCTTTGTGGCATTCTCTGTATTTCCTGAATCTGAAGTTGGCCTGCCTTGCTAGATTGGGGAAGTTCTCCTGGGTAATATCCTGCAGAGTGTTTTCCAACTTGGTTCCATTCTCCCTGTCACTTTCAGGTACACCAATCAGACGTAGATTTGGTCTTTTCACATAGTCCCATATGTCTTGGAGACTTTGTTCGTTTCTTTTTATTCTTTTTTTCTCTTAACTTCCCTTCTTGCTTCGTTTCATTCATTTCATCTTCCATCACTGATACCCTTTCTTCCAGTTGTTCGCATCGGCTCCTGAGGCTTCTGCATTCTTCATGTAGTTCTCGAGCCTTGGCTTTCAGCTCCATCAGCTCCTTTAAGCACTTCTCTGCATTGGTTATTCTAGTTATCCATTCATCTAATTTTTTTTCAAAGTTTTTAACTTCTTTGCCATTGATTTGAATTTCCTCCTTTAGCTTGGAGTAGTTTGATCATCTGAAGCCTTCTTCTCTCAACTTGTCAAGTCATTCTCCGTCCAGCTTTGTTCCATTACTGGTGAGGAACTGCATTCCTTTGGAGGAGGAGAGGTGCTCTGCTTTTTAGAGTTTCCAGTTTTTCTGCTCTGTTTTTTCCCCATCTTTGTGGTTTTATCTACTTTTGGTCTTTGATGATGGTGACGTACAGATGGGTTTTTAGTGTGGATGTCCTTTCTGTTTGTTAGTTTTCCTTCTAACAGACAGGACCCTCAGCTGCAGGTCTGTTGGAGTTTGCTAGAGGTCCATTCCAGACCCTGTTTGCCTGGGTATCAGCAGCGGTGGCTGCAGAACAGCAGATTTTCGTGAACCGCAAATGCTGCTGCCTGATGGGTCCTCTGGAAGTTTTGTCTAAGAGGAGTACCCGGCTGTGTGAGGTGTCAGTCTGCCCCTACTGGGCAGTACCTCCCAGTTAGGCTGCTCGGGGGTCAGGGACCCACTTGAGGCAGCAGTCTGCCTGTTGTCAGATCTCCAGCTGTGTGCTGGGAGAACCTCTACTCTCTTCAAAGCTGTCAGACAGGGACGTTTAAGTTTGCAGAGGTTACTGCTGTCTTTTTGTTTGTCTGTGCCCTGCCCCCATAGGTGGAGCCTACAGAGGCCGGCAGGCCTCCTTGAGCTGTGGTGGGCTCCACCCAGTTTGAGCTTCCTGGCTGCTTTGTTTACCTAAGCAAGCCTGGGCAATGGCAGGTGCCCCTCCCCCAGCCTCACTGCCACCTTGCAGTCTGATCTCAGACTGCTGTGCTAGCAATCAACGAGACTCCATGGGCGTAGGATCCTCTGAGCCATGTGCAGGATATAATCTCCTGGTGTGCCGTTTTTTAAGCCCATTGGAAAAGCGCAGAATTAGGGTGGGAGTGACCCGATTTTCCAGGTGCCATCTGTCAACCTTTTCTTTGACTAGGAAAGGGAACTCCCTGACCCCTTGCACTTCCAGAGGGAGGCAATGCCTTGCCCTGCTTCAGCTCGCTCACGGTGTGCTGCACCCACTCTTCTGCACCCACTGTCTGGCACTCCCTAGTGAGATGAACCCAGTACCTCAGATGGAAATGCAGAAATCACCCGTCTTCTGTGTCGCTCATGCTGGGAGCTGTAGACTGGAGCTATTCCTATTCGGCCATCTTGGCTCCACCCTCTCCTGTGTTCTTAAGTATTTTGGTAGTTCAGCCTTTTCCAACCCATGTGACTGAAAGCATGGCCATGCCTAAGTTTTAGAATTTATGGCTCATCTATGCAGAGAAAAACTTAAGCATTATACTCTCTCTCCTTTCATACTTAGATTATTTAGAAAGAGACTCATGGGCCCAACTGAGGTCAATAGCCCACCCTAGCACAGTCATATACAGCACAGGCTGGGGCAGAACAGTAAAATGTCAAGACATAGTTGCTTCTACTCTACTCAAGTGGCCTAGGGAATGGGGACAAACTTCCTCAAAGAAAGAGGCTGAGCAAACTTTGTAATAAATCTCCCTTTTAAACTTGGGATTTCTTCACCCAGAGATAACTACTGATAACATTTATATATTTTTTCTTCTGATTTTCTCTTTGAGCTTATGTATTCTTTAATGCTGTTAAGGTAATTCTGTTTGTAATTTTGAATCTAGCTTTTTCCAATCCATCTTTCTTCATTAGCCCTCATCCATAGTTTACTTTTAACAATAATAACTACAAAGTAACAGCAGTGACAATAGGTAGTATGTAGCAAGTGCTGCATTGCTGTTAAGAACTTTGCATTATCTTATTCACTCTCACAATAGAATAATATATATTAAACCTGTTCACAGTTTGCTATGGCTTACAACACACTTTCATAGATATTCCATTTGATCATGCCAACAATGTTGTGAAAGATGGCATTATAATTCATTTCCCTTTTTATGTCTAAAATAGATTCTGTCTGTGCTAGAAAGGAACATTCACTAAAAGTTATACAACTAGTGAATGGTCCTCTCTAGCCAGATTTTAAATCCTGTTTCCTTGAGCTCATGCCCTGTTGCCTCCCCTGGCATTTTTCTGCATTCAGGTAGACTGCTCAGCTGTTCTCCATCATCTTCATTTATGCAGTCCTGCCCCTCCCCTTGCCAGGGACTTTCTAGACACTCACAGTGACTATAGGGACAAAAAGGGAAGGTGGAGAGGTGCGCTGAAGCAATGTGCTAGGAATCAGGGGTTTCTACACTATGATCTCCCAGGACACTCATGGAGTGGCGATGGAAGTGTGGCTTCCAAGTTGTCAGACACAGTCTCTTTTCCCTCAGAACCTGTACTGCTCCTCACCATGGCCTGCCACTGCTAGGCACTCTCGGACCTGGATATTTTCTCTCAGGGTCACCTTTTTTTCTTCTTCCAATCCAGTTTCCTTCAGGGAAACTTGGAATTTACCCTACAGGAGTGATATTCAATTATGAGCTAGCTTCAGAAGATCTACCGGAAAGCTTCTGATTCAGTGTCCCTGAACGTTCAGCAACAGGAGAGTGTCTAGGCTGGAGCAAAAAGAGAATCTCTAGCGGGGGGATACAGCCTAACTCCACCCTCCAGCATTTTATCCCAGATATAGCACAAAGACCAAAGATTAGAGGTAATCTGATAATCTTGAACAGGAAGGTAGAGGAAGCAGCAAGAAGGTAGAAGACTTGGTTAGGCTAGGTATACCAAACATTCTGTATTACTTCCTATTTTAAAAAAATTCTTTGGGTGGGATAATAAGAGATACTGTAAAACGTGGATCACATACTATAATGACCTTCATTCATTTTGTAAGCAGTTGGCTTGGTTCAGAAATGTGCTTGCCAATAATAAGTTGCAGGTAAGGAAACTAGTAAGTGACAGAACTGGGACCTAAACCAGGTGATCTGGGTGTGGCTTGAGTGGACGTGGGCAGCCAGTCACCCATGGAACACAGAGTATGGACCTGACATCATTATGTGTGGAAGTTCAGAGATTGCATGGTCCACTAGCTCAGGAACAGGTTTCATTTGTCTTTGAATCCCTAGCATGTAAGTTAAACAAACTGCAGATATATTATTAGGGTCAACATGAGGAAAATTCTGCATTACAGCCCAGCTTATCATGGACTGATTACTTCTGCTGCCCTTTAGTGCTGTACTGTTTGTTTTCCCCAGGCAAAACATCCAAGGCTGAGTCCACTTGGTGAAAGATTACCAAATCTTGTACTGAAAGGAAATACTACATTTCCCCTGTAAATAGTAATGGAACTGACTAAATAAGCCCAACTTATATGGCAAAATTTTTCAAATTCTTGAATCAGGCTGAGGTAAATGGAGTTAAAAGATTAGGATTTTATTTTTGTTTCCAGAGTAACTTGTTTATACTCATGCTGTTTCTTTATCTATTATATTTCTAGTCTTCAAGTGCCATTATTTCTTACAAATCATATGTAAATTTATAATGATATTGTTATAATATTCATTAATTAAAACTCACTAGCAAGATTAAAGCCAATTTCTTAATGCAATTTATAGTGTTAACAAAGATTTCAGAAACTGAACCCCAATTATTTACATAGATGATATTTTGATGTTGTAAATATTTATGACCCATGGGTCACTGAAGATATAAATTAATTTCCCATCAGTTAAGACCAGCAGTTTAAGGCAAATGAAAAACATTTTCAAAACAGGAATTTATTGTATTTTTAATAATAGCTCAACTTTATTGCTAACCTCGTTACTGGCAAGAACTTGAGAGACAAAATCAAATTTGGGTTTCTTTCTAAAATTTTTTAAAGTTACTGGGAAACATAGTCTGTTTAATTTCTCATATGATACACAAAGGGGAAAAAAACTATTCTAGGATGTAGTCCCAGTCGTAATGGTGAGTCATTGGCTGCAGCAGTCATAATGATAGAGGATTCTATTTATTGCTGTTCTCTAAGCCTCACACAATGAAGCCAGGCAGAAATTATATAATTATTCCTCCTGGATGGATCTTCTCATTCGTTTGTAATTACAAAATACTCTTTGAGTACTTTTATATCCTGAAATTAAGTCTTCAGAATTGCAGAAAGAACCGTAAGGTTTGATCTCAGGCTTGTTTATCCTCCTTATATTTTATTTTGCCAATTAATAGTGTAGCTTCCCAGGTGCTAAAATGTGACTTCTTTATCTTTTGTGTGGCTCAATTACTTAGACTAATTTTAAATAAATCCTAAGGGAAACCTCTTATTTTCACAATTACATGGTATATTTTTCCACTGCTTATAACTTCTTCCTGTATCAATTAAGTAGCTTAAGTTGCTAATGTTCCATGCTCTCTAGGTGTGCCTCTTTCAATATTTCCTGTCCTTTTCGCCACTGCTCATAAATGGTTTCTAATCATTCTTATAATTGTACCTTCTTGGAGCCTTGAGAGACAGGCACAGGTTCTCTTACATAGGCTATTATTGATATTGGTTGCTTTTATTTTCCCTCCAACCCCCACTCCAGATAACAACTGTTGAGTGCGTACCATGTGGCAAACAATGGGAATGAAGAGATTAATGAGCCCTCAAAGAATTCATGATTTACGTAGCACATACTTCTAGCTAACTGTTCTAGCTACACCAGCCAGTTCTAGAGAGGTACCCATGGAGGTTTTGGATATGTGCTTAACTCCTTGAAGATTCTTCTGGAATGATGCCTAAAGTAATTGTCAAGAGAAGCTATGCTAATCTTCCTCTTCAGAATATTCCCATTTCTTTCTTAGTTATAGGTATGAGGAGTCTAAAATATGCTTTAACATAGTAAGCTTATTGTTATAACTGGAACCATGCAAAATCTTAATTTCCTATAATATAATTTCTTGCTCCTCCAAAGTCATTCAAATATTAAATTGGACTTATTCTATATGTTGCTTAGTGGAAAGGTATCACAAATAAAAAGTGGGCCACAATGAGTAGGTCAATTAAATAAATGCAAAAAATATATTGATTTATTAATTACAATATAATACTGTGCTAAATGCTTAGCTTGCATTATCTCATTTAATTCTTACCAAAACTCTTTGAGGTGATTATTGTATACACTCCCATTTACAGATGAAAAACTGAGGTTTAAGGAAAAGATGTGTATGCCCAAATTTCTTAATGACTAAATGGCAGCAGACCAGGACTGTCTTGACTACAAAGAACATGTTCTAATACTGTACAGCTTCAGACTCCTTCATGAGAGCTGTGATGCTCAATAATATATGTCAGGATATGAATACTTAGACTCATGCCAGACCATGTCATAAGCCTTAGACCTTTTTCATTTGTGTTTATAGATAGTGACCTTTTAGTGCAGTGACAATTTCTTACCACACAGCAATCTGCATGCAAGGAATTGCTAATATCTGCTTTGCTCAGAAGGAAGCTTGTATGTAGCATTAATTATGGCACCATTAATCCATTCAGTTATTTATTGAAACTATTATTTGTTGAGTTTCTGCTACATGCTTGGAAGTTTCATGTGTTATCTCCTTTAAACTCACTGTAAAAGGCATGAGGATACCAATTTTCTATATCTGCAGTAATTTTCCCAGGGTTACGTAGCTCCTAACTGGATGTAGTGTCTTGGATTCAGACCCAGCTGTTTGTCTCCGAAGTCTATACCAAACTACCCTGGTAGTTTAGAGCTTATGTTTACCAGAAATTTATGTCCCACCAGCACGTAATTTTTAAACCAACTCTGTTGAGGTATAATTTAAATAAATGAAATGCACATGTTTTAAGTGTGATACATTTGGTAAGATTTGATTATGTATATACCCTTGTAGCTACCACCCCCACTCAAATTATACATTTCCATCACTCAGTAAATTGCTTTGTGCCCTTTTGCAGTCTCTCTTACTCCTTGCCCCAGGCTACCATTGATCTGATTTCCATCACTGTAGACTAGTTTTTCCAATTCTAGAAGTTCATATAAAAGGAATAGTACAGTATATACTCTTTTTTGCCTGATTTTTTCACTTAATGTAAAGTTTTGTGAGATTCATACATGTTGTTGCCTATTCAATAGTTCATTCTTTTTTATTACCAAATAATATTCCATTATATCACACATCACATTTGTTTTTCCATTTGTCTCCTGATGTGTATATGGTTGTTTCTAGTATGGGGTGATGTTGAATAAAGCTGCTATGAGCGTTCGTATCCCAGTTTTATTGGCTCATCCACTGTTGTCCAAAAGAATTTCTTGAACTCTGCATTTGTCCTGAAGGATTCTCTGATTGTTCTTCATACAAGAACTCTAGGAATATAACATGGAATCCAGCTAATTTCTGAAACTCATGTATTTAA
Organism: Homo sapiens; assembly: GCF_000001405.40. Classification (NCBI taxonomy): domain Eukaryota; kingdom Metazoa; phylum Chordata; class Mammalia; order Primates; family Hominidae; genus Homo; species Homo sapiens. The sequence goes on from NC_000001.11 coordinate 66,210,138, forward strand.
TTATACATTTACACTAACGGCCGTGTGCACTGAGAAAAATCCTCCTGATTAATGGCATTGCTTTTAGAGTCAGTGATCTTTTATTTCTCATGCAAGTCATAGTCACCACTGTCAGTCAGGCTTCTCAGTTCCAAGCAACTGAAACCAATCCTGGCTCCCTTAAAAAGTAGATGAATCTGGCCAGGCATAGTGGCTCACGCCTGTAATCCCAGCATTTTGGGAGGTCAAGCCGGGCAGATCACGAGGTCAAGAGATTGAGACCAGCCTGACCAACATGGTGAAACTCTGTCTTTACTAAAAATACAAAAATTAGTTGGGTGTGGTAGTGCGCGCTTGTAGTCCCGGCTACTTGGGAGACTGAGGCAGGAGAATCGCTTGAACCCGGGAAGCGTAGGTTGCAGTGAGCCAAGATCGCACCACTGCACTCCAGCCTGGGTGACAGAGTGAGACTCCATCTCAAAAAAAAAAAAAAAAAAAAAAAAGAAAAAGGAAAAAAAGAAAAGAAAAGAAAGTAGCTGAATCTATGAACAGGGGAGAGGGTAGTTCATACATACAATCACAGGAACCTATAGAACGAGGTTTGCCAAACAGGCAGGAGCAAGAAAAACTAGGCAGCTGCCAGGTCCACAGCCAAAGTCATATAAAAAAAATCAATCTGTTGCAGACACTGCTGTCACAGCTACTGACATTAGACTCATCGTTTCTGCTCCTGATCATAAGACCATATTAGTTATGCATGACTCACTTTCCAGTACCTATTCCATTTCTTTTTTGCCTTCAGATGGTTGTGTCTAAGAAATTTCCAGAAGTCCTCAACCTGGGTGGGATAAGAGTAGTAGAACAAGAGTAGTGGGCAGCCTAGAGGTGTGGACCAAAAGCACTTGCCTTCTAATTATGACATCAGGGCTTGCTTAAGCAGTTCCTCCTGATGACAGAGCACAGCAGGGCAGGGTATGCCTGACTGTAAGAAGTGTAAAAAGATAAGATGTACCATTCATGGACAGCCTTGCCACATGGTCACCTGAATTCCGCGTGATATGAACATAATATTACAAGGTTTATAGATTTAATCTCTCCTAATACTCAGACACTATCCAGGTGCAACTTATTTGTATAAAAGACATGGCTTTCTCCAGCTAATCATATTATACGTTCCAAGTCTCTTCTCTCTCCTTAAATTCTGGATGAGTATTTCACACCTTTGCCTCTCTTTAAACTCTCAAAACCTATCCCCACTCTCAGCTGATGATGCTTCTTTCTAATTTACTGAGTAGACAGAAGCAATAAGGACTTTCACAGACTCCCAGTTGATAGGACCTGCACTCAAATACTCTACTTTCCTGCCTATAGATTAATTATCTATGCTCCTATCTAAGGCAAATTAAATAATAATGCTGTATAATGGAGTAAATGATTTTGGTTTATTAATAATAAAATAACACTCTGCTAAGTTCTATGCATGCATCATCTCATTTAATCCTCTCAGCATTTTCACGTGGGTGCTTTAATTAGCCCTGGTTTATAAATAAACTGTAACTTAGGGGAGCGAAGTAACTTGTCTAATGTTCTACAACTAGTATTTGGCAGCAGACCAAGTTTGCGTAACTTTGAAAGCTTCAGAAAATTTTTAATCCCAACTTTGTGATGTTTTCAGTGTATCATAGAACATAGCATTGTTGATCATCAGGTCTCTCATTCCAGGTTACCCGATAAGCCTTCAGCCTGCATCCCAGCTGGCGGATATTCTTACCCAGTGTGAAACCCAAACCTTTATACTTGGTGAATCTAACCCTTGAGACCCTGAATGCATTTCACAAACAGAGATTTTTCTTGCTTTCTACCACCAGGCATGGAGTATCCAAAAGTACTCCAGCACATTCCTTGGATACCTCAATATTATTCTCTGCCCTCTTTGTGCAGCAGCAACTATTTACCAAGCCTATGAACAAACTTGGATGTGGACCTTAGTCTCCTCTTCCAAGATATATCACACAAGGTTCAGCCACTGGGAAACTTTCTCTTCCCCACTGTCCTTCATGGCCAACTCTAGGTGACCTCCCCTATTTCATGTCACAGAATCTGCTTACAGTTGGTACCAAACCTTTCCATCCTCTTTCTCTCATAACCTAAGTAAAGGCCCAATGGGCCTGACCCTCCATTACTTTTCTGACATCCACTTTCCTTCTTACTCTTTTGTCTTTCTGTACATAGGCATCCATACTTTTCCTCATGCCATGCCAGCCTTTGCTCTTGCTGTTATTCTGTCTGAAATGTCCCTCATCCCAATATCCACGTGAAAACTCCCTCCTCTTCTAGCGTTTGCTTGAATCTCACATTCTCCAGGAGGCCTAGCTTTCCCCTCCTCTCTCACCAGAACTCCTGATCTACACTACTCGTTTTACTTTTTTGTAAAAGTAAAAGTGCTTTTCACTTTCTAATATACTATATAATTTACTTACCATTTAAATTTTATTGTCTTTCCCCCCACCAGAATGTTAACTCCTCGATGTCATTTCTTTTGTGCCCACAAGCACCTAGAAAAATCCTGGCCCATACTGGACTCTCATTAAACATTCAATGAACTGACCCTAATCTTAGTGACCTCCATCATGATATATGCTCCCTGAGATCTGCTATAGACTCCATACAACCCCCGACATGGCATCACAGGACAAGCACAATAACAAGGATAAAGTGGAATAGCTGCTTGTGCTGCAGCACAATACAGCAACGAGACCTCTCTTCCTCTGGATACCCCTCAAAGATAACAGCTGTTCAAGTCACCTGGCCAGTGAGTCCAAACAGCACACCATAATGTGGTACATACCGCCTCCAAAGTCTATGGAGGTCCACTCTAGTTTTGTTCCTCCTCTTTCTCAGCAGTGGCTCAGTCAAGCCTTCTTTTCTTTTTCTTTTTTTTCCCCAGTTAGGTTCTTCCCATTTATTTTGTCTCCAGAGACTCTATGATTAATTAGCCAATATTTCTTTATGTGTCATTAAACTCTTAAAGGAAGACTCCTTTCTAAGGAAGCTGTAGGAATCTCCTGGAGATGATATTACAGTGGCATAATGTGAATAATTGTCTCAAGAAAGAACCAAGATACCTTGACTTTCTTCTTCTTTAGAGTGTTTTTGCTCCCTTCAGAGAGAATACCTTTTTAGGTATTTTCTTTCAGACTTTATGGTGAAAATTATTAGTCTTAAAATCCTTTTCAAGATTTACCTTAAGATGCCTATTAAGTACAAAGAATATCTTTGGTGCCCAGACCTGATATCCAGGTGTTCCATGGAATATCTTGATCCCTAGATCTTTGCTACATACCTATAGCATTTCTGTCTTTATAGCAATGTAAACTAAGCACTATAATCACTTTTACTGCAAAATCGTAGGCTACATAGAGTCTCTTGAACTGCCTTAACACAGTTTCTGCATTTTTTTACTTTTAGGATTTCCTCTCTGAAACCTGAATATGTAAGCAATCACCAGCTGTATATATTAAAGCCATTGTTTTTTCTACTTGATGGAGACCACGTGTATGGCTGGATGACCCTGTGTTAAACTGCATTTGGACCATTGCTCTTGACCATATATTTATTTTCACTTAGAATTTTAGATTGTTTGTGGATTTTGGCTCCAGTATAGATTTAGTGCTCTACTTTTTCATTCATGCAGTTTTTCATCACATTGCCCCTGAATGATTTTTTGGAAGTGGAAATATGATTACCTGATTATCTCATTCATAACTACATAAAATCTTTCTATGTTCTCCCATCACTTTCAGGAGAAGAGTTTGAATTAATTAGCATGACCAAACGCTTCTTTATAATCTAGTACTGTTTATCTTTCCAAACTTTTCTGCCAGCCATACAGGTGCCTACAGTAAAAAATAATATTTTTGTATCAAAAAGATGAGACATCAGGCCAAACATACCTGTGGCAAGAAACACACTATGATCTTGGGCATGTGATGATGAAGGCTAAGCAACATCCCATTTTTCTCAAGTGAAAAACTATCTTTGAATCTTGGTTCTTGAAATGTCTACTAGCTCCAAAAGTGGAACAAGCATTTTCTACAGGAAACTGTACATCTGGGATTAGTACTATTTAGACTTTAAATGAAGAAAAGCCTCTGTTTAAGCAAAAGGAAAGATCAAAAGTATTCTCAGATCTTTTATTCATTCATTACTTTCCCTTCTGGCTTTTTTTTCCCTGTAACTTTGAGAGATTTTTGAAGAGGAAGAAGGCAGTAAGGTCAGAATAAGGCACACACAAGGGAGTTGGAGGTGAATTCTTGTTTTCTCAGCACTTGCTCTTGGTTAGGTATTGGGCTGAGGGATTGCACATATATTATTGCATCAATTCTATGATACACATTGCTTTTATATTTTAATATCTCAGAAGTATGTGTTGAAATCAATAGTATTTTAGATTTGATGAAATATGCCTTGCTTGATCTGAACACCAACTTTATTAACAAATTTATTTATTTTTATTTTTTTAACATTAACTTTATTTTACAGATTAAGAATCTGTAGATCAGAGAGATTATTTGCCCTGTGTCACAAGTGGTAGAACCAGAATTCAAGCAGAGGTCTGAATTACTCCAAAACCCATTAACAAATTGTAGACATTACTTTAGATTTGGGATAAATACCTAATGTTTATTATGACAAATTCAGGATCCAAAATAATCTTGACTGGCAACAGCAGCCTGAGACAAACTAAATAAAACTGAAAGTGATCCCCTCTCATATCATGACCTTGTTGGAAGAAGTAAATAGCAATGAGAGAGTCAGGAATTAGACAGAAGTAGAACAGGTACTGGAGTGTGGTAGGGGTTAAAAAGTGAAGAGCAGTGGGTAAAGATGAGAGAAAAAAGTCTAGACTCTAGAAATAGGCAGTAGAAACTTGCTATGACAGGTGAGGGAAAGTTTAGTATGAGGTAATGGGGTGTTTTGACAGGCAGACAGAGCCCAGGAGGTGCAAAGCTCAGCACAGGAAGTACAAAAAGATGCAACAGAATGCCTCAGAAATCTCTTTCAACAGCTAGCAGGTCATAGGCAACAAGCCAATGGGAAGGTTTTAGCATTAGCCAATGCTAGCAAATATTTTCACTGTAGAAGCATATAGTTTTGAAAGTCAGTGAAGAACATCATTTTTTCTAAGATGGTTCATAGGTCAAAATCCTAGGCCTGGGAGATGCTAGAAGGTGATAAGAGAACCAGCAGTAACATAATGCCAAGATGTTAGATGTTAGATGTTGATGTTAGAACTCCTAGTTTGTAGCTATGCTATACTAGAAAAGGAAGAAGAGTGCTTCAGTAGCTCCTATGACTCCACAAGAGGGTAAACATACAATATTACAGAGGAGGGAGGAGTTGTAAGCTGGCCATGTTACTGCTGGTCAAGTAACATAATATTCTACCCTCAGCTGTACAAGGGCTTAGATTCCTTTGGGGATGGAAGAGCAATATGATGGCTTCTTTCTGCAGGAGGCTTCAGAGACAGGAGATTGAGTCAAAGCTGAACATGCCCCCAGGTAAAGCAATGCCCCATCCACATGGAGGCCATGAACCAGAGAGAGGCCAGGGAGAACTCTTCTGGACCAATGAGTGAACAGTTACCTAAGTATATCTCTGCCTCCCCTATTCTTTCTGGAGTTAGGCCTTGAAAGGAGAGCTAAAGGGATGATACATCCCCAGACTCTGTCCCCATCTCACAAGGGGCTACACTGGCAGGATGAGTAAAAGAGCAAAGGCCAAATGTTGAGCCAGTGGTGAGGGGAAGCATGACATTTGGTATGAGATTGGAGTTTTAAAGTGGCATGGAATGTAGTTCCAAAACTGAAAGTGCTTGCAAAGTCATGGGATTTGCCTGGGATGTTATTGAAATGTAACAGCAAAGGGAAACTCAAAAACCATGTGAGGTTTGATTTTATGTGTCAATTGACTGGACCACTGGGTGCCCAGATATTTGGTTAAACATTATTTTGGGTGTGTCGGTGAGGGTATTTCTGATTGAAATACCCTCTATTTTATTTTTTAAAATAAATAACATAATTATGTATATAATATAATATAAATAATTTTTATTTATTTTAAAATATCCTATCTATTTCAATTGATAGGTTAAGTAAAGCAGTTTGCCCTCCTCAATGTGCATGGGCCTCATTTCCTGTTGGTTCTGTTTCTCTGTAGAACTCCTGATGAATACAGTATATTTGAAGAAAGCAATTCAAAAAATAAAAAGTCGTTCTTAATTTATCCCCAACAGAGTTGAGATTTTGCAATAAACTGGTTACAGTTTTGTTATAAAGAGGTATTAGAGTACTCAGTTGTGAATGTTCAACTACACCTCTGAATTTCCTGCATCACTTTTGTGGACTCATTTTCAGTAGACCTAGCCAAACAGTCTTTAAATGAACATATTATATGTTACTTTTGTCAAAAGCACATCATATTATTAGACAAAGCAATGCAATTTGGCCATGAGACTGCTCTCTTAAGACACCTCTGAAAGTGTCTCAAAGCATAGTCAGCTATTAGCTAGGAACAGAATTTCACATATTTACTTCCAAACTAGCCAGTGCATGGTGTGCAAGAGAATAATGGAAAAGAGATGCAGAAACAACTCGTTTCAGGCACAGGGAAGGGGAGGCTGGTTGGAAAAGAAAGCAGTCTTAATAGCACAGTCATTAATTTGCCAAATTCTTTTCTGGACTTGACTGTGACTCTCTGGGTAGTGTGTTATCAATTTCAGCCTCATTACCTATGCACAGCAAGGGAAACTGAGGACAAATCATGTCCCTAGACTTCAGCCTGTTATAAATTCCCTTGCATTTGAGATCAAATAAAGCCTCGAACTTAAATTACTCTCTTCTTACATCATCATGTCTGCTTCATTTGCTCCAAGTTTATTCTCCCAGCATAAAAAATAAGGAAAGTCATTAAGTACAAGAAGGGAAATGGAGTGGTTTGTAGTGGTGTCAGCTTCCCCTCTCCAGATCCTCTCCCAAGTGTGTCATTAGCCTCAGATGAAGGCCATCTGAGGCTATTATACTTAGTCATTGTGTGTTTACCCCAGCATTGTAGCTGTCATTGGCTAGGCAAGAAAAAAAAGTACATCTGGCTGGGATTGTAAATGACACTTGATAAAGGTATTCACAGAAGTGTAGGCAAGGATATTGAGATGCGCAATGACTAGCAACAGTGGGAAGTGGTCACTACTGCTAGGCCTGAAGAAGCAGGAGGAAGAAATGATTAATGTGGCATAAAATGCAGCAGCCACAAGAGCTGCAGTGTCAAGCAGGAAGGAGCAAGAAGAGAGGTGCACTGCCATCTTTCTCCTTCTGCCTGTCTGTCTCTTTTTGATGTCTCCTGTTGGCTGAACTCGACCAAAAGTCAAAGGGCAAAGGAACCCATGGTCAGTCCCTTAGGTCACAAAGATGGAAAATGGATTGGAGGGTGGGGATAGGGAGAGGCAAATGGAGAATAATTAGCTCAGTTGTTTTGCATATTTGTATGATTTGTTTAATTATTTTTATTAGTTTTGTATTTAGTAAAAGAAAATTTATTTATCCATCAAGGCCTAGGTTCTGTTGCGCAATTATTATTTATTATCTACTGACATTCCTGGTACTGCAACTGTATCTGGGATCTTTCAAACAATATTTCAATATATTATGCTTTAAGTTTAGGGAGAAGAGACATGCACATACAAAAAGTGGGGCTGGAAAAGTAGCTTGAGACGAGATCATTGAGAACTTTTACTGGCTGGTGAGAATTTTGATAGGCAGTAAGAAGACATTGAAGGATGTTGAGGAAGGGAGTGTTTTACTTAGAAATGTGTTATAGAAAGATTAAGCTGACAACATTATAGCAGATGATTTGATGGAGGAGAAATTGAAGGCAGGGAAAACTGGGGAATCAGCATTAGCCTGGTAATTGATTATCCTTCCAACACCTCTGTAAAGCTGTTGGGTGCAAATTGTTAGTGGTTTACTATCTAGTGCATGGGAACTGCAGGAAGATTCAATGCACTCCAAAATAGTAGCTTCTAACTACCAAATTAAGGACAAGGAGGAAGCTAGGTTACTCCTAAGTGATGTCGGCCGATATCTCAAATGCAGTGACAGAGAGGGCCTCATGTCATGAAGTCCAAGGACAGTGTCATTAGGGCAGGAATTTACTGGCCTCCATGAGTGGGAAATGAAAGTGGTCCCAGGTGTTCACTGTGAAACAAACCCCAAAGTTACACAATCTCTTTCTAAACTGTTTGGAAAGTACAAAGAAGGGAGGTAGGGAGATGACTCCAGCCATGCTTTGGGCTCAGTGATTACTGCTGTTTCTGCTGACAGCTCGTCTCTCATGGAGATGAGCCATATCCTTAATGATCTCATTTCATTCTGTTTTCCAAAAAGTTATACTCCTCCTAGATAATCAATCCTTTTCAATATCAGTGCTCACCAGCCACCCCCAGCCCAGAAGATGTTAATCTTTCCATGACCCCTCTGGGACCTCTTTCCCACCCTTCAGAAATGCTATGATCTTGGAAGAAATCTGCTGTTAGATCCTTGTACATATGCTATTCTACCACTAGACTACAGTTCCTGAGAGCAGAGATGATATTTATTCATTTTAGCACTCTTAACACTTATTACAAGGCCTAGCATTCGATAGAGTTAAATACATTTTGGTTGGATGGTTGCATCCAGCTACAGATGGATAGCTGTAGCTATCTTTAAAAAAGCTGTTTTATTGGGTTTTAATTGTGGGATTTAATTATGTTTTGTTTATAGAAAAAAATCATGTTCTCATCGCATTTACTAATCTGCATTATTTCTGCCAACAGTATTTGATAGCATCAGTGTTCCTGTCTTCTCAGTTTGAATAAATAAAGTCAAGTTACCACTCACTTAGGGTATATAAATATGTAGGGGTCCCATTCTCACATGGTTCTACTATAATGGAGAGCTTAGCCATGTATGGCTTCTCAAATACAGGCTCAATAAAGATAAGTAACTCAAAATTTTTCTAATATGATTTCTCCTGGAACATGGTGCAGTGGCGAGGGCAACATGATGGCAGGGGTTAGTGGCAGTATAGGTAGACATGTAATGCATGATAATGTGAAGGTGGCATGTTTCTCATTCAGCTCTGTTGGCTGCTACTAAGAATTCATTGCTTTTACTTTGTGCCATAGAAGTTTCACAGAGGTTGAAACTTATTAGTAAATCATCACAGAGAGCAACTTTATAGTTGATACAAATCACCTTGCACATTACAGCATTTTCTTACATTGTGGTTTCAGTTGTGAAGATGTGCTATCTGTTTCCATTCTGCCTGTGGTGTTAGAGAACAAGTCATGGGAAAAGTTGAAATCCAAAGAAATGTGCAAAGCACAACATTATCCCTTCCTGTTGTTCCTGGTCTCTACCTTTGGATTCTGCACCATGTTTTTATGCTGAAAGGTGTTTTAATGATGGCTGGGTTGGGCAATGACATGTGAAGAGGTGTCACTTCACCTGGCCAACACAGAGTTCAAATTATCCAAATAAAACTACTAATTGGGATCTTCAGATCAAACACTGTCAAGAAGACTATTATTGAGGAAGGATTCTGCATGACCTTTCAGAGAAACAAGATCAAAGAGTAGGGATGAAAATGAGCCACATTGTTAACAATAAAATTAGAGAGCAGGAACTCAGCAGGACTTGTAGTTACCACATCTGTAAGGGAGTTAGAAATGAAGCAGCAGAGACAACATACTGTGTACAATTCTGGAAACATTTATCATTTCTCCAGTTTATTATTTTTATGATTTCTTGACAGTTTTTCTATAGTGATTAGTATGACAATGTATAAAACTAGAAGGGCCTGCCAATTTACCCTCCAAGGCAACAAGGAATTAAGGGCAAGAGGAAAATTTCCAAGAGCTGGAAAAAGCTACTTAATTACAGGACAAACTAAGTAAAAGGAAAGAAGAGGGAAGTATCTGGAGGCTTGGAGGTGATCTGGGGCTGAGCAGCCAAAAAGTTCACAAGATTGGATGTTTCACTTGCTATTGGGAAGAAGAGAGGAGTAGCTGATAAGAAGAATGCTCTTTGATCCCCTCTACTTCAAAGCATTATGGATCTAGATTAATATTCAGTACTTCTTTACTCAGGTACTTTTCTTTAAGCTTCACCTCCCTTCCATTAGAGCGAGAAAACATTTTGTAGTTTCTAAATTGTCTCTTCATAAGTTCCAAGGGATAAAGTGGGAGACATTCAGGAGCCTGGTACATTAGCATCCTCTTAATGCAGTATGAAGTTGAGGGGCTTTTAATGTGGATATCAAAACTGATTATTGAAATTGCAAAGAAG